>NC_000012.12:128000629-128302253 GCF_000001405.40 Homo sapiens
ATAGGTGCTTACCATGGAATGCCATGTAGCAAATAGAAGTAACAAACATAATATACATGTGACCACATGGATGCATTACATATGACCACATAGGTACATTTTAAAAATAAAATACTGCGAAATCCAAGGTAAACTTCGAAGTACTGAGAAGACTAGAGATTTGAGCCAATCACATTTCTTCCTCTTTCTCTCTAGCAACAAACCACAGTCTTTGATAATTTTGAATCGGGAGTGTATATTTCTACCATATTAAAAAAGTTAGAATGAGAGTAGTTTCCATTTTCTCAATAACATAGTGGAAGGCTACAAAATAATAGATCAATGTATTAAAATTCAAATGAAGACTGATGTCCAGTTTAGTATTCAAATATATGTGGTGTTTAATCAAATATGGGTTAAGAATAAAGACATTTTCTGACATCCAAAACTCAGAAAGAAATGTCACACACCCAATCCCCAGCATATAGTGCAGAAAGCACTTCACCAGACAGAGAAAGAGAGGACTCTGCCTACGGGAAACAGGGGATCCAGCCCCGGAGAGGCAGAGGGATGCCAGGGAGATGGTGAAGGGTGAGCCTGGGGAAGTGGTGCTCGGGCCTGAGGCACCCAGCCAGGCTGGGGCAGCTCAGCAGAGCAGGAGGCTCCTTCAGGAAGCAAAGGTGGACAGAATAATGGATCGTTCTGACCATGTGAGCAGTAAGCACAGATATCTAGGCAAATAAAAACCATAACAGTTATTAGCTCAAGGAAAAGCAGTAAAAGTCAAGAAAGCAAAAGGTGGTTCAGCTTAGGGCTTGTATGTTCATAAATATAACAGAATACTGATAGAAAAAAATGCATGTTACAGGAACTCAAGGCAACACTACCATTCGACCCAATAATCCCATTATTGGGTATATACCCAAAGGATGTAAATCATTCTACCATAAAAACACATATGCGCATATGTTCACCACCGCACTATTCACAATAGCAAAAACATGGAATTAACCTAGATGCCCGTCAGCAGTAGACTGGATAAAGAAAATGTGGTACATATACACCATGGAATACCACACAGACATGAGAAACAAATGAGAGCATGTCCTTTGCAGCAACAGGGATGGAGCTGGAGGCCATTACCCTAATTAGCAAACTAACTCAGGAATGGAAAACTCAATGCCACATGTTCTCCGTCCTAAGTGGGTGCAAAACATTGAATACACATCGACAGGAAGGAGGGAACAATAGACACTTGTGCCTACCTGAAGGCGAAGGGAGGATGGTGAGGATCAAAAAACTACCTATCGGGTACTATGCTTATCACCTGGGTGATGAAATAATCTGTACAGCAAATCCCCATAACATGCAACTTACCTAATAACAAGCCTGCACATGTACCCCTGAACCTAAAATAAAAGTTAAAAAAAAGTAAGTTAGAAACACTGTGGAAATGAGGGATGGGAGGGGTGCACACAGAGATGAGGGAGGTGAAAGAAAGCTTAAGGCACATCACCAATATTAAGACTATGAGAGATTATGGCAGAAGCTAGTAAATAAAAACAGTAATAAGAAAGACATGCTGTTTAGCTATTTGAAGATAAATACCGAAACTCAGCTAGATGTGTTGAAAACAGCTCTGGGAAACGAATAATGGGAGGAGTGGATGAACAGAATTTGCTCCTTTTTGTGATATGTTTTACAGATCTATAGACCTGTTGATTTTTCAAAATGTGAAAAGTGATAACTTTGATACAACTAAGAACAACGCAAAACAAATTTAAAAATAAGAAGAGTGTCAAATAGAGAGTTCAATATGTGACTTGAAACACACACACACACCCAGACACGCACACACCCCCATGCACACACACATACCCATGCACACACACATACCCATGCACGCACACACCAACGCTGCAGACTTTATAAGGATGTTTGTTCTGTTCAAGTTATAGCCAGCACCTGTGCCTTAGAAGATGGCGGGAGGAAGAATCTAGGATGGGGGAGGAAAAGGAAACGCATGAATAGCACAGATTCCTACAGATCATGGGATAGATTGCACCATTAGATGAGAAGTGTGATTAAGTATTTGCACCTGAGCCCAACTCGCTCCCAAATAAAAGACAGAAAGGAAAAGATAGCCACTAAAATAGAAATAAAACTTAAAAACACTGTAGAAAATGGCAGAGCTTCTGAGAAATGCTGAAGACTGCCCTCTCGCACCCCAGCAGATCCTGATTTGAGAAGCCCTGGCCTAAGAGGTAGCAACAGGGATTTCAACTGGGATTTAAATCCTTGGCCTGTCGCACATTGTCAGGTGACATTGGATGCCTGTTGGAGCCTTGGTTTGCTCATCTGTAAATAAGACCTACCTCCCAGGATTGTTTTAAGAGTTAAAGGGGATAACACAATAGATGGGCCTTGGGGACATTATGCTAAGTGAAAGAAGTCAGTCACAAAAAGACAGATACCACAGGATTCCAAATAGAAGGTAGCTAGTGCAATCACACTCACAGACAGAGAGGAGGCACAGATTTTCAGTTTTGCAAGCTGACAAAGTTCTGAAAGTTTGTTGCACAGTGATGTGAATGTTGCTACTATGGAGCTGTATACTTCAAAATGGTTACGACGGTAACTTTCATATGTATCAGGAATATGGGGAATATGATAGATTTCAGGAATATGGAGAATATGATAGATTTTTATGTCTAAAATGAAAAAAGAGATATATATTCTGTTTAAATATTTGGAAGTATATGTTATGTGTTTTGTTACTACAATTATTATCATTATTAATATTTTAATTTTAAAAAGAGAGAATACACAGAATTGGCCAGGTGTGGTGGCTCACACCTATTATAATCCCAGCAGTTTGGGTGGCCGAGATAGGTGGGTCACCTGAGATCAGGAGTTCAAGACCAGCCTGGCCCACATGGTGAAACCCCATCTCTACTAAAAATACAAAAAGTAGGCAGGTGTGTTGGCACACACCTGTAATCCCAGCTACTCGGAGGCTGAGGCAAGAGAATCGCTAAAACCGGGGAGGCTGAGGTTGCAGTGAGCCGAGATTATGCCACTGCATTCCAGCCTGGCATTTTTTTTGAGACTCCATCTCGAAAAAAAAAAAGAGAGAGGGAGAGACAATACACAGAACAGATCGCAGCAAACAGTGAAGGATTCATAACTGATTGCTTTTACCATTATTACATTGTGCTGTATGAGGAACTCTATTTACAGTGGGTTTTGGGTTTTCCAAAACAGAAGTTAAGCCTTTTGAGAAAATCAAGTGTATTTAATCTCTTTTCCGCCTCTTCCCAGTCCCCTGCATATGAATGTTTAATTGTGACTGAATCTGGGCAACAAATTTAGATGAGAAATGCAAAGACTATTAAAAAAAGAAAAGAAAATACAGTCTCTGAGCCTAGATTAATGGGATTGGTGCTGTGGGATTTCTGGTCAGAGAAAAGCAACCCAGATTGAAGGAATCTTTTAATATTCATGAGGAAAGGATTGCAAACTGAAAGGAGTACAAGGGCTTCTTTTCTTGGAATTAACAGTTCTTATACTTGACCACTGGTGCTGTCTTGAGAAAGACACAGGGACAAGAAAGACCCCACTTTGCTCTAAGATGATCAGTAGGGCAAGCAAAGTGAGTTATTGCAGTGACATCATCTCAGCCTAGAAAGGACTGGACGTGGTGAAGTGGCGTCCTGCTGAGAAAAGAGAGAAAGAGACCCCTCCATATTTGTTTTATATTGTTTCATACTCAGTACCTGTTTTAAGAAGAAACAAGGAAGTGAAACCAAAGGCAGGCAGCCCGGCGCCAGGCACCAGACCCAAAACCAGACCCAGAACCAGGCCTGGACCTGCCTGACCTAACCTGATAGTTAAAATTCAACCCATGACCTAGCAACCGATGTTATCCATAGATTCCAGGCATTGTATTGAAGGACATTGTGAAACTTGCCATTCTGTTCTGTTTCACTCTGATTAACGGTGCACGCAGCCCCTGTCACATATCCCCTAGATTGCTCAATCGATCACGGCCCTTTCATGTAAAATCTTTAGTGTTGTGAGCCCTTAAAAGGAACAGAAATTGTGCACTCGAGAAGCTCGGATTTTGAGGCGTTAGTCTGCTGATGCTTGCAGCTGATTAAAAGGCACTGCCTTCACCACCTCGGTGCCTGTGGGGTTTTGTCCGCGGCTAGTCCTGCTGCAGTGCATCTGGGCTAATGCCCGAGGTTCGTTGCTGCACACCAAGGATATCGAGGATGAGGACACGCACAAGGAGTGAGTTTAAGAGCAGAGGTTTAATAGGCAAAAGAAAGAGAAAAGGAAAAGCTCTCTCTCCTGCAGACGGAGAGGGGCTCTCAAGTGGGTCGTCCAGTTTCCAGGTGAAATGCATGGGGTTTTTTATAGACAACCTTGAAGAGGCAGTGTCTGATTTACATAGTGCCCAAAGATTGGTTGGACCAGGTGTGCCATTTACATAGTGCACAAAGAAGCTGGCTGCCCCACCCTCATCTTTTACTATGCAGAGGGCATCTCTACCTGGCTGGCGCCATGTTGCCTGCTCCTTTGCTGTACACGTGGTTGACAAAGAAAAGAGAAGATGGAGCATCCATGTTGAAGATGCCTGGCCCTCAGGTAGCCCTTTTCTGTTGGCACAACTACTGGCATTCACCTGTGCAGGGTCCCAGCTTACTTTTCTATGTCTGCAGCTCCATTTTACAGGCTGCTCTTCTTTAGAAAAGAAATTATTTGGGGGGCTGCTTTTTGTTCAAAGGGAAACCTTACTGAGGACTCTCTTACCTCACTAACTTCCTAAATAATTTCTTTTTAGCTCCTATGTCAGTGGGGTGGGGGAACCAGCAGACAGGAGTCACTGGATGCCTGAGGTGTGGAAAAGAGGAACCGCAGCCCAATTCCCACCCTAGGGCCCTGCAGAAATGCAGGCTGGTGCACCAAAACCTCAGATGCTCCAGGAGACAAAGGAAGTCTGGATATTTGCGCAAAATCTTAAAATGTTAAAAAGACTGATTTGAAACTGTTTAAAACACTTCCTGAGCTTAATAAAATGTGCCACATGTCTGCAGAGCAGGCTTGGTACAAAGAGCTGTAACAGCTTTTTTAGACTCACAGACTAGAAATTATCTGTTTGGCACCTGTGCCATTCAGATTGGATCTGAAGCCTAGAGAAGAGGAAAGTCTTGTTCAAGGTCACTGTAAACGAAAAATAAGTGCATACATAATCCCATGTCCTTCAGTCCAGGACTCTCCCAAAGAAAAAAAGGGGACAGGGGTCAAGGATACACAAATAAGTCAATTCCCATATAGAAGGGAGACCCTGACCTCATATTCATGAAGTGTCTCAAGTGTGCACCATTGAAGTTAAACACATACACACCCCTTAGATTTATATTGTGAATTATAACACATCCTAATATCATACTCTATTTTATAAGGGTTAAACTTATTACTGGCTGGGCACGGTGGCTCACGCCTGTAATCCCAGCACTTTGGGAGGCCAAGGCGGGCGGATCACCTGAGGTTGGAAGTTCGAGACCAGCCTGACCAACATGGAGAAACCCCGTCTCTACTAAAAATACAAAATTACCCAGGCGTGGTTGCGCATGCCTATAATCCCAGCTACTCAGGAGGCTGAGGCAGGAAAATCGCTTGCATCTGGGAGGCAGAGGTTGCGGTGAGCCGAGATCGTGCCATTGTACTCCAGCCTGAACAACGAGAGCGAACTTCGTCTCAAAAAATACATAAATAAAGCATTATTTTTAAAAAATAAAGATTTAAAATACACTACATTTTTACTATCCTATTGAATATTCACTCATTTTAAACAAAAGTCCCAACACTGGGTGTATTTCAGGTTATTTTGACCTACTGTGAGTGACAAATAAACCTTTGATGCTTAACTTTTGTCATCTGTATAATGAGGATGCTGTAATTACTCCTAGTGTTTTGATGACAGTTATTGTGTTATTGTGAAACAATGCCTGTCATTGTTGAACCCCCTACATTTACTAAGAAATAATATTGTGTACATAAAAATTTTTGATAATGTGCTCTCATCCAAAAAGAGAAAAATAGAAAATCATTTTTTCTCCAACAGTGTGAGCTAATGCATAAGACATAACTCTCATTGTTTTATTTTGGTAAAGGCATTATATTCATAAAAAGAAGGTCATATCTCAACTCTATGTTCTTAAAAGAATTAACTTCAATTGCTCATAATTGGTTTAAATGTTAACGTTTGCATAATGCATGATTTCTTTATTAAAAGGCCATGACAGAAAAACACATTACCTCATTTGAAAAAAGTTTCAGGAAGAATCTTTCCTGTAGCTTCAAATAATTTAAAATTGATCTCCTATAGCTTGTCCTACTTTTATATTCTTAACAACAGACAAAATAGTTTCTTTCAATTTTAAGTCAAACTCTTCTGAGGACACATGATTGAGTTATGTTGCTATTTTCAGAGTGTACTCATGGGCTTATTTTATCTTTCCTCAGTAATCCCGCTGCAGAGGGGATAAAAGACACCACAACGTGTATTTCACGTTCATTAATGTGCCATAAGACTTGACTCCGCAATGATCGAACATGTATCCTAAGCTGATCCGTTTGCCCAGCACACTTTCTTGTGTGTCTGTCTGTGGTTGATTGCACTGCACAGGAAAACTCAATTGTGAGGAAGACCAGGCAAATTTAAGGAGGAGAATGCAGTGGAACTGAAGCTCTCATCAGAAAAAAACGACGTCTGCTTTTCCAGTAAATGTTTCCAGGTCATCTGCCGCTAAGCCCTGTGCCAGGCTGTGGCTGTGGGAGTCAGAAAATAACTACAACACTGCCCCTACCCTTGTGGTTTGAAGGGGAGGATGTGGCATAGGAGGGGAAAAGCCATTGTCCAGGGTAGGCACAGGTTGTGGAAATGCTGCAGGAAAGAGCTGATGGAATTATAGCCCTTGGGTCCGGACTCAGCTTTCTCCTGGCAAATGAGAATCTGGGCATTTAAGAGACCTGGGTTTTAAGTTGGGTCATGATGGATGTCTTTTGTCAAGAAGGGAGTGAAATTTCCATTATTGGAGGATTAAAAAAAATAGGGGGAGAAAAGTATCTTTCCAAACAAGAATCAATACCAAAGCACCCTTCACTAAGAGGAAATGGGGAGAATTTTTCTGCTTTTCTGAGTTGTGCTCGGTGACCAGCACTCCGAGCGCTGTGTGCATAGAAAGGAATGGCCGAGTCGTGTGTTAGGAGCAGGGGCCACAGACTTGTGCATTACCCCAAGTCTTACGTACCAAGGGTTGAGGAAATATTTTATGATGATGGATTTTTAGATAATTAGAAGTTTAGGTTCAAATACATTCACACAGTCAAAAAAAATTCCCCAGGTAAACATGCACATCAGAGACACATCTAAAAAACAATGTTGATTGAAAAATGTTGGAAAAAAGAATGTAGGCAAATACCAATTATGTAAATGAAAACCCACAGCATACACACACACACACACACACACATACACACACACACACACACCATGCTATATTAAGGACAAATACCACACATGCTCGAGTTGTGCTTGTGGACTAAGTGGGAATGGGTATGAGAATAGAGAATGCAATCAAATTAATAAAATGAATAAAACAAGAAGGAGGCCTTACACAGACCACTGATCTGTTATAAACAGAAAAGTGTAACTTAATTATGTACCTGCAGTCCAACTTTTTAAATAGGATAAAAATAAATGAGTGACTTAAATTCTACAGACTATCAGGCGTGGAGTCACTCTCTCCCCGAGCAGACATGTCTGAATCACCAGTTAAATAAACCAGCTAAATAGATATATCTGAATCACCAGTTAAATAAACTCTCATAGGTTAAAAGTCAAGTTTCTGGGAGGAGAAAAATGCTGGAATAGGATTAACAGTTTCTGGCCTTGAGAAATTCAGTCTTTTTCTAGTAGAAATAGAAGTCATAGACAAGACGGGAAGTCACAAACTCAAATGCCTCCAGGGGCCAGGCAGGTTAGACAGATGAATGAAACTAACTGGTGTGGGGCAATAGGGAGTGCTGGAGACTGTGGCTCACTGAAGAGCTCTCATGCTGTCTAAAGAGCACAATGGCTACCACCTCATCTCCAGCTGATTGTGGCTGTTGGAATGCATACCAGTATTGCCACATCTCAGATTTTCATTTTTAAAGAAAAGTTACATATCTTATATTAAATGTAAAATCTCCTGATACTACACATTGTCAGTGAATGCAAAGTTTTTTTAAACCCTCAGGCAAATCAAAGGAAACATATCTGTGAGCTCAACTCCGTCGATTTACTGCCATGCATTTGCAACCTCTGGCGCAGAGGAATGTTTTGATCTTTCCCTGTGCGTCCTACTGTACCCAGCACACAGATGCTTGCACAGTGTGCTCCTGGGTGTACATCGATTTGTTAACAGGATCCTCTTCATAAAATGTCTTAGGTTAGGTATGCGAGAAACATGCTCTAAGACAGAGGTTCACTGGGCAGAATTCTCAAAAGCAGCATCTGGGAGGGAGGGGAGTCAGGGAGGAGGAATTACCTGTAGAAGGTGGTGATCTGTTGTGAGTTGTGACATCAGCCCCCAGGAATCCCAAGGGAGGCCCTGATGCTGAGCTGGCTTTTCAGAGTTGACCTGATCAAGGCAATGGGGCTGAGCCTTTATAAACTGTTTCGCCGCCGCCTACCGTTACTGGGTGCAGCCTGCTGCAGGGAGGGTGCCTAACGTTGAGAGCCACTTTCCTTTGGCCAGCGACATTCCCAGAGAGGGACTCAGCTCTGAGCTGTCTGCAGCTAATGCTCCGGCAGCTCCTGGTGAGGGGATCTGGGTGGGCCCTGCAATATCTACTACATGTCATACCCAAATAGAAGGGACCGGCCCCATTTTTCAAATTAAAAGAATAGCGTTTAAAAACTTTTGAGGGGCCAACTTAACATGTAAAATTTTAGAGTTAAGAGGTCAAATAATCTATTTACATAATTCACTGAGTTTCATATGTGGGTAGGGGAGTGGGGATCCCATTTAGGGCTTCTTGTCAGATGGGCTTGAAAATTAAATTGAAATTTAAGATAGGTCAACAGGAGAAAAGCAGGCAAATGTCTTTAACACAAGTTTTACATGGCATGGGAGCTGTCATTAAAAAAAAAGACTAAAGCAGTTAGAGAGAGTTACTTATATACTGGATTGGACAAAGAATAGAAAGTTGTGAAGAAGCAGCTAAATTGTGTGGGAAGACATAAGAGACAGGAGTTATTTTCACGAAGTCTGTACTGAATTCTTTTTGGTCTCCACTTCTCGTCCTTGAGGATAAAGGTGCTATTTCTTTTGGTATAGTGAAGGTGAATTTCACGTGGGAATTTCATCTCCTGCTTTTAAGACACAGAAAAGAGGTCAGAATAATCGTCCTGCACCTGCTATTTTTCAAGTACCTTTAACTCAAAACAGTCAATATGCCAGGGTAATATATTTTTAACTTTTTCATTTGTTTAACACCTCTCTACAAGTAATTATGCATTTTCATTTTATGAAATGATTTAATTCACACTCCTTCCATGTCTCTTTAACATCAGGATATTTTTTCATTATCCTTGGGCTCATTGAAGTAACTTTTAAAAAGATGTATCACTCCTCTTGGTAATATGAGGAAAAGCTCTTTGTATAATTCTTTTCTGCAAATATTGTTCTTGGACACAGATACCCATCTTCATTACATCAAGGCATTTTTTTTTCCATTTATCTCACATTAAATGCTTGCTATTAAGAGGTCAAATGCCAGAATAATGACAAAATCCATGCTGAATGTCTCTGTCCTTCTTTGTCACAGAGAGGGTTATCTGAATGGTGGATGCTTCTTAAAATGGCATTGACTGAGATCATTTCACAGTGATGCATCTGATCTTAATCATGATGAAAGAGGCTTTTTCAGGGGTGGTTTTGTGGGAACCTTACCTTATTATTGGTTTATAAAAGATACTTTCCCTGCCACCACCTCACAATGGATATTAAACAAACACAAATATGTTTCCGGATGGCTATGGAGAATCACACTTCTACTCAGATCCTGATTTCATTTCTCAGGCTATTCGGCTATAATGATATCCTGAGATTTCTGGATACCACTCAAACAAGGTTTGGACACAGCCTATGCTGAGAAGGTCCTGATTATTACTACATTCTCTTCCAGATTCAGTAAAGGCCACCCACTAGTGCTGCGTGGATCACACTGAAGGGACTGTGGCATCCACATTAGCACAGACCAATTGATTGTGCCAAGCACTGTGTTATCAGAAAGTACATTGGCTGCCTCCAGTTAAAAAAAGAACTGGGGGCAGGAACTGAGATCCCTGGGGACTTCTGAAACACATCTCCAGGTTTACATTTTCCCCGATATGCTTAGAGGATTTTTGCTATTTTTTTTTTTTCGAGATGGAATCTCGCTCTGTCGCCCAGGCTGGAGTTCAGTGGCACGATCTCAGCTCACTGCAACCTCCACTTCCCAGGTTCAAGCGATTCTCCTGCCTCAGCCTCCCAAGTACCTGAGATTACAGGCATGCACCACCATGCCTGGCTAATTTTTGTATTTTTAGTAGAGACAAGGTTTTACCATGTTGGCCAGGCTGTTTCAAACTCCTGGCCTCAAGTGATCTGCCTGCCTTGGCCTCCTGAAGTGCTGGGTTAACAGGTGTGAGCCACTGTGCCCGGTGGCTCATTGTAATTCTTAGATATCTTAAGGACATGTATAGTTCTCTGATTTCCATAAATAGGCAGAAGAGGCTTCATTTCAATTCCATCCATTAACATCTTTCCATTCTTCTCCCTAGCACCTACCATCCTGACATTGATAAGGAAACTGAAACACTGGATATTTTAATAAGTGTATGCCTTGTTTGCATTATCAGTCCAGAATGAGAAATGCAAATATTCAGTTAGATAATATTTTGATGTAAAGTTTTAGGCATAAAAGTTTTGGCAGAAATGAGACAGAGACTACTTTGCATGTGCTCTCCTTTCCCTACATCCTCAAAACACCTGTCACTTTTAATAGAATCCCTGAAACTGCAAGAAAGCATCACTTCTAGGTTTATTTCCCAATTTTGTGGAGCTCTTGACTCCTGTTCCTCAACAGAGACCTTCTGAAATCCTAACCAGCCAGATAATGCTCCTGTGTTTGCTCAGCAAGGGAGATTTACATAAAGAAATCCAACCCTGGCCCCATGGGGAATGGGCCCAGGCACCAAGGATAATGATGAAGGTTTTCCTTATGTTCAAATAAAAGTGATATTGTATTATCATCAATTAATGGGAGGAATGAAAACCTGCTCTGGCATCATGCTGAAATGTTTTTAGAGGTAAAATTGAGCTTCACGTGCATGAATTCCGTGGGTCAAAGCCAAAAGTTATGTTACCTGTACAAGTAGTTTGTAGGGCTTAGCTGCCCTCAGATCCAAGTGTGATATTAGGAGAACAGACTTTGAATTTTTGTGGGTAGCTACACTTAGAATCAGAAGGATTTAACAAATTATACTTTCTTATAGGTACAAGCAGTTTCTCACCTAGAAACAGGAGCAAAGCAGGAGTGTGAAGTCTGAAATGATTTTCAGGCTCTTATTGATTCAAAGGCATGAGATATGGCTGGCAGCCACTCCCTGGGCACTGATCTTGGAGATGTCTTAGAAACCAGTCCTGCAACCTAAGACAACTTTATTTTCACTCTCTGCTCCAGGGAAAACAGTCATGGATATTTTTTATTCATGTGTGGTCATATATAATACTTAACCCAATTTCAAAACACTAAGGTTAATCAATCAAATACAAAGTTAAAAATTGTTTCCCTATACAATGTGATAGTGCTGGGAATAGGATATTGTCTCAAAATTCATTCATGAGGCCAACCTAGAATATATCATTGTGCACGATTGCACAGGCATATTAAACTATGCTTTGAAAAGAATTCAATGTTTGTGATAGGAAGAAAATTCAATTCAAGTATACCAGAGGGCATTTTATATATTTCATATTTTTCTAAATACTAAAAATCAAGCATTCATTTTAAGTAAAATAAGTTTTGGAGTAAATGTCAGTCATTCAGCTGAAAGAAAAAGAAATCAGAAACTAAGAAATGTAGATAAAATTCAGATCAATTTTGAACTAGCCACTGTATAGACTCAGATATGCTCTATTTGTATGTATCAACTTTAAAAAATGATGATGTTGAAATAAATAAAAGCTTGAAGCAATGTTAAATAGAAGCTGAATAGTTGAAGAAGACAGTAGAGTCTGTTTCTTGTTTATCTGAGTATTTTCTGGCATATATAACAGATAAAATACTTATTGTTTATCAAATGAATGAATTAATGAATTAATAAATGATATATATCAAAATGCATGCAGAAATCAGATGAAATTAGAGCCAAGTTAGGACTCAAATGAGAAGGAAGTTTATGCTGGCTAAGCAGGAAGGATATAGGCTCTAATCCTGGTTCTGCGACTAAGTTATCACATGACCTTAGAGAATGTCACAGTCTGAGTGTCAGTTAAACCCTCTACAAAATAAGGGACCAGCCTGTGTGACCTGGGAAGCACTGGGCTTTCACTCATGTCGTGATGCTCCAGGGGGTGATAGAGGCATGGACACACACTTAAAATTCTGAGCTGATAATGAGATTCAGGGAACTTTTAATATCTCCATCCCTCTGGCTCCAGCGCGAGCTAGAAGGAAAAGAGATTCAATTGCTCAATTGGATTTTATGGTTCCCACTTCTCAGGGGATTAAGAGAGCATTAATGAGCACCAATTGTGTACAATAGGAATATGGAAACTGTTTCTGTATTTAAGGACAAGGAGGTTAGCAGATTCCGATTGAGTAGGCTATGTAAGTGAATGTGAATGACGCTGGTTCCATGAAGCTAAGACTATTAGTGAGAAAAGTGAATCCTTTTATGCATGTATCCATTAATACAGCTAGAATCTAGCTAACACCCACTTCATCTGGCATTGTGCTGGGCATTGGAAACAAAGAGATGAAGCTGATGGACCTCACACACTGACGTTCTGAGGGAAGAAAGGAGGAAGTACAGAGTAGTCTCTGGTATAAACAACAGGAATTATGGCTGTGCATGGGTTGGGATACAAAGTGCATGTAGCTGTGCCTAATTCAACCTAGCAAAGTGAGGGTGGGAGGGGAGAACATGAAGACCACCACGGAAGATTCTTAGAGGATATGAAGAGCAAGCAGAATCCTGAGCCAGGTTTAGCCTGATGAATAGCTTTAAAATGAGTTGTAGGCCAGCCTCAGTGGCTCTCGCCTGTAATCCTGGCATTTTGGGAGGCCGAGGAGGATGGATCACTTGAGGTCAGGAGGTCGAGACCAGCCTGGCCAACATAGTGAAACCCCGTCTCTACTAAAAATACAAAAATTAGGCTGGCATGGTGGCGGGCACCTATAATCCCTGCTACTAGGGAGGCTGAGGCAGGAGAATCACTGGAACCTGGAAGGCAGAGGTTTCAGTGAACTGAGATCATACCACTGCACTCCAGCCTGGGCAACAGAATGAGACTCCATCTCAATAAAAATGAAAATAAAAATAAAATAAAATAAAATAAGATGTAACTAAAAAGACCCCCAACTGACCAGAGGGGCACATATTCATGCATTTTAGGAGACTGAGTTAAACCAGCATCTTTGCAGCGTTGGCTGGAAGGCTGAGAATGATGAGATATGACCACACGTATCAGGAGGGCTAAGATAAAGGGGTTTCTGGCAGCCTAGTTTTAGGGCTGTTGTTAGAATTAAATTTTGTGTTTTTCTTTTTTTCAGCTTTGTGGACATATAACTGACAAATAAAAATTGTATATTTTCAAGGTGTCCAATGCGATGATTTGGCACATATATATTGAGAAATGATTATCATAATCAAGCTATTAACTCGTGCATCATTTCACACAGTTACATTGCGTGTGTGCGCGCCTATGATGAGAACATTTGATATTTACTCTCAGTAAATTTCAAGGTTGCAACACATTATTAGTAACTATAATCACCATGCTGTACATTAGGTCCACAGAATTTATTCATCTTTACCCTGCAAGAGAAGTAAATTCTAAAATGCAAGTAACATGCTTGGCTTAGCACCTGGAAAAAACATTAGCTGATGCTTGTAATAATGTTGGTCATGACAATGGTAAGACAGAGGTGGGAGAAGGTAAATAACAAGGAGGAAGAAGAAAATGGGAGGATAAAACATAGAAAGTTGTTTTTATAGTTGAGCATAAATAGAAGGGAAATTTATGTCTTGGCCATAGGAGGGAAACACAGCCCAGAATCACCTTTTTACAGTGAACAAATTTGAAAAATATTATTCTTATAATTGGGCAACTTATAGGAAACAAATTTTCTGGAATTGGACAACAGGCAGGGCAAAACTACGATACCTGAAAAAAGAAAAACAAATAAGATGAGATCTATCACTCCCAATTTCTGGACTGCAGGGCAGGGAGGGTCAACCCAAACAGAGCCTCCTGTTCTCACTGAATTGAGGAGAAAGAGATTGGACTTTGGGAAGGCTGATGTTCCTGGGACTTACAGGACAGAACACCTGGAAGGAAGGAGCTGTGCAAAGCAGGAGTTCCAAAAATGTGCACACAGGCACACTTGAGCCTTCGGCTGATAAAAAATCTCCATATGTATTGGGAAAAAACTCACAGGTTGAATAAAGAAAAACTTCTGGGGAAATTAAAATTGCCAGGGAGCTGTATGATGAAAATGACCAGAGTTCACAAAGGAGCTGTATGATGAAAATGACCAGAGGTCACAAACGGCTGGGAATCGTTTTGTTTATACATAAGGCATTCAGTAGAGAAGAGCCACACCTTAGAAGCAGACCTAAATTAGCTATAGATTAAAGGGTACTTTGGACAAGTCTTAAAAGTGGTTTAAAACAAGACTTAAACATCAAACTGATATAAAAAATAAAGTTCAATGTATTTCATAAGAAATACAGAAAATCTAGCATATGCCCATGCAAAATTTAAGCTGTCTAGCTTTCAATTAAGAAATTACAAGACATATGAAGAAGCAGATAAACATGACCTAAACACAGGAAGGAAATAAGTCAGTAGAAACAGACCCATAAATGATAGAGATGATGGCATCTTCAGATATGAGCATTAAAAGAGTGAACATACTGAGTCTACTCAAGGATTTAATGAAGAATATGAATGTAATGAGAAGAAAAAAGGAATCTGTATTAAACTGCTTTGTACTGCCTCAAAGGGCACTGAAGCTTTGTTTTTTTGTTTTGCCTTTTTTAAAAAAAGACATATTTATCTCTGTGCTTCATTTTGCAACTTTTTCTTTGGATGCACACGTATAATTTTTGATGGCTGAAGAAAAGTAATTTCTTCTTCTGTAGTATCTATATAGCTGTTACCCCCTCCACTGAAATATTTGTGTGGTTATCATATATTTAATTTCTAAATGCAATTGGAGTCCAAAAAAGAGAGAAGTAAGAATCCAAAATAATTGAAGAAATAAGAGCTAAAAAATTCCAAATCTTATGAAAACTGTAAAGCATAGATTCAAAATGATAAATAAACCCATAGCCAAAGAAACATAAAGAAAACTACATTGGGACTCATTATAATAAAATTTCTGAAAACAAGTAATAAAAAGGAATCTTAAAAGTAGCAAAAGGGCCGGGTGCGGTGGCTCACGCCTGTAATCCCAGCACTTTGGGAGGCCAAGGCGGGCGGATCACGAGGTCAGGAGATCGAGACCATCCTGCCTAACACAGTGAAACCCCATCTCTACTAAAAATACAAAAAATTAGCCGGGCGCGCGTGGCGGGCACCTGTAGTCCCAGCTACTCGGGAGGCTGAGGCAGGAGAATGGCGTGAACCCGGGAGGCGGAGCTTGCAGTGATCCGAGATCGCGCCACTGCACTCCAGCCTGGGCAACAGAGCGAGACTCTGTCTCAAAAAAAAAAAAAAAAAAAAAAAAAAAAACAGCAAAAGAAAATCTATGTGTATATAAATTATGTTCTACAGAACATACTTAGGAAATAATTTTCATCAGAAACCACACAGCCCAAAAGAAAAAAGAGTAACATCTTTAAAGTACAGAGCTATAAGGAAATGAAAAATCCCGTCACTTAGAATTGTATATGCACTATAAACCTTTTTCAGAAATAAAGGCCAAAGACTTTTCAGACAAAGGTTAAAGTAATTCATTAGAAGCAGATTGGCAATACCCTAAGGGAAATTCTTTTGGGGAAAAGATCCACTACACACGAGAATAAAAAGTACTGGAAGTAAGTAGGTTGGTAAATATAAATGTAACTATTTTCTAATTTCTAAATTAATGCAAAAGGTAATTGACTTTTTCAAGTATAAATAAGATAAATAAATTAAAGCATTTATAATATTTGTGGAAGCAAAATGTAGCAAGAAATAGCACAAAGGATGAGAGGGGAGGAACAGAAGTATGCCCTTGTACATTTTCAGACACACATGAAATGTCAATATTATTTGAAAGTAGGTTGAGATACGTTACAATGATTATTGTAAATTTTAGGGTGCTCAATTTTCATTTTCCAAGATTGTTTTGGTGCTTTCTATTTCCATATACATTTTAGAATGTGCTTGGCAATTTCTACAAGGAACATCTTCTGAAACTTTAATTGGGATCTCGTCAAATCTACTGATCTATTTGGGGATATTTCATATCTTAATATGGAAGCATGACAGCCTTGAGCATGAAATATTACATAGCTTTGTTGATTCAGTTCTTTAATTTCTCTCAGCAGTATTTTGTACTTTTGAGAGTACAAGTCTTTCACAAATGTCAGATTTATCCTTAAGTATTTAATGATTTTAGATATGTTGTGAATGGTATGGTTTCCTTAATTTCACATTTTAATTTGGAGGATACTTTTTGTAAAGCTATTGTAAGCAACAAAGTACACTATGTGCTTCTGTTTGTGTGTATGTGTATAACTGATGACAGGATAGAGAATATACAAATATAGCCACACGTGTATGCTTTTCATAAGTCTGACAGTGTAACTCAATAGGAAATAAAGTCTTTTCAACAAATGATGGGGGCACAATTGGATATCTGTATACACAAAAATAAAAATCAACCACTACCTCACACAATACTCAAAGATTGACTCAAAACTATTGTACATCTAAAAGTAAAAGTTAAAATCATACAGTTAAATAAAAAATATAGAGAAAAAAATATGACCATGGGGAGGCAAAGATTTTGATCCGTAGGGCACAAAAGACAGGAAACATAAGGAAAAATTTGATAAGTTTGATGTCATCAAAATTAAAAGTGCATACTCCTTGAGAGATATCATTATGTAAATTAAAGGCAAGTCACAGACTGGAAGAAAATATTCACAATTCATGTAGCTGACAAATGACTTACGTCTGGAATATACAAAGTATACTAATATTAAAACTCAGTTATATGATAAACAACCTAGTAGAAATAGACAAATGCTTTGAACAGACATTTCACAAAAGAAGATATACATTGGGCAATAAGCAGACATGCCCAAATCATTAGTCATTAGGAAAATGGAAATTAAAAACACAGTGAGGCACCGCCACACTCCACTAGAATGGCTACGTGTAAAGATACTAATTGTTAGCTGGGTGTGGTGGCTCACGCCTGTAATCTCAGCACTTCGGGAGGCCGAGGCAGGCGAATCACCTGAGGTTGGGAGTTCGAGACCAGGCTGACCAGCATGGTCTCTACTAAAAATACAAAATTAGCCGGGCGTGGTGGCACATGCCTGTCTGTAATCCCAGCTGCTCGGGAGGCTGAGGCAGGAGAACTGCTTGAACCCGGGAGGCAGAGGCTGCGGTGAGCTGAGATTGCACCATCGCACTCCAGCCTGGGCAACAAGAGTGAACCTCCGTCTCAAAAAAAAAAAAAAATTGTTAGGATATGAGGCCATTTAAATTCTCATGCACTTTTGGTGGGGGCATAAGATGACACAAACTTTTGGAAAACTGTCCATTTATTTTTAAACGGTTACCCCTATATTTACCTGGTGACTGAATTTTACTTCTGTGAAAGGAAAGTATCTTGGGACCCCTCAAGCTGGGAACCGCTCAGGACAAATCTGCCTCCCATTCTATTCAAAGTCACCCCTCTGCTCACAGAGACCGATGCATATTCTGATTGCCTCCTTTGGAAAAACTTATCAGAAACTCAAAAGAATGAAACTGTTCGTCTCTCACCTACCTGTGGCCTGAAAGCCCCTAGTGGGAGGCCTTGCTTTGAGTTGTCCCCACCTTTCTGGATGGACCTAATGTACTTCTTACATATATTGATTGATGTCTCATGTCTCCCTAAAGTGTATAAAACCAAGCTGTGCCCCGACCACCTTGGGCATGTGTCATCAGGACCTCCTGAGGCTGTGTCATGGGTGCATCCTCAACCTTGGCAAAATAAACTTTCTAAATTAACTGAGACCTGCCTCCGATTTCCGGGATCACACTTCCTTTACTTATCTACTAGAGCAAAATAAAAGTGTACATCCATCCAAAGACTTGTCTATGAGTGTTCATAGCAAGATTTATTTGTAGGAGCTCATAACTGGACTCAGCACAAAAGTCTACCAATGCATGAATACTGATAAAAGAAAAACTTCAACCAAATTAAACTTAAGAGTTTAATTGAGCAATGAATGATTCATGAATCGGGCAGCCTCCTGAGCCAAAGTAGGCTCAGAGACTCCAGCGCAGCCACATGGTGGGGGAAGATGTAGGGACAGGAAAAGGAAAGTGATGTAGAGAAAACAGAAGTGAAGAATGGAAATGGCCAGGTTGGTTACAGCTTGGTGTTTGCCTTATTTGAACATGCGTCAAACAGTTGTCCACATTTCATAGGCCAAAACTCGGTGATTGACACAAGTGTAGGCTACAGTCTGTTTACACCTCCACTTGTTACAGTTCATGATGTACAGAAAACCTTTAGGCCAAACTTCAAATATGTAAGGAGGAAGCTTTAGGCTAAACTTGATTTAACAATACATAAACAAAGTGGCCTGTTCATGCAAAGGAATACTACTCAGGAACAACAACAAAAACAAATTACGGACAAACGATATCACAGATAAATCTCAGAAACATTATGCTGAGCAAAAGAAAAGAAGCCAACACATTAATGTTGTCACGCGTGTGCGTATAGAAGACCACCTAAACAGGCTTTGTGTGAGCAACAAGGCTGTTTATTCACTTGGGTGCAAGTGGGCTGAGCCCGAAAAGAGAGTCAGTGAAGGGAGATAGGACAGGGGCAGCTTTATAGGGCCTGGGTAGGCAGTGGAAAGCTACAGTTAAAGGTGGTTATCTGTTGTCAGCAGGGGAGGCGGGGGGTCACAAGGTGCATGGTGGAGAGATCATGGGACTCATTGTCCAGAAGAATGTCACAGGGTCGATCGATCAGTTGGGGCGGGGCAGGAACAAGTCTTAATGGTAGAATGTCGTAAGGTGGGTTAATTAGTTAAGGCAGGAACTGTCTGTTTCACTTCTTTGTGGTTTTTCGGCTACTCCAGACTTCTTGGCTCCTGTGGGCCATCTGGACGTATATGTGCAGGTCGCTGGGGTTACAATGGCTGAGCTTTGGCTCAGAGGCCTGACAAATGTGTTATTTCGAGTCCTCCAAGAAGCAGACATTCAGATGGGATGAGACAGTGCAAGAGTTGCAAAGGACAGTGAGGTCAAAGCAGGGGAGGCAGCAACCTCCTTTGCACCATGATACCAGCTGAATACCTGTGAAAGATGAGGGAGAGGGAGAGAGTATTCTGTAGGAAGAATCAAAGGCTGCAATGCAATTCTGAGAAACTTTCATCCAGGTCAGCAGTCAGTCCTCAAGATAAAATATTCTGTTACACGTGTTCGTGGGAGTGGGCTGGCACTTGAATCCTGGCTGAGCTTGCCTGTTGGTTTGGGGCAGGCTGGGGTTAAGTGGCCTGAGGGCAAATCCAGAGATGGGCCAAGAGATGCACATCTGGGACGGTCAGAGCTGGAGAGCTGGGCAGTGTATTTTGACATCTGCCACAAGTACATACCATGTGATTCTGATACAGACAGAAGACAGGGAAATACTGGGTAGAAGAGGAGGGTTCCCCAGCCAAAAGGCAGAGGGTCCACTGAGCTGTTTAACACTTATGCCGTCCATAGATGGCAAGGCTAAAAGAGCACACTGTAGCATGCGCCCACTTGGGCTTCAGGAGTTGCAGCCTCTCACCCCTGGACGCTGCCATGAGGCCGGAGCCCAAGGGTGCTCAGTTGGCTCCTGGACCTGCCCATCTGCATGTTCCTACTCCAGTAAGGGGTTTGAAGGTGGCTGAACAGAGCAGCCACACCCTTGTCACACATCCTGTGAGGGGGGTCAGGGAACTCTCCTGTTTCAATTCCATTCATATGAAACTCCAGAAAAGAAAATCTAATCTTGAGTGAAATAAAAGCAGATCAAGTTTTCCTCGGGGGGAAGGCAGGGGGAAATTTGGAAGAGGCAGAAGATAAACTTTGGGAGTGATTTAAATGACCTGCATCTTGATTGTGACGATACAGATGCACACATTTGTCAAATAAGTAGATTTTAAGGGCAAAAAGATTTTTTAGGACAGAATGAGAGAACTTAGGTAGAATAACTTACAAATTATGAACATTGGTTCCCCCTTGGGGGTATGTAACTGAGTATCCCCATTTTTCTAAGAGAGAATGAGTTATTTTCTAAATTATTTTGTTATTGTTTTCCCTTTTCCTCCTTTCCACTATTTCCCACTTCCTACTTAGTTCTTTAGAAATGCACCTATAACTGTACCTTCCCTTCACCAGACCCTCCCTACAGGGCAAGCTTATCTAACCATGTGCTTTCTTAGAAGCTCCAGAGTGCAACTCTCTCCCACGAGCAGATTGCCTCAGGAGACATCAGTCAATTTACCACCTAAAAGTATGCCCTCAAAGGAACGCTCTTCCACCTGGAGAGTATCTCCAGACAGTGGCCAGTTTACAGCCTAGCTCTGCCAGCCATGGTGCCAGCTTGAGCACCCAGCAGAATAACCCTGTAGCTGCTCTCTTCCTCCCCTGTATTCCATTCATGCCAAGTGTTCCTTTAAAAGCCCCTGCTTTCCTCCCCAAAAGCAAGGACTTAAAGGTAGGAGCCTGTACTTCTTCCCTTAAGCTAAGCTTTGGAATAAAATCACTTTTCTTATACTGGACCTGGCTCTTGTTAATTGGACTCTGCAAGTGGCAAGTGATTGAAGCTGTGTTTCGGTTATAAGTGGACTTCGAAGGGGCTGGTCATTGGGTAATTTTCCCTTTACATATTTGTGCATAAAATATGTTACCTTTATAATAAAAAAGTTAAAATTTCCATAAAGTAGAAAAGTCCTTTTAGATTTTTGTTTGTTTGTTTGTTTGTTTGTTTTGAGACAGATTTGCTCTTGTTGCCCAGGCTGGACTGCAGTGGTGCAATCTTGGCTCACGGCTCACCGCAACATCCGCCACCTGGGTTCAAGCAATTCTGCGTCAGCCTCCCGAGCAGCTGGGATTACAGGCACGTGCCTGCTAATTTTGTATTTTTAATAGAGACATAGTTTCTCCATGTTGGTCAGACTGGTCTTGAACTCCCAACCTCAGGTGATCTGCCCACCTCGGCCTCCCAAAGTGCTGGGATTACAGGTGTGAGCCACCGTGCCTGGCTGATTGACTTTTATAATTAAAATGCACACTATATACTAGAGTTTTTCAAACATATGAAGCCATGCTTTGGACTTTAAATTGCGTGAGTGAGTTCATAGAATCAAGGTTTTTTTCAGCTGCCGCCACTGCTATACCTTTTGAACAACTCCAGACTGGAGCGAGCTTGCTCTGACTTGCCTTTGCAAAGCCACATTCCGTTTTCTCTGCTTAATAATTTGAAACTTCTCCTTGTCCATGGGCCCCAAGGAGATGCCATCCTTTCTCACTCTCCCCATTTTCAAGTGATGATTAATGCGAAGTTGAATCCTGTCACTTTGCAATTTTATTTAGACATGTACAGTAGATTAAATACAAGGGTGTCTAATGATGAATATGACACAATTTTTTTTAATCCATGTCTTCTCAGGAATTGGCTTGTCTTAGCTACAAAAAGGAAGCCCATACTATATCAAACCCATGCTCGCATTTCTCATTAGTATCTATCATGTGAGATTCAGCCAAATGATATGTCACCAGAGTTTCTGCAAGGAGAAGTTTATGCTGAATTTTGCAAATGATTCCATAGATTATTCCAGAACCCACCTTGAGTAAAAGATAATGGAAACAAATTGTTTTAAGCCCAACTTCAGAAATGTTCTTGGAAACGGCCTTGGGCAACCCTGGCTCTCTATGTGTGGCTCTGAGGCCCATTGAAACAGAGTTTGTAATTGCTCGCTGCATTTGTGAAACTTTTTGTAGTTGTTCTAAAGAGCTCTTTGTTCAGATTGTCTTTTATCAAGGCTCCAAAGTTAACCAAGGAGGAAGAAAGGAAGGGCTTAGCTTTTATTATGTGTGCGACTTTTTGTACTTTTCATAAATGGTTTTTTTGTTTTGTTTCTCACATATATTTGGAGAATCTGCTTTTCACATCTCTCAAATAATAGGAGCCAAGATAGAAATCTTCTTCCATTAAGAAGACAGAGGATTTCGGAAAGCACTTGCAATCAGGAGGAAAAAGCTATTGGCTATATTTTTTGTCCCTAAGAGAAACATGGAGAAAAAAGTGTCTTCATTAAATGTCTTGAATAGTTTCTGAAGGCAGTTATTGAACATCATCCACAATTCCAATCCAGCCAGGCATGGTTTTGAGGCCAACCCATCAAACCTGTGCCACACTGCAGTGTATGATTAATAGCTTTCCAGGAGATGATGGGCCCTGAATCTATTATTCAGGTGATAAACACAGAGAACAAATTCGTTACTTCATGATGGACTTTCCAATGGACTGTGAGGATGCTCTCGGTAATGGACAAGAGTGGGGCGGGGGGCACTGATCCTTCGGCCTTGAAAAAACAGAATGTTATGAGCATCATTTTGATCAAAGAGTATGTCTGAGGGTTTCCTAAGTGTAGACTTTACCATAATGAGACAGCAGACCCACACTTCTTCAATTCTGAAAATAAAACAAACAAAGCAATCTTATTCATTCATCTACACTGTCAATGAGCACTTATTCGCAGTCAGGGTTAATGATGAATTTTCTATCCCATAAACTAATGAAGAATAAAGACCACTCTAGAGAGTTTATAATGTAATATATAAAATGTTCTGTTAGGACTTGAACCTAGTACCTGGGAATTGAAATGTGTCATAATGGACCTTCCAGAATGTCCTCAGAAAAGGCTTAGGTTCCCAATTTCCTCTTTCAATGTTCTTCTTTTTAGGGGCGTGGTTGTTTTGGGCTGTGCCAGGGTCACTACATTCATTTTGATAAGATATCTGTATGGCGGGATTGAGAAAAAAATGAACAGACTGGGCATGGTGGCTCACATCTATAATCCCAGCACTATGGGAGGCTGAGGCAGGCAGATCACTTGAGGTCAGGAGTTTGAGACCAGCCAGGCCAACATGGAGAAACCCTGTCTCTACCGAAAATACAAAAATTAGCCGGGCGTAGTGGTGGGCACCTATCATCTCAGCTACTCAGGAGGCTGAGGCATGAGAGTCTGAGAGGTGGAGGCTACAGTGAGCCGAGATCGTGCCACTGCACTCCCGCCTGAGTGACAGTGCAAGACTCCATCTCAACAACAACAAAAAAACAGTGTGCAATTGACTTGCATAAGGCTCTTCAAACAGGCTCTGTGGACGGAGAAGTGACCCTGAAAAAGTAGGGTGGAATACGGTTCATGAAGCCCTCATAAAACAGAGAAAGTTGTAACTGGATTTCGCAGATGACAGTGGCCAAAGCTTCTGCCCTGGAAAATAAATAAAAGGACAAGGGCTTCCTCCCGCTCATCAGCCCTTAGCATCCCTGATAACTGACATTTCCATCTCCGGGGAGAGGACAGACTAAGTATTTAAACATTGGACTAAGTCAACATTGGACTAGATTCTGTCTCAGGATGCCCAAATTTTTGTCCCTTTCCCATTTAAATAATCAGATGATCCATCCCAGATCAAGGAGGCTTTCTTAACTTTGGCAGCTCATCCGACACTCTTAGGAAGTCTCATGTTCCCAGAGGAGGAGACCCCAGCGGTGACTTCTGAAAGCCGAGACAGAGAGTGGAAGACGTGAAAGTATGGAGGAGCTGGGTGATAGAAGGTGATCCATGCAGAAGCAGCAGGAACTATAAAATCTCTGAAGACCAAGAAGGTCAGTTCAGGGCCATTGAAGAATCACACTTGGCTGGAGACTGGTATCAAGTGGAGGAAGCCACAAATTATGAAACACCATAAGTAAAAGGCGCCAGGTCCCCCAGGGGCTTGCTAGCTACCGAAATACATTTTCATTCTCTCTTGGAGCAACGAGGAGTGGTGAAAGATTTTATTAATGGGAGTGGCATGGTCACTGTACTTTAGAACATCACTCTGGGCAGTGTGTGGTGAATGAATTAGAGGAAGGTCGGTTAGGCCCTGCTGCAGGTGTCCAGGTGAGGACTAGGGTCTAGAGAGAATGATAGGAGTGATGGAAAAGAGGAATTGGGTGCATTTGAATGTCATTGAGAAGGACTGCATTGCATTCATTTAAGCTTCCAGGACAGCATAACAATTTTTTAAATGTAGAAGTATACTAGTATCTTACTATGCTCAGGAATAAGTATAATCAGATTAATATGTAGCTTCCCTTCCACTGGGCTGAACTGTTTAGGGTGGGTTCAGCCTTCCTTGGTGGATATGAGTATAAAAGCAATCAAGGTCACTAACCCACTCAAGTAACAAGAACCAGTCTATTAAAAGAAAAAAAATCAGTCGAAAACATTGCTATATCCCAGTCCTGAATGTTGAAGCAATTGGTGAACACTTTTCAGTGACTTACATAGACTAGGAACGCATCAGCAGGAGAAACAAGTTTGCATTTGCAAGTTATTCTTCATCACTCAGATTCCAGGAAAATCTCTTTTACTGCAAATCCGACCCAACCCCTTGAGACCATCCATCACCGCAGTGTGAACCTCTCCCCTGACCTTTGCTCACCATGTTGATTCATACCTAATTAGTTGTCACTTCATTTCCAGGTGACCTTTTGTAACTACCCAAGGGGTTCTTCCTGCCCACTGCGCAAATAAAGACCACAACACTGCAATAAAGAAAGAGTTTCACAGACAGGAGGCCAGCCACGCCACGTGGGAGGTGGAGTTAACACTCAAATCAGTCTCATCCAAGGCTCATAAGCAGGAGCTTTTCAAAGACAGTGTGGGGTAAGGGCCGGTGGTTGCTAGGCAATGAGTGCTTGCTGCTGATGGGTTGGGGCAGAGATGAAGTCATAGGAGATCCAAGCTGTCCTCTTGCATTGAATCACTTCTGGGTGGGGTCACGGGAGTGAGATTGGTCTACATGGAGACATGGTGTCAGATATCAAAAAAAAAACAAACAAACAAACAAAAAAACAAACAAACCAAAAAACCCTGAAAATGTATTATATTTCAAAAGGTCAATCTATAATAGTGGTGTTATCTGCTGGAATGACTGACAATGTATGTCCACACTTTAGCAGAATTCAGATTCCCCTTCTCCCCCAGCCTGATGGCCTTTCATTAGCTTTACAAAGGCGGTTGAGTTTTGGGGAAGTGCTATTATCATTTAAACGATTAATATCAGCTAAATATCTTCCAAAGTCAGCTCAGCCCAAAAGCCCAGGAATAAATTAGAAAAAGGCAAAATGGGGGTGGGTTAGAACAGATCTCTTTCATGGCCATAATTTTCTCACTGTTATAATTTTTGCGCAGGCACTTTCCCTCTCTTGGTATAAAATCACTGCCAGGAGATGGCCTCCAAATCCGAGCAGCCAGAAAAGCTATTAGGGCAGCTCATTCTCATGGGGATCCTTGACTGGTTTTAGCAGGATCCCACCTGCCTGGTTTTCTCATCTCACCTTGTGAGTACTGGGAGAGGCACTCTGCAGCCTTTTTCTCTATAATCCGTCCCTTTTTCCAGCAGCTCAAATGAAATCCCCGATCTAACACATCCTGTTTTTGTCAGCACTGCCTCATGTGCTTTCATCCCCTAGAAAAACCAGTTTCCCTCCCAATTGGCCCTACTCACGCTGTCCCACCTGTTACACGTGCCTTTCCAAGTTGCTTCTCTGTACAGGAGAAATAACAGTCCACACCCTACTTCTCACCTGTATTCTCCTCTTCAGTGATTCTTCCATCCCCTTCTCCTTTCCACGCTAGAAGATAAGCCTCTGTCCCCTCTCAGACATAGACTTTTCCATCTCATAAATACATGCCACCAACTAAAAATTCTGAGCTAGTTACCCTCTGCTCTGCTCTTTTCTAAGCTAAAAGTGTTTCAATTACATGATGTTTCCTGGTTCACTCTTTTTGAATCTACACCAAGACCAAACAGGGATTTAAAAAATCATTAACCTGAATGAGAATCATCTCATAAACTCCTTTTTATGAAAGAGGAAATGGAGGCACAGGGAGTCCAGTGATGGGTCCAAAGTCACACAGTGATTCAGTGACAGAGCAACACAGCCAAAGCTCAAATTGGCTCCACAAACTCCAATCTATGTGCTCTGTTGTGGATGGGGAAGCCAACCATCTCAGTTTGCCCATGACTCAGAGCTTTCCTGGGATGCAGAAGTTTACTGCTAAAGCCAGGAAGAGTTCCAGGCAAACTGGAGTGATTTGGCCACCCTGGTTCTGTGCAAACGTTGGAGATAAGCTTGTTGTTGCATCCAGGACAGGACAATGGGGTGGCCAAGAGGGTGGACTGTGGAGCCCGACTGCCTGGGTTCCAACCCCAATTCTCTCATCAATTGGCTGGTGACTCAACAAGCTGCTTAGTGTCTCTGGGAACAAATTTCTGTATCCTCAAAAAGGGCCTGACAGTCTACTTCAGACTCCATACAGTTGTGATGATTCAGTGAGCTGACATGGATAAAGCACTGAGAAAGGGCCTGGAACCGTGTCAGAGCAGGTTCCTTCTCAGCAATGCTTGTGACCACTGTATGTCACCAGCCACCAGCCCTGAAACAGCCCAGACACAGGCACTGAGGACCCCGTGCCAGAGCCGGGCCAGGGGACATAAGTTAGACTCTCTCTTTGGACACAAAAGTTAAGGGGGTGCCACAAATCGCAGCAATCCAGATAAATACTATTTTAATGCAGTATGTTAAGAAATCAAAATGAATGCAAAAAATCCATGGCGGACAAAATATCAAAAATTTAAATAAAGACAGGGTCCACCAGTGCCATGCTGAGATATTGGAGCCCACGGCAAAAGGAAAACTGTGTGCCCTTATACATAGGCTTTATGGAAATTTTAATAATTTAATGAAGGTTTTATGAAAATACTATTGATGAGTTTGCTTTCCTTAAAGCCAAGAAAATAAAAATATAGTAAATTTCATTTGGGGTATAAGTAAAATATTTAACATTAAAAATAATGCTGCAACTTTTAATACAACTGCTTTTCAATTTTTAATTTTTTTTTCATTTAGTTTAATGTTCCAGAAAAAAATAATCATGAAAAATACATTAAAATAGGTACGCTTTGTGTCTGGCATTTTTCACTTAGCAGAATGTTTGTAGCATGCATCAGTGTTTTGTTCCTTTTTATAGTCAAATAATATTCCATTGTGCGGATAGACCACATTGTGCCCACCCATTCATCTGCCGACAGACGTTTGCGTGGTTTCCACCTTTTCTCTATTGTGACTGGTTGATACTATAACATGCACAGTTTGAGTATTCATTTGGGTACCTACGTCTAATTCCATCTACGTCAGATATGTAGAATAGGCAAATCCACAGAGAAAGAAAGGAGGCTGGTGGTCCTCAGGGGCTGTGGGCAGGGCGGGAATGTGGAGTAACTGCTTGACGGCTGCAGGTTTCCTTTCAGTATGATGAAATACTTTGCAGCTACATAGGGCTGTACAACATGGAGAATATACTGAATGCACTCAGATGTTCACTTTAAATTGGGTAACTTTATGATACAACATTTGACCTTAATAACAATTGAGATTGAATTATGTATTGGGGGTGGATATTCTTTCTTCTGCCTGGGACGCCAACATGGCTTATGCTGGCTGCACCATGCAGCGTGCACTCCATCGTCCCCTCTCGTGGACTTCTCTCCATTCCCTGAGCTCCAGGTCCAGCCTCATCCCAGGGAGCTTCCAGCCAGCGCCTCAACTGGGAGGACCATAGCCAGGAATAGGGTGTGGTGCAGTCCCAGCCAGAGTCACTTGCTTATGGACAACGGACCTCTGAAGAGGCAGGTCCTTCGGAATGGAAAGACTGCTCCAGGGAAGGAGCTTCAAGCTGAGATGGAGCGGGAAGGAGGAGGAAAGAAGGTGAATTTGGGCCAGTGATGCGTGGCTGCACACCTGCAAATCACATGACTCAGGGCCTGCCTCTGGGTCACACTGAGCATGGCCGCAGCAGACACGTCCTCACCCTCTTCCTGCTCCATTCTGCTGCTCCTCATTCGTTCTCCAAGGCAAAGGATAATGAAGATGAATGTAACAATCACAGCATCTGACACTTCCTGAAAGCTCACTATAGTCAGGACTGTTCTAAGTGACTTATATTTACGAGAACCCTACAAAATGGGTAACATCATGTGCCTCATTTGACAGATAGAGGGGCTAAGGCTCAGAGAGGGTAAGGAACTTGCTATTAGCTGCACAGCTAATGAGGACAGGGTTGGGCTTTGAACACCAAATGCCTGTTTCCAGAACCCCCTTTCGCAAGCATACATACCCCCCTTTGTCTAACTTCCTAAACCAAGAACCCAGGAGTCATCCCAAACCCTGTAATATAGGAGTTAAGAAATCGCTCAGGCAGATAGTAAGGGTATGAGAGTGCTCGGTAAGCCTGTTTTTTTTTTAATGAAAAGCAGCCCCAGATCATTTTCTAACAAACAGCAGCCTGTAAAGTCGAACTGCAGACATAGACAAGCAAGCTGGGAGCTTGCACGGGTGAATGCCAGCAGGAGCTAGGGGACTAGACATGTTCAAGATGGCAGCTCCATCTTCCCTTCTCTGTCAGCCACGTGTGCAGCAAGGAGGGGACAAGATTGCCCTGATCAACTGGAAAGCCCATTTCCATGGAAGATTGGGGTGGGGCCACCAGCCTTCCCCGAGCACTATGTAAACATCATACCTGATGGAACCAATCTGTAAGCCCTATGTAAATCAGACACCGCCTCCTCAAACCTGACTATAAAATTCGGCACATTTGCCACCAGCCTATGGTCCTTTCCACTCAGAGACCCCTCTTGCTATAGACAGAGCTATTTCTCTTTCTCTTCTCTTCTGCCTATTAAATCTCCGCTTCTAAACTCCTCATGTGGGTCCGTGTCCTAAATTTTCCTGGCATGCAACAAGGAACCGGAAGGTATATACCCCAGATGACATAGGCACTTCACCTGAACTTCCCTCCTTTCCTGTCAGTCACTGTTTTCTTTTCAGTTCCACTGTGCTAGTAGATAGAACTCCACCACACACCTTTTTACTGACATTCCTGCACTATTAGCTGATCTTTGCTCACTTTTTACCTTAATTATTTCAACGCCTCATTACTGCTAAAGGGAGATTTCTAAAATATAAATATTCTCCCCAGGATGCAAATACAAAAATGCACCTGTTTCCTTTTAGCAGCCTTTGGATAAAGCTCCAACTCTGCACACAGCTCCTCAAGGCCAGCAGGTCTGGATTTCCACGCTAGCTCCTGGGCTCCAGCCAAGCCAAATCGCTGCAAGTTTTCTTTCTACATCTTTGTTTCTCTGAATTCTGCCTCTGCTTCTCCCTTTGACTCCATATTCAGTACACCTGTTCCTTCCTCTTTGCTGGGCTCACTTCTACCCGTTCCTCAATGCTTAGGGCAGCTGTGGGCTCTCAGGAATGACCTGTGATCTAGCAGGGCTGAGTTCCTGCCTTTGTGTTCTCATCTTATCACAACACTGGTCAAACTGGAGCTGTCATGGCCTCCCCACTGCCTCCATGCCCTTTCTGGGACCACTACCTTTATCCACATTCAAGAAAGCACAGGCCGGTGCAGCACGGTGGCTCACACCTGTAATCCCAGCACTTTGGGAGGCCAAGATGGGTGGATCACCTGAGGTCAGGAGTATGAGACCATCCTGGGCAACATGGTGAAACCCTGTCTCTACTAAAAATACAAAAATTAGCCAAGCATGGTGGCACCTGCCTGTAATCCCAGCTACTCCAGAGGCTGAGGCAGGAGAATAACTTGAACCTGGGAGGCGGAGGTTGCAGTGAGCTGATACTCCACCACTGCACTCCCAGCCTGAGCGACACCGAGAGACTTCATTTCAAAGAAAGGGAAGGGGAGGGGAAGGAGAAAGGGAAGGTAGCACCACCCAAGCTCTTGTTAAGAAAAGAAAGGAAAAGAAAAGAGAAGAAAGCGCATCACCCAAGCTCTTGTTCTGGGAGGTATGGCTAGAGCTGCCCCCACTGAATAGTATTCAATATTTCTTGCCATCACTGTTGACTCAGTGTGTAGGGATGGACTAAGCCAAGCTGGGTTTTATTATCATCGCTGTTAATATCATTGGAATAAGTGAAACCGCCTTTGCAGAATTATGACTGAGACAGCGAAAGAGATCTAGCTTAGCTGACTCCATCTTGGTTCCAACCTCCAAGCTGTCCTCGTTCCTTCCTGGGCACAGGGTGAACTAACTTTGGGAAGAACATTGTTTATAGTTTACAGTTTAAAACAACGATGATAACAGCTGTTTCTCAAAACAGACCTCTTTCTTCCTTGGGTACTAGACTGCCTTTGTAGAACTGAGAAATTAGCCACAAGATTAGAAATTATAATATAGGAGTTATGCAGCTGGAGACTGCAAGATTCTGACTCCCTAAACTGCTCCTAAGATCAGGGCTTGAGACGTTTTGCAGACCCCGCACTTGATGGACCAGCTGGCACCCCCCCAGGTCGATAAACTGGCTCATCTGATCTTGCGGCCCCCACCCAGAAACTGACTCAGTGCAAGAGGATAACTTCAATCTCCCATGATTTCATCTCCTACATAACCCATCAGCACTCCTGGCTCACTAGCTTCCCCCCACCCACCAAGTTGTTCTTAAAAACTCTGATCCCCGAATGCTCGGGGAGACTGATTTGAGTAATAGTAAAACTCCAGGCTCCCACACAGCTGGTTCTGCATGAATTACTCTTTCTCCATTGCAATCCCCTCGCCTTGATAAATAGGCTCTGTCTAGGCAGAGAGCAAGGTGAACCCATTGGGAGGTCACACGAGCAGCTCTCTTTATCTTCAGTTGCTCTCTTTATCCTGGTATTGCTAAGACATTGGCAGTCCGGGGTCTATGGGCCCCTTTTTGGAGAAGATTTGCCTAAAGGTGAGACCAACACAGATTAAAGCAGAGATAAAAGGCAGAGACAAAGATGTCACAGCCTGATAGCATTATTTGAGCCAACCTTGGAACACACGGGGATTCTCAGTAGCATGAATCAGCCCATCTCAATGACCGTTACTTGCAATAAAAAAAAATCCTGACAAATTTTGTATTTGTATTGTTGGTTTTTGGATCTGTGTCCTTTTAAACTGAGAGTTTCTTCTGAACGCAACATTTAGCATGGAAACACTAGGCAATATAAGCTTGGCTAAACTTGCTGAATGAACAAATCATACATTTGTGATGCACTCTTTGTTTTTCATGAAATCAGCCTTGCTCTTTTTGGATAATTAGGGTCCTGTGAATGTAAGTGAATGGATCTCTAAGTCAGATCTAGCCTTTTTTTTTTGTTTTTGGAATAACCCTCCTGGAAAGCAGGAGTGACATCTCACTCCCTTCTGACCTAGATTTCATGAGTCACATGGAGGAAAGCTTCAGTCGCAGGAGAAGACTTGGGATTCTCCACCTGGGAAGTGCTCCCTAGGCAATGAAGAAATACATAGGGCAATTTTGCCCCAAAAATTTATCTTACATATAAATGGCAAGTAGCTTGATTCTGTGCATTTGTCTTTATAAGATGTCCCTTGATCAATGATCAATATCCACTGTCGTGAGCAACGTAGAGTTTTTGAAACAACTGGGTACATACTTGGGACTGAATCTTGGATATTGGTGTCAGCTGGTTAACTGTTCTTTTCCAAGGCCTCATATATCAGCAGGATGATGCAGCTGTGCCCACTGAAGAAGCAATTTGGGAAAACAGACCTAAGTCACTGTATTAGTCCATTTTCACACTGCTGATAAAGACATACCTGAGACTGGGTAATTTATAAGGAAAAAGAGGTTTAATGAACTCACAGTTCCATGTGGCTGGGGAGGCCTCACAATCATGGCCAAAAGCAAAAAGCACTTCTTACATGGTGGGAGCGAGAGAATGAGATCCCAGTGAAAGGGGTTTTCCCTTATCAAACCATCAGATCTCCTGAGACTTATTCGCTACCATGAGAACAGTACGGGGAAAACTGCCTCCATGACTCAATTATCTCCCACTGGGTCCCTCCCATAACACATGGGATTTATGGGAGCTACAACTGAAGATGAGATTTGGATGGGGACACAGTCAAACCATATCGCTCACCCTGTTAAAAAGAAAAACATACTTGTGTGGTACCGAGAGAATAATTTGTAATTTCTAAACAACATACATCACTCATTATGTTGTGGATATTCTAGATGTTGAAATTACAGTACATAAATGTGATTATTTTTCACTACAGTGCATAACCTAGTGACTTAATACTGAAATTATAACTTCCTAGAGGCAACATGAAGTCTGTTGACTTCAGGGCAGCCATTCGGATGAGACAGGCAGTCCTTCTGCTCCACAGCATTGGCTGCCATGGCAACTGACCCCTGCTCACCCTCCTGGGCTTAGAGGAGGAAGAATCACACCAGCACCAGGCCCTCACTTTCATCATGCTATAGGGTTTGACAAGTCGGCTCCATTCCCTTATGTTGCTGTCTTCCAAAAGGAGCCTATGGACCTGTGTGGTGTGGCCATCCATTGGCAAATGGGGAAACTGAGGCTTTGAGGAGTATAGCACAGGCACATGGTCACAGAGCTGGGAACAGAAGATGGCAAGGATGTCACTGGATCTTCTCACCATACATTTCTTCCTTTCTTCTTGTTACCAGCCCACCCCTCAGTTAACTCCCTCCTTTCTTAATCTACCATGGAGTTGCCACTGGTTGATCAAGGAATCTTCATGTTGGAAGAAAGGTGTGCAACATTTTCCTCCTAGTTGCATTATTTTTCTTACAAAAATCATTGATGGGTAACAAACCCAACAGGCACATAGGCCTTAAACAATATGGGGCTGAATCACATCTCAGTGCTTTACCAGAGAATCTTCTGTTTCCCTGATGAACTAAATCTCACAGAGTTCTTTCGGAAAGTTGTTTTAAGGTTTTTGCCCTGATGTTGAAGAGAAGCATGGTCTGCAGAGGCCGACTGTTGTCAGGGGCTCCGTTGTGCAGATTCTGAAATGAGCTCTACGGAGTAATGGAAGTGCATCTTGGTCTAAGTAACATAAAGGGAAATTTTTACAGTCTTCTTTGGTGGATATTTTTCATCAAGATTTGAGAGGCAGCAGCCGGACATGGTGGTTCACGTCTGTAATCCTAGCACTTTGAGAGGCCGAGGTGGGTGGATCACTTGGGGACAGGAGTTCAAGACCATCCTGGCCAACATGGTGAAACCCCGTCTCTACTAAAAATACAAAAGTTACCTGGGCAGCTACTCAGGAGACTGAGGCAGGAGAATCGCTTGAACCTAGGAGGCGGAGGTTGCAGTGAGCTGAGATCTCGCCATTGCACTCCAGCCTGGGCGACAGAGTGAGACTCTGTTAAAAAAAAAAAAAAAAAAGAGAGGCAGGAACGCAGTGTATGTGTGTTTTTCTAAATTAAAGTTTTCAACCTCCAATAAAACAATTCAAAGCCAGCAAAGTTTTAAAAGCCGAGAGGCGCTTCTTTGTAAATCATATCAGGTTTACACATAAATTAATATTTATTTTGCAAAATAAAAAGAAATCTCGGAAGCTAATATTGAAAAGCAATTTTTGCAGTTCTTGAGGCAGTATTCTATTTATGACAATTCAGTTTATTAAAAAGATGAGATGCATTTTCATAAATGTGAAACGAAACAAAAAGCAACAACAAGAAGAGGGTAGGCAGCCGGGCACTGTGGCTCACACCTGTAATCCCAGCACTCTGGGAGGCCAAGGCAGGCAAATCATGAGGTCAGGAGTTCGAGATCAGCCTGGCCAACATGGTGAAATCCCGTCTCTACTAAAAATACAAAAAAAAAAAAAAATCAGCTGGGCGTAGCGGCAGATGCCTATAATCCCAGCTACCCGGGAGGCTGAGACAGGAGAATCGTTTGAACACGGGAGGCGGAGGTTGCAGTGAGCCGAGACTGCATCACTGCACTCCAGCCTGGGCGACAGTGAGACTCTGTCTCAAAATTAAAAAATAAATAAATGAATAAATAAATAAATAAATAAAATAAAAGAAGAGGGTAGGCTTCAGAATGAGAAATTCCTGTACTCACATCTGGCTCTGCCTTTCACCTGAATTTTTTTCTTGAGAAACAACTTATATACCAAGCCTCGATTTTTATAATGTGAAAATGGGGATGGCAATGCTATGGTGAGTGTGACACAAAAAATATAGAATGCACGAAGGAGGGATTGAGGCAGATGCTGTAATGAGTTTCAGGTTAGTCAGGATGTTCCAGAGAAACAGAGCCTCTCTTATCCCCCAAATCTGCATAGGGTTACTTCTGGGATTGTGAACAGTTCAGCTCAGCTCAACCAGGCTCCAGGGGGAACCCTCAGTGGGTCCCAAAAGAAAGCTGCATGGAGTGAAAGGATCAAGAAAATGCAGAAAGGAGATGGGTATAGGATGAGACCCAGGAGGGCCGGCCAAGAGTCCTCCTTGTCCGATTTCTCTATGAGTAAGTCCTCCCCTGCCTCCATAGATTAGGCGCTTCTGGGCCAATGCCCAGAACAACCTGTCCCAGCTCCCAAAGGGCCTGTGCCGCTGAGGCATGTGTGAGAGAACCTGCTTTAAATTGGTTATGTCAGCAGTTACTGTGTGAGGGGTCCCAGCTCCCCTGGAAATGGCCAGAAGGGAACTCAGACAGGAGAGTGAACAATCCTGGTGCCCTCCACAGCCAGGCCCTGGGGCCTGTCCACTCTCAGCACCTGCGCTGGAAAAGACCGCACCTTCCTTCTCTGCCCGATGCATGCAGGACGTCTGCACCATACCTGATCCGATCAGCTTCTCAGATCAGCCTCTTTGCAGGGCAGGGAGGCAGGGAGGCAGGGAGGCCAGGTCATCTTCTTGTTCTCTCCAGGCAGGTGGAAACCTTAAGGCCCAGAAGGACCAGAAACGTGCTTGAAAACACGAACCCTGCATATTCAGTCAAGTTTAGATCATGCAGTAATTTAAGGACCATGTAAAGCCAGTTAATAGCACAAATTCTACCTGGATATGGAAAAAAGTATGAAGGTCAAAGAGTTATCAGATTGTCAAAGTCTGGTGTGCATACCACTGGGAGAGGAGAGATGAGTTTAGGGAGCATGAATAAGCATTTGCTTTTTATTTTTCCATCATTTGATTGTGAATATTAAAAAAAGAAGAGTTGAAATAATTGTAGAGTGAACATCCATTTATCTATCACCAGGTGAACATCCATACATCTACCACCGAGGCTCTACATCCATGTATCTACCACCAAGTTTCTATGACTGCTTATAGCTTGTTGTATTTGCTTTTAAGTTTTGTTTTTATTTTAATAGTTAGCTGTATTCTAATTGCATGCTAGGGGCAAGCTGAATTAGCACATCAAATGCATCATTTCATGGATGTTTTGGCTTAGGACAAACCAAGAGTAAATGTTTAAGTAAAGAAGACAAGTCAATTAAATAAAATCTACTAAATGATAGGGCGGCTAGAACCCACAGAGGGAAAGATGTGAGGGCGGCCCCTGAATGACTATAATTAGAGGAATAGAATCTCAGCCAATGAAACCCCTTAAATAAGAACCATTTTGCCAATGGCTGTAGCTCTTGTTGTTGTTTTGTGCCTACAGTCTATGCAAAGCTAAGGCTGATGATGAGTATGGTAGATTTCAGAAAACATAAACTAGTTTACTTACAAGTACAGGAGGCTTTTCTCAGTAGCGTCTTTCTTTACCTGAGCAGGTGAACTGCAGGACGTGGCACCTGCGGACACAAAGAAGTGCTCATTTGGAAGCAGAGCACCCAGGAGCCTGCCTGTCCTACTCATGCCCTTGGGAGGTCCAGGTCTGTCTTCTGAAGGGCAGGAATTTAGCCATCTGTTCTAATGTAAACAGGGAATCCAAGAGCTTGGGTGGAATTGAGTCCAGTGACTCTGCAGAGGCAGCTGGACAGGGCTTCAGCTCAGGGGCAGGGGCTGTGCCTTGTTCATGAGGCTGGGAAGGGGCTTCTCAGATCAGCCTCTTTACAGGGCAGCTGCAAAGTGCTTTCCTCCCCGGCTGCCCCTCATCCCATCAAGGGGAATGGTGCTGACCATTTTTCCTACTCTGTATCATCTCATGGAAACACACAAATCGATAGCGTAGCAGTCAGCAAAAGGATCTGTGGAGCGAAGAGCATATTACAGCATGATATCTTCATAACTGAAGGAAACCAGTAAGTGACCAATTATATATTAACAGAGGACATCCAAATGCACCACGAATTTTCTCTTGTCAAGATAGATTGCCCGTGATCATGAGGTCACTATCCAACAGCCGCTCATTAAATTCATTTGTTTATTGACTGTCCTGTTAGAACCTATTGGGTTCTCATTTGTTTTTCCTTAAGCTGCATAGTAAGATAAGTACAAATATACATAAACCTAAAATAGGGAAAAAAAGACAGGAAAAAGATGAGAAAAAAGTAAACAACTATATAAAATGCCATTACATATTCAATTAGCAACACTTAAGCAACCAAACTCGGGTGGGTGGCTGGATGAGGTTTAAATTTGGCACTTGATGAATTCTGCAAATCCGGTCATAAGAATCTCCTGCTGCAGCAAATGGGTAACAAAGTTTTTCTGTTGCATGTGCGTGCGTGTGTGTGTGTGTGTGTGTATGTCTTTCTCTCTCTTTTCTCTCTTTATGTTTCTCTTGATCTTACTATTCAGCTAGAGAGTCAAGACAGAAAAAGACAGAAACCATTAAAATGATTGCTGGATGATGTTTAAAAATGAACCGAGACACAATACAAATGTAATGACTGTATTTGAGGAAACAGTGTTTCACAAGTGGTCTGGAAGCTCCACGAGGAAACACAAAGGTTAGGCTTTTACAGAACAACACAGAGGTAAAGCAAAGACAATATTGGGTTGGTTATAGCTATCCAGTTGCCTTTAGTTGCTTTATCCCATTGGACAGTTCCTAGTTATCTAAGCTTATTGGCTGCTTCTGATTGAGCTTAATTCTGTTTTTCTTTGGTATAGGGGTTTAACTTGAGAAATAGCTCAAGTTAAGTTCTACTTATGTTTGCAAATCAAACTCCAAAGCAAAGCTAAGGAGTCTTCTGAGCCCTGACTGGCTTGTCAGGCCCGGTCTTTGCTTTAATTCGCTTCACCAATGGTACCTTAGGCACTGTCACCCCTTCATGCTAGAGAAGTCAGGGCCGGAGACCCTCCGTGTGGTGTGAAGGTCAAAGGAAGGGCCTCAGAGGATGGGGGGTGGGAGCACTGTATTGCTGGTGGATTGGAGGAATTTGATTTAAACCCACATCTACCACCCATTTCCCATGTGACCCTAGACAGGTTATTTAGACTTTTTCTTTTTTTTGGGATGGAGTCTCACTCTGTCTCCAGGCTGGAGTGCATCTCAGCTCACTGCAATTTCTGCCTCCCAGGTTCAAGTGATTCCCCTGCCTCAGCCTCCCAAGTAGCTGGGACTACAGGCACGTGCCACCACGCCCAGCTAATTATTTGTATTTTAGTAGAGATGGGGTTTCACCATGTTGGCCAGGATGGTCTCGATCTCCTGACCTTGTGATCCGCCTGCCTCAGCCTCCCAAAGTGCTGGGATTACAGGCGTGAGCCACCGTGCCCGTTCAGTTATTTAGACTTTCTAAGCTCCAGGGGACATAGGAATCGTAACAGATTATCCTTTGAGATGACTCATCTGGGTAACCAATATTTCTCATTTAACCTCTATGCAATCATTGTTTTCACTGCCTGGTATCCTTTACCTTACTTTCAGAAAAACACCTCAGTTTCCACTGGGGAATCCCTACCTCCTCCTGATCCTGGGAAAGAGCCATGTGACCCAGCCCTAACTCAGCAAGGGCATGGCTATTACCTTCCATGATGAACCATTCAGGGAGAGGAACATGACCTAATTAGGCCACTGAGACCCAGTGAGACCTTTTCTTGAACTGCTGGGATTATGAATAAGGGCTGGAGTTTGTTCTGCCTGCCTGTAGCCACATGAATACTGAGACTGAAGCCAGCAGAGAAAAGGAGGAAGGAAAAGCTGGAAGCAAACGAAGGCCCAATACTAGGGTTTCAGCCTGAATCTGGTCCTACCTAAAACTCACCCTACCCCTGATTTATCAGCTCACATGTGAGTTATTGTTAAGTTTGAGTTGGATTTCTGTCACTTGCAACCCAAACATTGCTAAATTGTTCTACGCAAAGCAATATGCCAGGTGCTGGGGCTACTGTCACGGGCACAGTCCCCATCTTCAAGGACATTACAGTTTCTCAGAGAAGATGGGAAGTAAATAATTAAATATATTATTTTTCATTGAATTGAAGTTGTGCTTGGCCATAAAGAGGAATTATAAGCCCTGTGAGTATGTATAAAACAGAGTCTGTAATGACTTATAGGATGGAGTGAATGGAAGTTACCAGACTCAGCCCCAACCCAGAATCAGCACTCTGAGAGCTGCAATTGTCATGATGCCCCCACTCCACTAAACCACCTTCCAAGCTTCCAGCACGGAGGACTGGAGGGAGGATCGGACTGAGCCTTGCAGAAAGAGTTGGCTGTGGATACGTAATGATCAGGAACTGAAAACACATCTGAACGCTCCAGCCCAGACATCTTCCTTGAGTTCCAAACTTATCTTTCTAACCACTTACTGATCTTCTATACGGAGCTGTCTAAGAAACATCTCAAATACAACTTGTCCTGAGCTGAAGCCTTTGCCCTCCATCCCAGCAAATGCATCTGCACTCTGTCCATTGTTTAGGTAAAAAACCATGGACCTCTCCTCTATTCCCTTCTTCTTATATCCCTCACACTGATCTATCAGCGTATCCTCTGGTGTCCACCTCCAATGCCAACCAGAACCCGGACACGGCCACTTCTCATCATCTCCATTGAGGACTAAGCTCTGATTTTTTTATTTTGCCCAAGTTCCTATCTAAGGCATCTTGAGAGTCATGCCCTACAAACCATAAATTCTCATCAGATGGTTTTTATTTAACACTAAATATCATGACTTACTTTCCAACCCAACTCTGGCATAACCTACGAGACTAGGAAGAAAATCAAAATATTTAACCCCAAAATATATTTCCTTGCCATACCTTGAAATTGCCCTGCAAAGTCTCTTGGGAAAAATCCACATTCTATAGAGAATTCCCTTTCCCTTTTGTTTTCCTTCCTTCCTTTGCAGATCCAGGAGATAATCAAGTAAGAGCCAGGCACCCTTTTAAGATAAGAAACATTTTACAACCTGCTCTCTCTCTGAAGTCACCTATCTGAGAGCTTCCTCTGCACAATAAAACTGGGCCTCCCCAATCTTTTATCTTAACCTGAACATTCCTTTCTATCAATCCCAGGTCTTTAGACATACTCAGCCAATTATCAATCAGAAAAAGTTTAAATTTACCTGTGGCCTGGAAGCCCCCGCTTTGAGTTGCACCCCCCGCCCCACTTTCTGAATGAAACCAATGTATTTCTTAAATGTATTTGATTGATGTCTCATGCCACCTTAAATATATAAAGCCAAGCTGTGCCCCGACCACCTTGGGTACATGTTCTCAGGACCTCCTGAGAGTTGTGTGAGGGGCATGGTCACTCATATTTGGCTCAGAATAAATGTCTTAAAATATTTTACAGAGTTTGACTCTTTTTATCAACACCACGATCCCATTTCAGTCCCCCAGCATGGCTCACCTGGATTATTACACTTGCAGTGATCTGCTTACCTCAGTGCTCCAGTTTACCTAACTGCTCCCGTCCACTCCTTCCTCTGTTCTCCACACAGTGGCCAGGGGACAACATACCTTCTCAAATGCATGTTAGAGCTCATGTGACCCTAGACAGGCTCCCACGTGACCCTAGACAGCCTCCCACGTGACCCTAGACAGCCTCCCGTGTGACCCTAGACAGCCTCCCATCTGACCCTAGACAGCCTCCCACATGACCTTAGACAGCCTCCCACCTGACCCTAGACAGCCTCCCATCTGACCCTAGACAGCCTCCCACATGACCTTAGCCTCCCATCTGACCCTAGACAGCCTCCCATGTGACCCTAGACAGCCTCCCATCTGTCCCTAGACAGCCTCCCACTTGACCCTAGACAGCCTCCCACTTGACCCTAGACAGCCTCCCACGTGACCCTAGACAGCCTCCCATCTGGCCCTGGACAGCCTCCCACGTGACCCTAGACAGCCTCCCATCTGACCCTAGACAGCCTCCCATCTGACCCTAGACAGCCTCCCACGTGACCCTAGACAGCCTCCCATCTGACCCTAGACAGCCTCCCACGTGACCCTAGACAGCCTCCCACTTGACCCTAGACAGCCTCCCACGTGACCCTAGACAGCCTCCCATCTGGCCCTGGACAGCCTCCCACATGACCCTAGACAGCCTCCCATCTGACCCTAGACAGCCTCCCATCTGACCCTAGACAGCCTCCCACGTGACCCTAGACAGCCTCCCATCTGGCCCTGGACAGCCTCCCACATGACCCTAGACAGCCTCCCATCTGACCCTAGACAGCCTCCCATCTGACCCTAGACAGCCTCCCACGTGACCCTAGACAGCCTCCCATCTGACCCTAGACAGCCTCCCACGTGACCCTAGACAGCCTCCCATCTGACCCTAGACAGCCTCCCACGTGACCCTAGACAGCCTCCCACGTGACCCTAGACAGCCTCCCATCTGACCCTAGACAGCCTCCCACGTGACCCTAGACAGCCTCCCATCTGACCCTAGACAGCCTCCCACGTGACCCTAGACAGCCTCCCACGTGACCCTAGACAGCCTCCCACGTGACCCTAGACAGTCTCCCATCTGTCCCTAGACAGCCTCCCACGTGACCCTAGACAGCCTCCCACGTGACCCTAGACAGCCTCCCACGTGACCCTAGACAGCCTCCCGTGTGACCCTAGACAGCCTCCCGTGTGACCCTAGACAGCCTCCCACGTGACCCTAGACAGCCTCCCACGTGACCCTAGACAGCCTCCCACGTGACCCTAGACAGTCTCCCATCTGTCCCTAGACAGCCTCCCACGTGACCCTAGACAGCCTCCCACGTGACCCTAGACAGCCTCCCACGTGACCCTAGACAGTCTCCCACGTGACCCTAGACAGCCTCCCACGTGACCCTAGACAGCCTCCCACATGACCCTAGACAGCCTCCCACGTGACCCTAGACAGCCTCCCATCTGACCCTAGACAGCCTCCCACGTGACCCTAGACAGCCTCCCATGTGACCCTATTCTGGTTGGCTCAAAACTCATCAGTGCTGACACTCAGAATATAAAGCGATTCCCTTAATGTGACCACGAGCCCCCCCTGCATCCTGCCCCTGTTGGTTGCTCTGTACTCACCTTCTTCTGCAGACCCTACTGGCAGCCTTTGAACCTGACACACACACCCTTGCTGTTCTGCGTGCAATCCCCTCTGCTTGCAACACTGTTCCGCTTGCAGGCACTTCCTCACATCCTCTCTGCTCACAGGCCACCTGGTCACACAGAACTCCCCGCCCTTCCACTCCCAAGGCCACCCTCATTCCTTGCTGTCTCCTTACCCAGCTTTATTCTTCTTAATACTCATCACCACTTGCCAAACTCTTTATTTGTTTCTTCACTCATTCTTTGTCTGCATTCCTTGGGAGAATCCTAGCTCCTCAAGAGGAGGAACTTCTCTCTGCTGTGTTCACCACTGCAGCCTCAGGACCTAGGACAGTGTCTAACACAAAGTAGGTCTCGATAAATTCTTACTGAGTGGGTCGAATCGGGGCTCCTGTGGGCTCAGTGTCTTGAGCTGGGTCACAAGAGCAAAGGGAGTGAGCCTGGTTCAAAAAAAGAACAGAGTTGTCCTCCTGGTCTGAAGCATCTTTGTACCAGTCTCACTCATCTCACCCTTGGACCACATAACAGATGCTGACTGCTCCCTGCATCCACTCTTTTTTTCATTTTCTAATAGAAGCGAATTCATATTCTGTGTTGTCGTGTGTTACTTACAAATTACATTGCTACATTTTATAAAGTTTCCAGTGTTTCCCCATATCTTACAAAACTGATTGAGGAAAAAATAAAAACTTAATCTATTTAGACTGACTACAGGGATCTTTGATTGCCTAAAACAACAGTATAGCAATTTCTCTATCTGCTCTCGTCTTCCTCCCGTCATACTCATACAGCAACCACAGTGAGCTTTCCGAAATGCAAATTCAGCCACCTCATCCCCTGCCTGAACCCCTTTGATGGCCTCGCCTTGTTCTCAGAAACACCGAGCAGCCTCAGAACCTTAAATTTTGTGCCTAAATGAAGCCCAATCTTCTACAACATCCTACAGGGCACCGCGGAGTCCTGAACCTTCATGTCATATCTACTGTGGCAGGTGGAACTCTAAAGTGGCCCTGTGACCTCCACCCCTGGATTCCACTCCCATGATCATGCTATATTATGTGGCAAAAAGAATTTTGCTTCCCAGCACTTTGGGTGGCTGAGGCGAGTGGATCACCTGAGGTCAGGAGTTGGAGATCAGCCTGGCCAACATGGTGAAATCCCATCTCTACTAAAAACACAAAAATTAGTTGGGCATGGTGGCTTGCACTTGTAATCCCAGCTACGTGGGAGGCTGAGGCAGGAGAATCACTGGAACCTGGGAGGCAGAGGTGGTAGTAAGCCGAGATTGTGTCATTGCACTCCAGCCTGGGTGACAGAGCGAGACTCTGTTGCACTCCACTCATTGCACTCCAGCCTGGGCAACAGAGCAAGACTCCATCTCAAAAAAAAAAAAAAAATTGATGATGCAATTGAGGATGCTAATCAGTGACCTTACATAGGGAGATTATCCAGGTGGGTCTAAGCAAATCACAGGAGCTCTTTAAAATCCAAGAGTTTTCTCCAGCTGGAGAAAGGGGAAGTCAGAATCAAAGCAGAAGAAAGCTTGAACACGTTGTTCCAGCTTTGACAATGCAGGAGACCTCCTGGTAAGGAGTGTGGGTGACCTTTAGAGGAGGAGAAAGGCCCCCGGCTAACAGCCATCAGAGAAACAAGGAAGATCTCAATTATACAGTTGCAAGAAACAATTCTTCCAATCACCTAAACGAGCCTGGAAGCAGCTCCTCCTACCAGAGCCTCCAGGTAAGACACCACTCTGGCAGGTGCCTTGATTTGGGCCTTGTGAGACCTCAGCAGAGAACCCAGTGGAACATGAGCCTATACAACTGGGACATGATAACTGGGTATTGTTTTAAGCTGCTAAGTGTGTGTGTGTGTGTGTTGTTATGCAGCAATATAAAACCAATTCCCTTCTGTTACATGTTTTCTCCTCTCCTCCTAGCCTTGTTACCTACCTCTCACCACTCAGACCCCAGTTTAAGCTTCACTTCCTCAGAGACACCTCCTGCCTCCTTGTATGGATTCAGGTCCCCGGACCTCCAACCATGTCCTCTTCCCTCCTTGCCACGGTCACCATGTCGTGTGTGTGTGCAATTGTTTAGGTCAGTTTCATGTCAAACCACTTCCCACTCTCACATCGCCTGGAGCAACTCCTTAGGTGGGAGTCAGTCTGGGATAAGAAATCTCTTGCCCTTCTGGATGCTCATGTATTGTTGTGGGAGGGCTTCTTTCAAGAACATGGTTGAGAAGATTCATTATTCTGTTTTAGTCCATTTTATCTTGATTCCCTGGGAGTGCTTATGAAACGGCTACGTTGTCTGGGGTATATGCCCCGGGGTTCATTGTCCTGCACCGAGAAAGAATTCAGGACAAGGACATGTGTGGATGTGTTAAGGAGTGGAAAGTTTAATAGACAGAAGAAAGGAGAGAGGAGAGCATCTTCTTGAGAGAGAGAGAGATGTCTGAGAAGTGGGGAGGCAGCCCACCGCAGCAGATTTTCTAGGAAGGCTGGAGAAGTCGGTGTCTGATTTACACAGGACTCAAGGATTGCTTCGATCAGGTATGACATTTACATAGTGCATGGGGAAGGCTGGTTGCCCCACCCTAATCTTATTATGCAAATGGACTTTCTAGTTGATCAGTGCCATCTTGTCTGCTTACTGTACGCATGGCTGACAAAGAGAAGGGACAATGGAGCCGCCATCTTGAACATGATTGGCACAAATGCCAATATCTATGTCTGCAGCTCGATTTTACAGGCTGCTGTTTGTTAGAAAGGAAAATAACTTGGGGCTGCTTTTCGTTAAAAAAGAAAAGCCTTACCGAGGACTCCCATACCCTTACTATCTGCCTAAGTAATTTCTTCTTAACTCCTATATCATGTAGAGAAATGACTGCAAGTGCAGCTAGAAAACCCAGCGTACCTGGAGGTAGGGGAAACTCAAGTGTATAAACCACGCAGCACACAGTCAGTTAGTACATTTTAGCTTTGATTTCTGCTAAGTGAACATTATGCTTTTTCTAAAGTACCTTGGGCACCACCCAGAGCCCATCGCTTTCTGGTGGACTTGTGGTTTTAGTCTTGTATAAATTCCCAACGCTCATTTTACTTGCTATCTCATCCTGAACATTGTGATCATGCATTTGTACAGCACATTGTTGAGTTTGTTTCATCAAAGGGCTAAACAACTTTGATGTTGAATTCTAAAAAGTATTTATAGGGCAGGCATGGTGGCTCACACCTGTAATCCCAGCACTTTGGGAGGCCGAGGTCTTTTGAGGCCAGGAGTTCCAGACCAGCCTGACCAAAATGATGAAACCCTGTCTCTACCAAAAATACAAAAATCAGCAGGGCCTGGTGGCAGGTGCCTGTAATCCCAGCTACTTGGGAGGCTGAGGCACAAGAATTGCCTGAACCCAGGAGGTGGAGGTTGCAGTGAGCTGAGATCATGCCCCTGCACTCCAGTCAGAGCAATAGAGCAAGTATCTGTCTCAAAAAACAAACAAACAAAAGTATTTGTGGAAAATAGAGAAATATTTTCCTGTGTGTGGCCAAATTGCAGTATCATTTCCAGGCTGTCACAGCAAAGCCTGCGTTACCTAGAAATGTCAATGAGCCCCGACACAAGTATCACCCCAAACTGAGCCATGATCATTATCATTTTTAGAAGTTAACTGGGCCAGGTGCGGTGGCTCACGCCTATAATCCCAGCACATTGGGAGGCTGAGGCGGGCAGATCACCTGAGGGCAGACGTTCATGACCAGCGTGGCCAACATAGTGAAACGCTGTCTCTACTAAAAATACAAAAATTGGCCAGGCGTGGTGGCAGGTGCCTGTAATCTCAGCTACTCAGGAGGCTGAGGCAGGAAAATCGCTTGAACCTGGGAGGCGGAGGTATCAGTGAGCCGAGATGGCACCACTGGACTCCAGCCTGGGCTACAGAGCAAGACTCTGTCTCAAAAAAAAAAAAAAAAAAGTTAACTGAGCTTTGGGCAGCTTAGTCTGCATTTTACAACATACACCGGCAGGTGGAAGTCCTAGCATCCTGCTGTCGCCCCACCCATAATCTACAAGACATCTACAAGACAGCTCTCCAAGGACAATCAAAGACAAGCCAGTGTGGATTTACAAAAGCTCAGGGAAGGTCTTATTGTACAACAATTGGTGTGTTGTGGTATGGGTGGTACTGTTGCATCTCTGTGTTCAAATCCAGCCCTTGACTCTCACTAGCTGTGAAATCTTGTTAAATTACTGTGAAGTCTCTGCAGGTGTCATCTTGTCCTTTGATAAGGACACTGTCACTGGATTTAGGGCTCACCCTAATCCAGTATGACTTTCTCTTAATACAGCTTCAAAGACCCCTGTTTCCAAATAAGGTCACATTCTGAGGTTTTGCATAGGCATGAGTTGTCGGGGGATGCTATTCAACCTTCCCTAGGCACCGATGGTCTTGATCTGGCAATGCTGGGATCCAGGCCTGAGCTTTTAATCAGACCACTCTCCGGGTAAGGAAAGCAACATTTCTATCATTGCCTGAACAACTTTTCTCTTAATTAAAGCCAAGCTCACTTATAAGTGATGGTGGTGGAGGATAAAATCCATTGACAAGATAAACTAGTTGATAAACTTCAACTAGGTCCTTCAGAGGATTTTTTCCATGTGTTTAGAACTGAAAGCCGATTGCAATGTCAGCTGTAATTACCCAAGCCCATTACATGGCCACAGGCAGGTGGCACTTAAAGAAATTGTGCAGATGCTGAAACCAGTCTCTGAGAGCCCTCCACAAAGCCCCAATCTGAGCTTAGTTGAAAACACATCTCAAAATAGATCAAAGCCAAATCTCCTGCAGCCAGCAGGTGATGAGAAAGTGCACAGAACATGACAGTGACAGGCAGCTTAAAGTACAGAGGAAAGTGGTTTCTTTCTGCCTCCATCAACCTAGCCTGTAAATCATCACCTTTGACTCTGTTTGGATCATGTATCTCATCACCATTATCTTCATCACCACCATCCTCACTGTGCTTAGAACTTCCCCATGCCAGCCCCATCTCCTTCCAAGGAAGAGCTTTTTCCTGAGCTTCTGGGAATGCCGCCAGCTGAGCATCTTCAGCTGCCAGCTCCTTCAAGGACAGCCTCACCTGCAGAACGCTGCCTCTCCTAAGGCCATGTCCCACTTGGGTAGCCCACATCCAATGACTGATTGAGACAAGTGCTTAAATGCATGGCCACTTCAGCCTCACTGTTCAATCCCCAGTGGAATACCCTCCCCCCAACTCTGCTGGGCTATTCCATTCCAGAGCCTGCCTGTAGGATCTGTCAAGGCTGTTCTTGGACCTGCCTGGGTGTCATCATCTCCTGCCCAATTCTCCTCCCTTCCTTCCACTGTGATAGTCCTAAGGACATTATTTAATAAACATTCTCCATATGAAACCCCATCTTAGACACATTTTCCAGGGAGGCCCAACCTGCAACAATTATCATGGCTAACCTTTCTCAAGCATGAAGCTCTGACTAGGGTCAGAAATGACATGAAGACTTGTATTATCACATTTCCCCAACAAATCCATGTGCTGTGTGCTCTTCAGTGGATTTTACAGTTGGGAAAACTGAGGGTCGGAGTGTGTAAGTGGCTACCTTGTAACTGGTGGATCTTGGACTGTGAGCCCAGCTCTGCAGATACCCAATTCCCATGCTACGTAAATATGCTATTCTGTTTTCTGTCGTGCAATACCAGGCATTTCAATGGGAGTCACTGTATGTAAAGTTAGAATGTTAGACTTTGAGCTCCTAGAAGGCAAGTTTGAAAGGCGATTAGGTATTCTTACGTCTTCCATAGCTACCTTTGTGTTTTTCCATCATTCTTTCTAATTGGGGGAGGGTAAAGGGAGTACCACTCTAAGGTTCTAGTGGACACTAATGACCCTCTTCCTGGGAAAACAACCATAAGCATATTCTGTGCATCTGCTCAGGTGCTTTATCATGTACTATGCACCATCCTTTCTGTTTCTTGGCTATGTTGGATGCTTGCGATTGTGAAAGGCATTAACACACAGCCACTCTTGCAGAGTTGATGCTCACTCCTCCAGGCATGATTTAAGTTCTAGAAGGAATTGTTGCCTCTGGGTGGGCCCCGTTTGCCTTGCTTGGCACATGATTGCATGCACACACGCTCCATTTGTAGAAGAAATTTGCAGATGCTCTGCGCAGCAAGCAGTATGCATCAGCTCCATTGACAAAGGTGGTGTCCATAAAAATGACATTTTTAGCTTGGGGTGGAAAGGCTGGTCACATCCTAAGAAATAACATATGCAGAAAAGAACTAGTGAGCTTTTGTTTCTCTAAGAGTCCTTAAAATATAGCCTCCAGAGCTCTCATGAGGCACGAATTTTTTTCTCGGATGCCCTACCCATTGGCGTCTATACACATCATTTTTTTCAGGAGAAATTTATTATGGATGCACCATGCACCATAAGGAGAACCACGAAGACAGAAGTGAAATGCGATAGAGTTATATCTCCACAGGGGGATGGACATGGTGCCCTGGGATCTGTGTCAGGGTGCCCAAGACCAGGTCAGGTTCAAAGATTCACTAGGACAATGCACAAGGCTAAGCGTGCAGTCATCCCCACAGCTATGATTTATCGTAGCAAAAGGACACAAAGAAAAATTGGTAAAGAGAAAGAGTGCATGGGGCAGAGTCCAGAGGAAACTAGTAGCAACCTTCCAGAGTCCTCTCCCATGGAGTCACACAGGATGTGTGTAATTCATCCCAAGATGAGTTGTGAGGACCCATGTGAAATGCCGTGTACAGGGGATGCTCTTACAGACTCCAGGACTCAGATGTATCATGGGAGCTGCTCGCCTGGGTACCCACTGCCTAGCATGTGCCAAAATTCCAGATCCCAGAAGGAAAGCAGACGTCCAGCAAAAGCCATGTTGTTTGGCAGGCACAGTGAGCCATTCATATCAGGAAATGATGGGAACCCTCCCAAAATTTGTTACCCTATGCCAGGCAAGGGCCAACCTTGCAAATACAGCCACAGGCCGGTTTTGTTAACTCCTTTCTGCACAGGATCCAACATGGATAAGTGATTACATCCAAAAAGGCAAGAAGAGCCTCATAGACAAGGTGATGTGTGAGTTAAGCTTATACCAGGCTTGACAAGTGAGCCCCATCGTGCTGGCTGGTCACATGCATGCCATGGTGAGAAGCATCATGAGGCTGTGCCGGTGTTCTGGGACAGACTGTGCCACGATCAGTTGGTGATGTCTGCTGTGGATCCAGAAGGACAAGGTGATGATGATTCCCAATACTTAGCATCATTGTTCAACACCATCACAGCACCCTACTTTTGGTTCCCGTGTGTATGAGTAACTTATGTTCCCTCTTCTTCAACACTGACCATGTTTCCTCTTCTTCAACACTGACTCAGCACACTCATTGTGGCTCTTCTCAACAATGTCCTTTCTCCTGCAGCCTCCCTCCAGTGATATGGCCCCGAATATCACAACGCTTTTCAGGCCAGTGGGGTCAGTTGCAGATACTATCAATAGGGGCTGAACACTGTAATCTCACAGGCTAAATATGGCCCAAGGAAATAATGGATTTGGGCAGCATTGTCTTCCTTAATTGTGAGATTTCATGTACAAATCCAGGTTTCTGGATTTTCTTGAAGAGACAGAAAATATGACAACATTGAACTTACATTTTCAAATGGGAACAATTGACCATAAATAGTGTGATTGTGTAGGGTAGGTGTATAAGAGAGAGCTAGATTGGTGGTAACCAGAGGCCAGGAAGGATAAGGGAAAGGAGGAAGAAGAGAGGTTGATTCATGGGTACAAAAATACCATTAGCAGAAAGAAGACCTAACGTTCCACAGGGCAGGAGAATGCCTATGGTTAACGCTAATCTATTGTACATTTCAAACTAGCTATAAGAGCATCATTTGAGTGTTCCTGGCATAAAGAAAAGATAAATATTTAAGGTGATGAAAATCCCAATTACCTTGATTTGATCTCAGCACGTCATATGATTGTACCAAGTTATCACAGGTACCCCCAAAATATATACATCTATTATGTATTCATAAAAAATTAATTTTAGCAAAGCTCTACTTGATAAAGTATAGTCATTTATTTGAAAATAGGGATGTTCTGGGCCAGGAAATAGTAAATTCAGAAGCTCTGCGGTGGGAATGAATTTAGGGTGTTTGTGCAGCCAAAAGGTGACCAGGGTGGCAGCAATAAAGTTAATAAAGTGAGGCGCAGGGGGAAAGGATATGGTACCGATAATATTTTGCCTCCCTGCCCCTTGGATCTAGCACTGAAGGGTTAGCATGAAGATAAAGTGCATGCTGAAGCTGCCTTTTCTAGGTTCAAAAGAGGCAATTGTTAAATTTCCAGGAATTCTGTTCACTGATGGTCAAACACAGCCATTATTAAAAATTAAATTGTGAAAGCATACAATTAAATAAATGACAATAAAAGCAAATGTAATCAATAATCAAAACTCATCACTTCCAAGTTATGTCACTACATTTTACTATTATGTTTGTTTTTAAGGGAAATAATAGAAGAATAATAATGAAGAAGAGGGAACATAAGTTACCATTGTGGGCGACTCCACGTTTGGTGATATGACATCGGAAGCTTGAAACCATCTATAGTGGAGGTGTCTACACCAGAGAAATAGGCAAACACTACAGATTGGGACTTGATTATTTTGTTGATTGGTTAGACTTAAGAAAGTAATGGAGAAAAAGTTTAAAATGTAAATTAAACTTAAAAGTATATTGGGTTTATAGCCATTTCATTGTGAATAGCACGAAGTGTTGAGAGAATAAATAACTTTCCATTGTTCAAAAACTATTATCTAATTCAGGAAAGAAGTCCCTGATAGCACTGAAGAATGCGATACAATTCCAAGATACATGTTAGTTGTTTCATTTTCATTTTTCTTGTTAACATAAGTGACAGTATCAACAATTATTTGTGTCAGAACCATAAGTCTTCTTGAGTGACGTAGTAGCTTCTTTGCTGAATCCAATAAGTGTCAAGCATTTATCATTGTCTGATTTTGTGACACAATTGTTGTTGATAAAAATTATAAAAACTGATAGTGGAATTGGCAAGGCATAGCAAGTCACACTGAAATTAAAGGTGTAAACAAAATAAATTGGCTATATAAAATTTAAAATAATGGATATTGTATATTATGATTTGTAAATTAGGTGCTATATGGCCTTTATATCAGTATAACTAATAATAATCTTCAGAGACCCTACTGTTAAAAATTAATCAGTACACCAGAGTAGAAAGATTATTTTGGACATTTAATTAACTACAATAGAATTAATTCTAATATATCCATTATTTCACTAAAAATAAACAAAACACTTTGGCATAGCAATGGTGCCAGTACCAGTTATATATGTGTGCCCAATAAATATCTCTATAACAAATTTATAAGTAAAACAAAAGCCAATTTATAGTACATTCCATCAACTGTAATACATGTAGGCTTCCTTCTGTACAGCTAATATGTATTCATGATTGCTGTATTAAGGTAAGGTAAAATGTCTAATGCTACATATGGATTATATTCATTTTAGCCTGAAGAGCTATGCAGACAAAGAGACCAATAAACATTTGGAGAATAAAAGCTTATTTTTCTCAAATAGGATCTCTGAAAGAGCATTAATACATATTCGGCATCTTATAGCTCAAGCCCAGAATAAGCTCTCATTCTTCTGAAACAAAACATTCTCGTTTGTGGAATAACAAGAAGCTGAGTGCAGAAAATTGTTACTTTATCCATACGAAGCTGTGGTGAGTCACAGCCACAGGCATGGTGAGTATCCCAGAGTCAGATGGGGACTTGAGATCACTTATTCCCACCTTTCCCCAATCCAGGGAGAGGTGGAAAGACGCGGGTAACACTCAGATGTGATTTGAGTCAGGCGATGAGGGTGTTATTACCTGTCATTTCTTTTGAGTCTTTGGCTGCGTACTTTGAGAGAGTGTCCCTCTGAAACACGTGTGTCTTGAACACTACGTCAGTGCTTGGTAATCTCCCTTTCTACGAAAAGAAAGCAGCTTCAAGCTTCGAGCTCTGAGCCTTCATCAGGCAGCAGACTCTGGGCAGCTGCCTCCACCTAGAGTTGAACAATGTTGGTTTGTTTCTAAAATACTGACTTACACTAATATCTTCCGAGCTGGGTATCTGCTGCTAGCCCCTGCAGACCCAGGCTCCACACTTCTCAACTCTGCCCGCCGAGGTTGGTCTGGACAACACCAGTGGGCACCCATGGCCCCTGGCTCCCTGCTGGGTTTGGTCATGGAAAGCCCCGCAGGAGACTGGCAAGAGAGAAGAGAGTGAAGTCCAGGAATATTCCCTGGCTCTCTACCATCAAAGTCTTCTTGGGTCAGCTGTATCTCTTGGCAGAAGGCTACAGCTCCTATAAATGTGGCCTGGCTTTAAGACCCTTTCCTTGCAATTAAGCCCCGGTCCCTTTGGACTGACAGGAGGTCTCAGCCAGGCTGACAGCAGCTCTGAGTTCCTGCTTGGCTCCTGGGGTCGCCCCGCACCCATATCTTTGTCATGCCTCCCTAAATACCCTGACTTGAGCATACACATTCTATGCACATAATAAAATATTACACACACCCCACAAATATGTACAAATATTATGCATTAAGAAAAAAGAGGAAAAACCTGATTCTCTCCAATTATCCTCATTTGAGTATTCTGGTGGAGACCCTGGCTGAGGCACCTATTAATGTCAGCTGTGTTTGGTATCCATTTGGTTTATTGATATAGAAGAAAGCTCCACATCACGGGGCTATGCAAGAGCCTTAGTCTGCTCCAAGAAAAGAGCCCCTAGCTTATTTACGGCCAGCATCAAACCTCCAGTCATAATCTTCTCTATCAGAGAGTAGAGCTATCTAGAACCAGGCTAACCATGCCATTCTCTGTTCTCAGTCTCCTCAAAACACTGCAGGCACAGCCTCAAATCTCAAGGAAGAAATAGCGCCTTTAGCCACGAGGTGATAGAGAGGCTAGAAATTGATGCTCAAAGGCTGAGTCCAACTTGCAGCCTTGTTTCCTTGGCCTTCTGTATTTATTTATTTTTTAATGTTTTGAATTGGTTGCCAAAATCTAAACATAGAGAATTTTCATATAAAACTGCAAATTTCTACATTCTTTCTCTCTCTTTTTAAATTTTTTTTATTATTTATTTATTTATTTATTTATATATTTATTTATTTTGATGGAGTTTTGCTCTTGTCACCCAGGCTGGAGTACAGTCAATGGTGTGATCTCAGCTCACTGCAACCTCCGCCTCCCAGGTTCAAGCGATTCTCCCGCCTCAGCCTCCCAAGTAGGTGGGATTACAGGCATGTGCCACCATGCCTGGCTAATTTTTTGTATTTTTAGTAGAGATGGGGTTTCACCATGTTGGCCAGCCTGGTCTCGAACTCCTGACCTCAGGTGATCTGCCACCTCAGCCTCCCAAAGTGCAGGGATTACAGGCGTGAGCCACCGCACCCGGCCTTCTACATTCTCTTGAAAAGGGAAGATGTGGCCCCACTGAGAGCACCCTACACACTTGGCTGCCACTCCCTGCCCATTTGGGGGCACCTGTGCTCTCCAGGTTGGTCTGTTCTTTACCAGGTCGCCCAGGCTTGGAGTTTGATACCCCAGAAGGAGGGGAATTCGGGAGGTGGCTTGTTGGTGACCCAGTATTTCCACGGGTGCTTGAGGTGTTTGCAATTCCCCATCCTGGCCTGTGATCCATCAGACTCTGCTCCGGCGGCGGTGTCTGCAGGGGAAAGTCGGCTTCCCCGGATGTGGGATTCCGCAAGGCTGGTCTGTGCACTTCCTTGTCAGCAATATTTCAGCTATTAAGACTTCTTTGGGATCTTTTCTGCCTGGAATTGTATCTATTTCTTGATAATCATCTCCCTTTGTACTTCTTGAGTTAGGCTAATACGATTTCCCTGAATATCTGTCAAATTAATCCATTTGCTGTCACCTTGTATGTTGAACGAAACCAAAAAACATATATTAATCTTTAATTTATAACAAACCAGTGGTGCCTGGACATCATGAAATCATGCGGGACTAAAAGGCAGGCTTTACTTTTATCCCAAGATGCATTCAGTAAGACCCACTTGATATATCACATTTTATCAGGCAGTTGAACAAAAACTAGCCATGCCACTTGCTGCTAAGGCTATTAAATTGGTTAGACCATTTAACATTTATTATTTACTCCCAATTTTTATTTGAGAAAATTTTTCTTATTGCAAAAAGAAATAGTTCACTCCACACAGTACCCTTTGCTCTGAAAACTTATAAAACTCCTCACAACTTCTTTTCTGTTATGAAGCGACTACATCCCATTTACCTTGTAATAATTATTTTACCCACCAAGTGAAGCAAGAGAATAGCAATTACAACTGCTGTACACACATACATACATGCACATACATAACATAAATATACACACATACACACATACATGTGCACACACATAAATGCACATACATGCATGTATACACACATACAAACACACACAGGCATGCACATACAGGCATACACACATACATACACATGCACACACATACACATGCATGTACATGTACACATACACACATGCATGTGTGCACATACACATATACACACATGCATGCACGTACATACATCCATATCCACATACCTGCATACACATACACACACGTACACAAACACACATGCACCGGCCTGCACAGCCACACCGGGTATGAGCACAGCATTGAAAAGATCCCATGCTGGAAAAGATCCATGTCCTTCCCAGGTAAGATTGGAGACAGTCACCTGAAGAGGGCACAATCTTGCTGAAGCTCAGGAAACCCATCAGTTCTGCAGCAGGGTTCACCTCTTGGGCCTGCCCACAAGGAGACTGTGGCAAGAATGTTCCAGGCTGGTACAGAGGGCAGATGACTGGCGAGGCTGCTGCAGGTGCTGAAGCTGGCCAGTGGCCGGTCTGGATCCCTCCTTCCCCCTGGATCCCATCAGCGACAGGGTCTGTGCTGGTTGGAGCCCTAGAAGAAGCAAAGAGGGGATGCTCGTGAGGGAGACAATGGGGAATCCTTTGTCATGGAGATCCTTTAACAACCACTGTCATCAAAGGGACATTGTCTCACAGAGGTGAAGGCTGTGGCCGGGAAGGTGAATATGGCTTCTACACGCATGTTCCCTTGGGAGAGATGGAGGCAGAAGATTATTCATCAGTTTGGAGTTTAGGAGGCCGCCCTCATCCTAGGCTTTTCATTGAAAAATCGCAGAAACTAAACAGGCAAAATAATTACTTAAGTGGTTTGTTTCTAAAATTGTACTTTCCAATAAAAGCGACCCTTTTAATGAAAAAAAAAATCAAACGCACGTAATAAAAATCCACTCAAAATGGATTCATTTTATGAAGAAGTTGTCCTTTTCATGAAGAACTGACTTTGAAGGCTGAATTGCAGCAGTTAAGCTTTAAGATTTTTTAATCAGAAATGTTTTGCTCCCTAGAAAAGAGAGGCCTAAAGGCTATGAATTTTCCCAGTTGGGGGCATTACTTCCAGCCAATTAGCTAGAGCACTGTTCAAGTTCTCCGCCAGGGCAGGCGGGTCCCTCCCACACTTTCCAGCCAGAGTGTCTGCAGGTTTGTCCTGTAAATGGCAGCAGAGTGAAGCAGGAGCGGCCTGGGATCCAGGTGGATAGAGGGTATTTTGAAAACCAGGCTGCCTTGCGTTGGGGCCCGTGGTCCTTGTGGAACTCTGTTTCCAGCAGAAGTGTGAAAAGCTGTGGCTGCAGCTCCCTCTGGGGTGAGGTTTCAGTCCTGGGAACCTGCTGTCAACAGCTTCCCACCCCAGTGCCTCCTTCTATCAGGAGGAGGGGCTTCATTGTAATGAGAAAAGAAAGAGCAAATCTGTGTTCCATGAGGGCTCCATGTCAAACAGCTGTCACTACGGATGGCTCAGACTTCGATTTGTGTCAGGAGTCATGGAAAGTGGCTCCAGGAGTAATTCACAGCCCTGTGACGCTGGCATCCACAGGCGGCAGAAAGGCCCTAAGCTTCCGTGCTCGGGGGTTTTTATGGATAACATCAAGAGTTCCTGTATAGTGGCTGAAAATATAGCAGTATGCTATTGTGTATGTATGTGCGTGCAAATGCGTGAGAGACTCAGGGGAACAGAGGCAGAGAGGCAGAAGGAGACAGAGAATAAATTAATAAACAAAGAGCAGTGGAGAAGAGTTCCTCTGAGCAGGACCTAGAGCCAGCACCCTGGGCTCACATTCCAGTTCTGCCACTTGCTGGCTGAAGGCAGCTTCAAGTTCATTGGGCATCAGAGGGGTTCAGTGTAAGCAAAAGAGAACAACTGGAAATGCCTGGAAAACAGCTTCTAAATTCAGTTTTCAGTCGATGCCCCTGGCGAGGCAGCCCAGCCCCTTCCTTGCTGACAGTGTGGCCCTGAGCTCAGTCTCTGCTTCCTCCTCTTGTTACCTTCAGTGTTTCGGGCTATTTCTTTAACCCTTTAAGCATGTTTCCCTGTCAGTAACATGCAGACCACAATAGTACGAAAGGTTACACTCATATGTTTCAGTTCTTTGTATAGTTCCTGGAACACAGCAAGTGTCTTAGTTGGCTTGGGCGGCTATAACAACCACCAAAAATAGGCTGAGTGGCTTAGAAAACACAGAAATATATTCCTCGTGTGAAGTGTGGTTCTTTTTCCTGATTTTATTTCCAGTGTTGTATTCACTCAGCTCTGCCTCTACATGGTGACCTCTGGGAGAATTCACTAGCATATTGGCACACCCAGACCATCTCTCTTTCTTTCTTTGTCAGGGTATGCTGACTACAAAACAAACAGCTCTGAAATCTCAGTGGTTTTCAGCAGCAAGGAGCTATGTCTTTTCCACTGCAGAGTCCAAGGAGGGTGAGGAAGGCTCCGCTCCATGCGGTGATTCGGAGACCCAATCTCCTCTTAGATTATTGCATCTCAATCTACAGCCTCCATAGTGTACGTGGTGCCACACCCTGCAGCACCCCGGACCGCAGAGAGAGAGCATCTTGCAGGGTTTAGGACCCAGATCACATCATTTCTCCCACAATCCCTTGGCAAGAAGTCAGTCACATGACTGCTAGGGAGGCTGGGAAACATAGGTCCAACCACATGGCCGGGGGAAAGTCAAGAGGGTTTGGTAAACACATTGTCTCTGCCACACCCCCAGACTAAAGGCCACGAGCCTGTTCCGTCTCCTCTCCCAGCCAGTAGTTATTATTCTCCACTTGCCCCAATTATGTGTCTTCAATCAGAGCTGGTCATTTTGGTTTTTCTATTTGTTTGTTTGTTGTTGTTGTTTTTAGATGGAGTCTTGCTCTGTCACCTAGGCTGAAGGGCAGTGGCAGGACCTCTGCTCACTGCAACGTCTACCTCCCAGGTTCAAGCGATTTTCCTGTCTCAGTATTCCAACTAGCTGGGCCTACACGCACTTGCCACCACACCTGGCTAATTTTCGTATTTTTAGTTGAGATGGTATTTCACCATGTTGGCCAGGCTGGTCTTGAACTCCTGACTTCAGGTGATTTGCCCACCTCGGCCTCCCAAAGTGCTGGGATTATAGGCGTGAACCACTCTGCCCGGCCATGAGCTGGTCTATTTCATGGTGCCTCCAATGCCAGCCAGGTGTGGCCCTATTTCATTTTGGAAGAAAAAAAAACAGTATTTTTTTTTTCTATTGCTGCATCGTAACTCACCCTGGAGAAAAGTCAAAACTGTCAGAATATTAAAATGAGAGATATTCCTGGAAGACCTCTGCCTTATCAGCTTCTAACATTCCTTAATGGCTGCAACCCACAGGGGGACTGAGGATCCAATAATTAATTGCTTGAGTTAATGAGGGGATAACTGCTGTCTTTCACTTAGCTTCAGACTTTTATTTAGGGAAAAGCAATAACAAAAAAGCAGTAACATCCTTACAATAGAAAAGTCAATCTAATCTGTAGACAGATCTGAAAGTGAAAGCTCCCATCCATCCTCCCCCTTATAATTATTGCTAGGGCTCAGCGTTTACTCGATGCTGACAGTAGAACAGGCATATGACAGCGGCTACATTCAGATTCACAACTGCCCAGAAATGTAGCCAGTCTCCTTTTGAATGGGATAATTCCGAGGATTTTCATCCCAAATATTTTGCTATTTGCAGTGGGAGAGCTGCCTCTAAGGCCCCGGATGAGTTGAGGCAGATTAGAGTCCTACATCCTAGGAGGTGTTTATCTGGGTTTTTGTTGTTGTTGTTTACCCAAGAAACAAAACAAAACAAAACAAAAAACAAAAACACTGGGCGAGGTGGCTCACACCTGTAATCCCAACACTTTAGGAGGCCAAGGCACGTGAATCATTTGAGGTCAGGAATTCGAGACCAGCCTGGCCAACATTGGTGAAAACCCGTCTCCACTAAAACTACAAAAGTTAGCAGGGCATGGTGGTGTATGCCTGTAGTCCTAGCTACTCAGGAGGCTGAGGCAGGAGAATCCCTTGAGCCTGGGAGGCGGAAGTCGCAGTGAGCCGAGATCGTGCCACTGTATTCCAGTCTGGGTGACAAAGTGAGACCCTGTCTTTAAAAAAAAAAAAAAAAAAAAATGATTAGCTTAATTCATTTATTTTGGACGTCCTTACAGGTGAAACTTTTCTTTCCCTAAATTTTAACTTATTTTTAAAATTTCAAGTAATAATTGTATGTATTCATGGGGTAGATAAAGATGTTTCAATACATACAGGGTATGGTGATCAGATCAGGGTAATTAGCATATCCATCCTCTCATCAAACATTTACCATTTCTCTGTGTTGAGGATGTTTCATGTCCTCCTTCCAGCTATCTGACACTATATAAAATGTTATTGTTACTGTAGTCCTCCCACAGGGCAACAGAACACTAGAACTTATTTCTCCCATCTACTGTAATTTTGTACCCTTTAACAAATCTCTTTCTAGCCCTCCCTCCCCTCTGCCCTTCCCATCCTGTAACATCCACTGCTTTATTCTACTGCTTTATTTCAAACACTCGGCCACCAAGTGCTGAGACGACCACACAGCTCCTGGCACCATCACGACAGGGCCACCCACGGTTCTTCTTCGGTGATGTTTTCCCTTACCCTAACCTCCATCCATCGCCATTCCTCCATCCCCGGCAGAGGCCCCTTCCTCATGCTTTTCAGGTATATTCTCCACTGTCACCTCTGAAAACCACACAGCAATGGGCTGTGGACGCTTGTGTTGTAAAGTTTCCTGAGTGTTGCTGACCCCCAGGTCGCGCTGTGCTTCCCCCTCTGCACTCAGGGCTGTGTTCTGGGGAGTTCCCTGGGTACCACCACCTCCTCTGTTTTGTTTTCTCTGCCTGTCCTCACTGATGGAGTCCAGGCTCACCAGTCCTGTTCGTCCCCACGCAGCACAGAGGCCGGTGTGCACGGTCCCCTCTGAGCTACGCAGCTGCATGGGTTTTTGATGCCTTAAGGGTATCTTCCAAGCAGGGAAGAGACTACACAGATACTTATTTTGCTTTCTTTTTTTTTTTTTTTTGAGATGGAGTCTTGCTCTTTGTTGCCCAGGCTGGAATGCAGTGGCGCGATCTCGGCTCACTGCAAGCTCCATCTCCCGGGTTCACGCCATTCTCCTGCCTCAGCCTCCCGAGTAGCTGGGACTACAGGCGCCCACTACCACACCCGGCTAATTTTATGTATTTTTTAGTAGAGACGGGGTTTCACCGTGTTAGCCAGGATGGTCTCCAACTCCTGACCTTGTGATCTGCCCACCTCAGCCTCCCAAATTGCTGGGATTACAGGCATGAGCCATCGCGCCTGGCCTTTTTTTAAAAATTGATTTTAATGGCTCTGTGTGTGTGTGTGTGTGTGTGTGTGTGTGTGTGTGTGTGTGTGTATCAGCCTCTGCCTCTGTTGCCAAGGCTAGAGTGCAATGGCACAATCTCAGCTCACTACAACCTCTGCCTCTGGGGTTCAAGCAATCCTCCTGCCTCAGCCTCCCAAGTTGCTGGGACTACAGATGGGTGCCAATGTACCCAGCTAATTTTTGTATTTTTTGTAGAGAGGGGATTTCACCATGTTGCCCAGGCTGGTCTTGAACTCGTGAGGTCAAGTGATTTCCTCACCTTGGCCTCCCAAAGAACTGGGTTTACACGCATAAGCCACCCCACCTGGCCTTTGCTTTGTTCTTTTTAATGTTCACTGTATCAAAGTAAACATCACAAAAACTATCTTTCTACCAAAGCCTTCAAGTTCAGTTGAAAAAATTTACTACTCTATTCATAAATATAGTACCTTAATGCAATTTTAAGAGGAAGTATTAATAAATTAGTGAATTATATTCCTTTAGATATCTCAAGACGCTCATAAATTTAATATATTCAGCTTCTTTTTAAGCAATATATACACCTAATTAATGTGGAAAGCTCTTGCAAGTACTTAAACAGCCCTAGTAAATCTCACAAATAAAACTTACTGAGGACTCTCAAGTTCTCTTAAACATTCCAATCTTGTTCGTAGTTAGGTAAATTATCTTATACTTTTCATCTTCAAATAAAAAGACCTAAAATTGATTTTTAAATGCCTGTTTTAGCTGAAATCACAAGGCTTATCTCTAAACTAATGTGATAAATTAACTTAAATATTATAAACACTTTACATGCAAAATATATCCCCTTAATTCTATGCTTTACACCAGAAATATTAATAAACACAGTTTATCACCACTATTTTCAATTATTCACCCTTCTGGATTCTACACTTACTGAGAAAATGATTTCATCCACTCCAGCAAGCTGAGGCTACCTTCCCAAGCAAATTGGGAGCCACCATCTCATCATCACTGGGATTTTCTCTTCGACGGGCCGAAATTGGTGGCTGAACAAAATTTCTGGCCAGAACAGGTGGATCTGAGCCCCCAAACACTGGAGTGGTTGTTCTCACCACTTCACTCACGCTCTCCTAGAGTGTCCACGGGAGGGGCCTCCAAGTCCACACCCTCCAATCCGCCTGCTTTGGATCTGAGTCTCATGTTAGCTAATTCCAGTTTGAGTCTGAACCCTCTCTGCAAGGTTGGTTCACCCCAGTGGGATTCAACAGATCTGTTTACTACTCCATCCTGTTCTGAACCCTTCCTGCGTTCTCCCTGCCTGGCTGCGCAGTGAGCTCACAGATACTGGGATGACATGTACTTGGTTTCTTCTCATGTTTCCAGCTTACTCTAACCTTGAATGTCTCAGGTAATCCCAAAGACACCTGCATTTGAGACTTCTTCCACCTCCACCTCTCCAGGAACTGAAATGCTCTGTTTTTTTGAGACACGGTGTCACCGTGTTGCCCAGGCTGGAGTGCAGTGGTGCCGTCACAGCTCTTTGCAACCTCCACCTCCCAGGCTCAAGTGATCCTCTCACCTCAGCCTCCCAAGTAGCTGGGATAACAGGCGTGTGCCACCACACCTGGCTAATTTTTGTATTTTTAGTAGAGACAGGGTTTTGCCGTGTTGCCTAGGCTGGTCTCAAACCCCTGACCTCAAGTGATCGGCCTGCCTCAGCCTCCCAAAGTGCTGGCGCGAGCCACCATGACTGGCCCTGAAATGCTCTTGTAAGGACCCCCAGGGTCCTCTGTCGAAAATCAAGTGCACACGGTTCAGTCTTGCTCTTACCTGATGGCTCATTCCTGATTGAAACTGGGCTTTCACGATGCCAGCTCTTTCTCATTATCCTATTATTTCTAATTATTCCTCATTGTGTTTATTTTAATTTTATTTATTTTTATTTAATGTTCACATGGGGATTTGAGCACATATGGAGAAGTACTTATAAACATGGTGTAATTACTTACACTTGCTTAAGCCCTCAAATAATCATTTGTAACATTAATAAATGTTCTTAAACCTTAGAAGCTAATTTTTCAAATGTATTATGCCTGGGTTTTTCTGAGACTTAATAGATATTGAATAGCAGAATCCACAAACACACAATCATTTTTTAAAAAATATTGCTATCTATGGTAAGCAGTCATCTCAGTTTCCAAGGAATTGGAGAAACAGGGGACTCCCAGGAAGGGGGACTTTCAGTGCTAACACCCAGGAAGTCCCAGACAGACTGGGGCATATTAGTCTCTCTGTTAGTACTTCAGCTCCTTCCAAAACTTTAACTCCATCAAATGAATGCATTTCATCATTATTTCCAACCTTGACTTTAAGAATATTTTTAAAGTTAAATAGCTGTATAATTAATAGAAGGAATAAAATATCCACATACAAACACCCACTACTCATTAAAGTAAGCAAAACATTATACACATACATATTCTTACTTTTTTATCAACTTTTTTCCTTTAAATAGCATTATTAACTCATTGTCTTTTACTTACTGAATTTATTTTAGTAAACCAAAATTGTTGTCATGATTATTAGGATTATTTTGTTGTTGTCACTTGAGATCATCACAAAAGGATCAATCAGTGAGAGCTATGGAGGGTTTTTTTGTTTGTTTGTTTGATGGAGTCTCACTCTGTCACCCAGGCTGGAGTGTAATGGCATGATCTCAGCTCACTGCAACCTCCACCTCCTGGGTTCAAGTGATTCTCCTGCCTCAGCCTCCTGATTAGCTGGGATTACAGGTGCCTGCCACCACCACGCCCGACTATTTTTTGTATTTTTGGTTGAGATGGGGTTTCACCATGTTGGTCAGGCCAGTCTCTAACTCCTGACCTCGTGATCCGCCCACCTCAGCCTCCCAAAGTGCTATGAAGTTTTTAAAACAAGTCCGCAAATCCCTAGATATTCCTACCTTCAAGAGGCAATACCTGCCTCCTTCCACTTGCAACTGGGTGAACCTTAGTGACTTGTTTACAACCAATGGAAGGTAGATAAAATGACCCTTCAGTACATGATTTTTGACATTATATTTTAAAAAGATGCAGCTTCTACTTTGCTCAATGGAACAATCACACTGGAGGACTGAGCCACCTGGTAGGAAGACCACTTAATCTGAAACCACTTTATCTGAAACCACTTTATCCCACCATATTGTGAGGAAGCCCAAGCCGCGGGGTCAGCCTCTAGCTGGGGTCCCAGCCAAAGGTTATCACCAATCACCCAGTGGGAGAGTAATTGGATTCACTTGATTCCAGTCCCTGGCCATTGACCCTTCCCAGATAAGTCCCCACACATCTTGAACAGAAACAAACCATTCCCATGTTCCTTGTCTGAATTTCTGACCTGTAGAAACCTTGGATAAAATAAAACAATTATTTTGTAAGAATTTGCAAGTTTTTGCATGGCTTCTTCCTGCAACAAGAGCCTTTCACTGATGTTGGTTTCTTTGTCGTTCTTAAGGCTCCCTGCAGCCATCTCTAGAGGCTCGGTTTAGTCATCATTTCCACCCAGTGGCCTCCACCCTAGATCTGGATGAGGATGGGCCCCAACATTGTGTTTCCACATCACCCCGGGCATGCCGTCCTGTCCTCCCCACACGGTTTGATCTTTACATCCCTCTGTGTCTATTTCTCCCACCATCATGTGAGTGCCTCATCCAGGAGGGACTGCATCGGGTCCTCCTCACCTCTGAGCTCTCATCTCCTTCCTACCTTAGTCCATGGCAGTGAATGAGCATCCAATAAATCCATTTCTAATTTGTCTTGAAAAGAGACAACTGGGGTCTCGGATGAAACCACGCAAATCACAATGTTCTGAATGGATATCAAAGAGTGGCCTCATTAATTAGATATAGGACAGGGAGCAAAAGCTGTGTTCTTGAATAAAATTGTCTGTAAATAGCTAGACTTAAAGCAACTAGTGTGATTAGATCAAGAAAGGTATCAGAAAAAAGAAAAAAGCAGCTTTGTATTTACAAAAAAAGAAGAGAAAGGATTTTCATATATAAAAGCAGTAGGCACTCAGAATCCAGAATTGATGCAACAAACAAGGTGAGGCTCTTTTTTAAGAAGTGATTCGTTATCTAGACCAGGTGACATTTATTGTCTACCTAGTCAGATATTTAAAATAAGATTTTTGACAAGTAGAAAAATATGTTCCAGGCTTGTCTTCTAAGTAGGCAAAATATTAACTTGAAAGAAATTATTCGTTTGTACAACTCAAAGGAAAAATAGAACAGAAAGGGAAAATAGAACAGAAAGAAAAAAAAACTATAAAGAAAGGAATTTCATCTGGCTTTGAAGAGTTACCTATTCCTTAGGTGATTAAGCAAAGAAGAAAGAAGGAAAACATACTGTAAGGAACAGAAGGAAGAAGAAAAGGAAGGAAAAAAGGAAAGAGAAAAGAGGCAAAGAAAGAGAAAGGACAGAAGAAAGACGGGGAATTCTATGGGTGATCTCTCAAGGGAATATTTTAGCGCCTTTGGCAGGGAGCAAAGATAAAATCAAAGAATGATTTTCTCTTGTGTATACTAATTATGTGAAATGGATCATCTCTAAAGTCTGCACCACTAAAATTAGAAACACACTCAGGAGGTGTTTAGATAAATACATGGATAATTGTCAGAAAATTTATTTATTTTTAATTTTATTTTTTTGAGATGGAGTCTGGCCCCGTTGTCCAGGCTGGAGTGCAGTGACATGATCTCAGCTCACTGTGACCTCTGTCCCCCAGGCTCACGTGATTCTCCTGCCTCAGCCTCCCGAGTAGCTGGGATTACAGGTGTACACTGCCACGCCTGGCTTTTTTTTTTTTTTTTTTTAGTAGAAATGGGGTTTCAGCATGTTGGCCAGACTGGTCATGAACTCCTAATCTCGAGTGATCTGACCACCTTGGCCTCTCAAAGTGCTGGAATTACAGGTGTGAGCCACCGTGCCTGACCCATGAAATTTAAATGACTATATATTAATTTAAAGGTGATATGGTTTGGCTGTGTCCCCACCCAAATCTCATCTTGAATTGCAGCTCCCACAATTCCCACATGTCATGGGAGGGACCCAGTGGAAGGTAATGGAATCCTGGGGGCAGCTCTTTCCTGTGCTGTTCTCATGATGGTGAATAAGTCTCACATGATCTGAAGGTTTTATAAAGGGGAGTTTTCCTGCACAAGTTCTCTTCTCTTGTCTGCCACCATGTGAGACACGACTTTCACCTTCTGCCATGATTGTGAGGCCTTCCCAGCCACATGGAACTGTGAGTCCGTTAAACCTCTTTCTTTTATAAATTGCCCGGTTTTGGGTATGTCTTTATCAGCAGCGTGAAAACGGACTAATACAAAAGGTCTTTCATAAAAGCTTCTTTAATATGTTGAGTTTCAAGGGCATGGTGGTGAAAGCTCTAGAGTAGCTTTTCCCGTGGCTAACTCCTATGACTCGGCTTTGCGTGATCAGCATCCTAAGTGAAACAAAGCCGTCTAAAAATCCACATCCACTGGGAACCCCAGAATGTGCCCCTGAGTGGACATAGGGTCTTTGCAGATGTAATTAGTTAATATGAGGTCATGCAGGATTAGGGTGGGCCATAAACCCAATAGAACTGGTGTCATTACAAGAGGAGGACACTCACAGACACCGACCCTCAGAAAAGAAGGCCAGGTGAGGATGGAGGCGGAGACGGGAGCGACGCAGCCACCAGCCAAGGAAACCCAGGAGTGCTATGGGCTGGAAAAGGTGAGGAGGGGCTCCCCTAGAGCCTGCAGAGAGAGCGTGGCCTGCTGACATGGAGATGTGGGACTCTAACTTCCAGAGCTGTGAAAGAATACATTTCCGGTGCTTTAAGCCCTGCTATGGACTGAACTGTGTCTCCCACAAAATGTATGTGTTGAAGCCCCCAATGTGACTGTACATGGAGGTAGGGTCTTTAGAAGGTAATTAAAGAATTCAGCTTAAATGGGGCCACAGGGGTGGGGCCCTAATCAGGCAGAACTGTGGTTTTATAAGAGGAAGATTAAGACTGTGGTCTCATAAGAGAAAGAGAAAAGGAAGCTTCTCTCTTTCTCCTCTCTCTCTCTCTCTTTCTCCCCTCTCCCATGCCCTCTTATCCCCACGTGAGGATACAGTGAGAAGGCACCATCTATAAGCCAGGAAGAGAGCCTTCAGCAGAACCCGCCCATGCTGGCACCTTGATCTCAGATCCTCAGCCTCCAGAAGTGTGAGGAAATAAATTTCTGTTGCTTTGTCCACCGAGTCCGTTGTGTTTTGTTTAGCAGCCTGTGCAGACTAAGACAGCAATTCAGATTGTGGTCATTTGTTTTGGAAGCACAGGAAACTAATATAATCAGATTGTCAAAGTTTATGGAGAACCGTAGGCATTGTTATGATGTCTGAAGTGGAGATGGCATATTCAAATGTTGATTCATATCCAACACTCACTCACCTGGACACAGATTGGGAGGAGAAAAGTTTATTCTTCTCTGAGATTACAGGGAAAAGTGCCCTTTTTCTTCACGGGAAAACAAATTCCCAGAAGGTTTTTTTTTTTTTAGAAAATGTCTCCCTCTGTCACCCAGGCTGGAGTGCAGTGGCACCATCTGGGCTCACTGTAAACTCCACCTCCTAGGTTCAAGTGATCCTACCACTTCAGCCTCCCGAGTAGCTGGGATTACAGGCATGTGCCACCATGCCCAGCTAATTTTTGTATTTTTAGTAGAGACGGGGTTTCGCCATGTTGGCCAGGCTGGTCTCGAACTCCTGACCTCAAGTGATCCTCCCGCCTTGGCCTCCCAAAGTGCTGGGGTTACAGGCATAAGCCACCATGCCCAGCCTCCAGAAGTGTTTTCTTAATATATGTTTTCAGCACAGGTACAGCTTAATCCTCTTTTTTTGGCTCTTGACCTCATCAGTGGAGAGGAACCATAGGAGACAGGGAACAGGGTTCTCTCCAGCAATCCATGGAAATGAAGAGTGACTGAAGGCAAAGCTCTCTGCTAGCAGGGGGGTCGTCCTCCACCTTCTCAGAGCCCCAAACATGCAAGTAACAGCCTCTGCTCTTCCCGGATCTGCGGGGACCATCTTTAAATGACAGCTCTGGTGTGGAGTGACTGGATGTATGCTGGTGGGAGGGGTGTGGGAATATCCAAACTCAGAGGTAAGAAAAGGGAGAAAAAATCTCTCCTCTCATTGGAGCCAAAGCAGAAGGTGAAAAGGTGCATTGGCGAGACTGTAACATAAGGAAAGGAAGGAGGAAGAGAAGGAAGGAAGAAAGGAGCAAGGAGGCAGAGAAAGGAGGCAAGAAAGGGTGGAAATTTTATGGCTGATCTCTCAAGGGGATATTTTAGTCCCTTTGGCAGGGAACAAACATAAAATCAAAGAATAATTTTCTCCTGGGTATACTAATTATGTGAAATGCATCGTCTCTAAAGGCTGCACCGCTAAAATTAGAAATAGAGGCATCAACAGACTTGCCCTTACAAATAGAGTCATCAATAGACTTGGCCTAATAAAGCCCCACAAACTGGGGGTCTTGAAACCACAGAAGTTCCTTGCCTCACCATTCTGGCGGCTGGAAATCCAGTATCAAGGCCGTGGGGCCACATTCCCTCTGCAGGCAGGTGCTAGGGAAGGATATACTCCCTACCTCTCTACCAGCTTCCAGTGGTCACTTTGCTTGCGGCAGCAGAACTCCAGTTTCACAGGGCGCTCTTCCTGTGTGCATGCCGGTCTCTGTGAATAAATGTTCCCTTTTGGTAGAGATGCCAATCATACTGGATTAGGGCCCAGCCTAGTGACCTTATTTTAACTTGATCATCTGCTGCCTCAGTCCAGGCTGCTAGAATAAATGTCCTAGACCGGGTGGCTAAAACAACAAATGTTCATTTCTCACAGTTCTGGAAGCTGGAAGTCCAAGATCAAGGTGCTGGCTGATTCAGTTCCTGGTAAGAACTTACTAAGACTTCCTGATTTGCAGACAGATCCTTCTTTCCTATGTCCTCACGTGGTGGAGAGCTAGATCATGTCTCTCATATATCTTCTCATTAGGGCACTAACACCCGTCATGTCGGCTCCGCCCTCATGACCTGACCACCTTCCAAAGGCCCCACTTCCTACCACCATCACATTAGAAATGAGGAGCTTTAACATATAAATTTTAGGAGGTCACATTCAGCCCATAACACTGGCATAGACCCTGTTTCCAGGTAAAGTCACATTGACATGTACTGAGGGTTAATTCTTCAGCATCTTGTATGGAGTACAATTCAACCCATAATAAGTACTGAACTCTACAAGGTATATCTTTATTCTGTGATTTTTTTTTTGAGACACAGTCTTGCTCCGTCACCCAGGCTGGAGTGCAATCATGGCTCACTGAATCCTCGACCTCCCAGGCTCAAGTGATCCTCCTGTCCCAGCCTCCCGAGTGCTTAGGACCACAGGCCCCCACTACTACGCCCAGCTAATTTTTAATTACTTTGTTTTGTAGAGATGGGGGGTCTCACTATGTCACCCAGGCTGGTGTCAAATGGAAAAAAAATAATATATACTCTTAAACATATAGCTTTCTGATATTAAGTTCAATTACTTAAATAAATTATATTAAATAAAATGTTGAAAATTAACAGCACTCCGAAAACTCTAAGTGGAATAGAATGAGGACAGGATCGAGGGTCTGGTGGTTTTAAGTCCACAACCTAAGATTCGTGTGGCCTCCAGCAGCTCAGTCAACCTAGGAACCTTCCCTTCTTTGTTAACGAAATGGAAATAACACTATTTCGCAAAGCTGCTGTGAAGATTAAACGTGGATAACGTGCCTAAAAAGTCTATGATATGGTAAACCACAGTATAACATTCCTACAATTCATAATATTACTAATCACATATTCACACTATTGATATTCCTCATAAACTGGAACTAGTAATGCTGAGGTCGGCTAGTGGTTCGAGCTCTAAGATAAAGGCATTGACTGCCACCTGGTGGCAGCGTACTGTAGTGTCAATTCTTCAACTTTCTCGCCAAGGTAAATCACCTGGTGATGATTGCTTCGTCTCCAATTCCAAACAGAAAAAATGAGAATCCATCATCGTGTAACTCCACAATTGAACCTATTAAATGTAAGTTCCAGATGTTAAGGCTATATGCTTAAGATCAAAGAAGATTTGGAGAAGGGAGTTTACCTTATTCTTCCCTAAGCCATGAAATGTGGGTGATGAAATCTGGGATGGTTAACTTTAGCCTCAGTAAATTGTCTTCTCTCCCCTTTTGCTCACAGGGCCTGGTAACAGAGTGAGTGTTTAATTAATATGTGTTCGGCGAAATAATGAAGAATGTACTATTAATAATAACAATACCTTATTTTTATTGAGCACCTAGTATATACCAGACCATTTCAAAATGGATTACTCAGGATGTGCAGACTATCTCAGTGTTCACAGGGATTGGGGCATGCAGCAAAAAGGCCCTTGCTCAGAATATCTGTAGGAGTAGATAGGAGTAAAGATTCAGGACTTAGAAACAAATCTAGAAATGGGCTTACCACGTGCATTCGCTTTAGAGATGCTTATGGACTCCCCATTAAACAGAGACAGCTGGTAAACACAACAAGCAATTGGCAAATACATTTCAGGATCAAAGCTTATAATCCTTACGGGCCATTTACATTCTCAGGTGAATCTATGCTACAAGGTAAAGATGTGTCCCACCCACACTTTGGAAAGAGGTAGGTCTCAGAGCCCAGAAATGCCTTTAATATAGGGGTTGTGAGAGTTAATAAGGTGTGCGAGCTCATAAAGACCCTTATGTTCTTAGCAATATAACTTACAGTTCCTATTTCTTTTCTTTTTCTGTTTCTTTTTTCTTTTCTTTTTCTTTCTTTGTTTTTTGTTTCTCTGAGACACGGTCACCCAGGCTGGAGTGCAGTGGCACCATCTTGACTCATTGTAACCTCTGCTTCCTGGGCTCAAGCAATCCTCCCGCCTCAGCCTCCTGAGTTGTTGGGACTACAGGCACATACCACTCTACTCAGCAAATTTTTTCGTATTTTTGGTAGAGATTGGATTTTACCATGTTGCCCAAGCAGGTCTTGAACTTCTGGACTCAAACAATCGGCCCCCCTCGGCCTCCCAAAATGTTGGCATTACAGGTGTGAGCCACCGGGCCCATGCCCAGGCCTCTCATTTATTCACACAAGAATCCCAACTGTACATATTTCCTTTAATCCCCCCAAAAGACATGTATCAGATTGCTTCTGTGATTCTTTGTTTGATTAAATTTTTTTTGCATGTGTACTCCTTAAAATTTGGAAATAACATAGGCTGATTTTTAAACCTCATTATTTAAAGACGAGGCAAAAAATATTCTAAGGTCTGCATTTTTGCTGAATTCCCTAAGAGATTTTCAGTTCCTCAGAGCAGCCGTGGAGGCATATCCAGGAGCCGATGGCTGAAAGATTTGGATGAATCTGCTGTTGCTGGAGAGTCACTAGGGGATGCCTGTTCATGCCTTCCCTGATGCTCAACTAAAGGATTTAAAATGAGCAAATTTATATTATAAAAGAAAGGAACGGGGGCCTAGGGACAACATGACCCTCACAGCTTTGACTGGCTTTTGAGTTAAACACAACGAAACCTGTAGACTCCTGCGGAGACCTATACCCACGCAGGCGACAGGGAGGGACGACGACCACAGGCACCTGACTCCTCGATTTTCTGGCCCCATGTTGGCTCCAGCAGGTGTGACCCAAAATCAACCTGAAGTTCTGTCTGCTCCTGGAAATTCACCTGCAGAGGGTCAACAGCTGCCCCTTTGCCTAACCTGGGGCCACACCCCTCATGCCTCCAGAGGCCAGGCAGGGACTCTAGGTGAGGGAAGCTGGATGCGGGAGTGTCCTGAGGAATGGGAGCGGGCAGGCCCATTTCAATGGGTGGCGGCTACTGTCTAGTGTCAGCCAATTGCTGCTGTGAAGGGCATGAGCTCAGACTTGCCAGATCTTCCAGTTTTCCAAGAGAAGCCCGTGAGGTGGCTCTCAATATTTAAATGCTGGAAATGGTATATGGTCCCCCCAAAAAAATCACAAGGAAAAACACACGAGCTCCAGATTCCTTATGGGGTCTGATTCCATATGGAGGCCACTGCCTCTGGCCAAAAACATTGAAATCCCCAGATTCTAAGTGTTCGAATCTATGGTAATTTTGCTCCATTTGTCTTCTCCAAATGTATCCCCCTCGTTCCAGTGTTTTTCTGTTGTTACTTCCAAAGTTTAATCTTCCCTTAGGGATACTTGTACCCACAGACCTCCTTCTAGTTTTTCCCCTCTTGGAATGTCCCTATGACTCTCCTGAGTATCCATGAATAACCATCTCTCAAGTCAACACATTATGAAACTCTTCCTTTTCTGAATTTGTTCTCTTCTTCATGTCCTTAGAATGTTCCCCCGGTCTTTCCACCATTTATTTTTCTCTATGGGGAAGGCCACCATCTATTATCGAAACTGAAGATGTCAGACACGCACTCTCCAGCCATTTCTATAAGTATTGGTGTCCACAGACCAGTTCTGCCCAAAAAATTATTAAAGGATACCTTTCTACTGCTTCTGACAAAAGTTATTTTGTTCTCCATGATATAAATTGAGATGAATTAGGAGGCCTCTTACCCATTCCCTGGTCTTCCTGTCTTTGGTTAGTACTTTATGAAGGTGTGATGGTTGGGGCTGCAGCAGCTGTATTGCAACCATGAAGACAAATGCCTAAGGATAAAAAGCCAATATGGCAAGAATGATTGAGCAAACGAATGGAGATATTCTAGGTCTTCAATGACTCTGCTGGGCCCTCAAGCCATCTCTTGACTGCCTTCCTCCACGCCTCTTATTGTTGAAACCGTAGCAACCCCATTGGACAAGCTACTTGGAGGAGAATATTTCATACCTGCTTTTGAAATCATCCTAACTGAAACATACACTGGTATTATTCACCCTCTCCTTCGGCTCTTGGTATGCTTCTCATCACAAAAAGGCTTGCATTTTCGTTAATTTCCTTAAGAGCTTTGAAGTTCCTGAGAGAAGAAACTATTGTGTTAGCGTTTATGGAGCATCTGTTTTATGTCTGCTTCTATATTTGTTTCTGTGCTGTGCTGTCTGTCCAAGTACACATTCCTCAGCACATACAGTGAGGAAGGACCTGACCCCTACCCACCATACCCCACCTACCATCTGGCTTCAGGAGTGGGAGTGTGAAGCCTGTGTGACCCATTAGAACGATTCACTTTGCAGCCTCAGTAATTGGTTCAGGCCCATGTCTCAATCGTAGCCAATGAAACTCAGTTTCAAGACTTTTGCAGACCTAATAAGAAGTGAGAAAAAGAACTCTCACTCTGGACTTGCTGATGCCGTAGCCCTGAAGACTTTCTGGGTAATCTCAAGGGGAGAGACTGAGCAAGAAAGGAACCCACAAAAATAAGAGCCGAGTCAAGAATGTTGAGGGGCTAAAACCACTATGAGAGCTAGTAGTTACTCTTATATTCATGTTAATTTGCAATTCCCATTTCTTGAAAGCAAGAATCCCAATGAATATGCAGTTCTTTTAATCCCCTGGTAAAAGACATGTATCATATTGCTCTGCAATTCTTTATTTGCTTATTTTTTGCATATAAACTCCTTAAAATATGGAAATAATATAGACTAATTTTTAAAGCCCACTATTAGAGACAAGTGAAAAAATATTCTGAGCAATTCCCCAGATCCAAGAGATCACAGAGTGTCTGCATCTCATCGGAGGGCCGGTCACACAACACACAATGCGGCCAAGAGCTCAGCAAAAATTGATGCCACCACATCAGGGTTACAAATGCCAACTTCAGAATTTGAATCATTAACCCAACATTTAATGTTCTGCCTAGGACATGCTAAGGGAGGGACAAACATTCATTTTTTTTTTTTTGAGACAGAGTCTCGCTCTGTCACCCAGGCTGGAGTACAGTGGCATGATCTCGGCTCACTGTAACCTCCAGTTCCCGGGTTCAAGCGATTCTTCTGCCTCAGTCTCCTGAGTAGCTGGGACTACAGACATGTGCCGCCACACTCAGCTAATTTTTTGTATTTTTAGTAGAGACGGGGTTTCACCATGTTAGCCAGGATGGTCTCAATCTCCTGACTTCGTGATCCACCTGCCTCAGCCTCCCAAAGTGCTGGGACTACAGGTGTGAGCCACCACGCCCGACCGGGAGGGACAAACTTTGTAATGCTCCAGGCCAGCACACGAGACCTGAAAAGAGAAGGTATTTCCGCCTGCTTTGTATCACCTTTGAGGCAGACTGAACTCCGGGATCGAGTGTTGCCTTTGAACAGATCTGGAAACTTGTGAAATTTTAAAAGTGTAGTGTCACGTCTGTTGTTGGAGAATGGAAAGCGCTTTTCTCTTTCTTTCCTTCACAGCGCTCCTTTCCTTGCTTCTGTTCTTGGCACGGGACGCTTCTGGTGGGTTTGTCCCCCTTGGAGACCCGCGAGTGCCGCGCATGACTGTCACGTTGGGCTTTCTTGCTTCCTGCAGCGTCCATAACATTTTTGCTTTATCACTGACAGCACCTTCTGTGGATTCTGGAAGCTCTTCAGTCCCATGAAAGGAGCTCCCTCCACACCCCAGCAAAATAGGTTTGCTCAGAGAAAAGCCCAGGGAGAGAATCTGTCTGGAAACAGAAAATGAGGGAGGGCAGGAATAAGAAAAGAGAAAAATAGAGGAGGGCTCTGCTATTTTTAAGTAGAACATTCTTTTCTCTTCAAAATCCACATGTTGAGCTGGGAGAGAGGAAAATTCATGCTGAAAATGGATTTTTATTGACAGCAAAGTACTTGTAAATGGGAATCTATTTTTGACGAGTGCTAAAAACAAAGCCCTGCTTTGGGGAAATAAACCGTGATTGGCATCATATTTTGTTTGTCTGCTGCAGGCCACCGTCTCCAGTAGAACACAATGCATATTTATTTAATTAGACAACTCTCTCTCTCTCTCTCTCTCTCTCTCTCTCTCTCTCTCTCTCTCTCTGTTTGTCTCTCTCTCCTTCCCTTTGCAAGATTCCAGATTTAGACTTTGGCAGCATCTTGTTAACAAGGAGACATATTCAGTGGATTTCTGAGCTCCCAGAGTTCTGTCCTTGGTTCTTTCAGCAGCTCTACATTTTGGGACACTCGCCTGTTAGACTTTGCCGTCACCATTAACTATTAAAAATATTGATTAAGCTCTTACTCTGTGTAAAACGGTGTAGGGGAATCCAGAAACTAAAGGAGCTCAGATTCCTTTATCTGAAATTTGGAGTCCATCAGTCTGGCTGCCATCTTTGTTAGGGGCCTCTAAGATGTGCCCTACGAAGTAGCAGATTTTTTTCTTTCTTTCCTCCTTTTCTTTCTTTTTCTTTTTCTTTTCTTCCTTCCCTTTTTCTTCCCTCCTTTCCTTCTTTCCTTCCTTCCTTCTTTCCTTCCTTCCTTCCTTCCTGTCCTCCTTCCTTCCTTCCTTCCTTCCTGTCCTCCTTCCTTCCTTCCTGTCCTCCTTCCTTCCTTCCTTCCTTCCTTCCTTCCTATCCTTCTTAGTCTGGGTTCTGAACAAGTTGAAATATAAAAAAGATTAAAGATGAGAGGAAAATATTGCCTTAATTACTAATAAAGTCTCAGGTAGGTAGAAAAATGCTAAAGATGCACCCCCTGTAAAAATGCTCACACCCTAGTCCCTGAAACCTGTGAGTATGTTAAGTCACATGGAAAAGGGGAATTGGAGTTCCAAGGAGGGTTGCTGATCAGCTGTGGGAAAGTGCTCCAGGTGCGTCCAGTGTAATCCCAGTGTCCTCAAGTGAGAGAAGAGGCAGAGGACGTGGGGTCGGGGATGTAACTGTGGAAGAAAGGCACGGAGCGGTGAGACATTGCTGGCTTTGAAGATAAAGGAAGGGGCCGTGAGCCAAGGAATGTGGGCAGCCCTCAGCAGCTGGAGGAGGCGAGGAAATGAATTCTCCTCTGGAGCCTCCAGAAAGAGCACAGCGCTGATGACAGACTTTAGTCTTCTGACCTCCAAAACCTTGAGATAATACAGTTGAGTCGTTTTGAGCTGCTATGTGGGTGGTAATTTGTCACAACAGTGATTGATAGGAAAATAATGCAGAGGCCATGGTGGAGTAGTTGGTTGGAGCAGATTAGGCAAATGGACAGGCTAATAGGAAACCCTGGAGTCAGGCAGGCTGGGCCAGGTGAGCCCAGGTGAGACATGCACCTGCAGAAGCAAAGCAAAGCACAAGCCCTCTGTGCACAGCAGATCCCATGAGGAAGGATGGAGCTGAGCCTGGCACCCTCATTTTACTTCCTCAGATTTACCAATCCAAGAAATCACCGCCCTTTCCAAGGAGCAGATGCGTCAAGGTGAGAGAGAGGTCAGTGACAGCAAAACTGCAGTCCCCTGCACCTGGAAGGGAAGTGCCAGGACTGAGGAGGAAGCACCTCCTTGCAATGGAGGTTGCATGTTCACCCACACTGACCTATGCACATACGTCTGAATGCACCATATATGAAGTGTCTCCACTTCCAGAATCTCATCTTGACTTTTCAATGACTTGAAATGGCTTCTCTCTGCAAATCCTATGCACTTCAAAATCTAGGTTGAATTCTTCCTGTTTATGAGAACTTTCCTGGGCACTCAAGCCCTTAGTGATCCTGAGCTGTGCTGAAATACCGTAAGATTTATTCCCTAGCCTATTGCAGTAGCAATGAGTCATATGTATGTCATCGTTGAGTGTTTTGAATTCCTATTCCTCGTTTCACTACTTAACTGTTCTGGTGTCTGTCGTAGCCACCCAACTACATCATGAGTTCTCTGAGGGCAGATCTCATGCCCTACACAATCTGGGAAGCTCTCTGGGACTTTACAGGGAACTTCAGTAGGACACAGTAAAATGCTTCTTGAATGGTTGATTCATCAATGATCTATCTTGTTCTATTTAATCGCATATTGGCAAAGTATTTACTGAGCACACGTTGTGTGTGAAACATTGTGCTAGGTACTGGGGAAAGAGTAGTAAGCAAATGAATTCATTTCCCTAACCTCAGCCCTTATTTGGGGTCCTTCACCCCTATTTGTGCAGATATCCCTCAGTTATACATAACTCCAAAGTTGACGGGTCATGGATCCACAAAGTATTGTTTCCTCTGTATATCACAAAGATAAGCACTGTCTTTGTAACATAATCATTCAAGTCTTTGGTTTCCACTGGATCTGTGCAGAGGCTGGCCCTAGGCCATATGGCACCTTTGTGGGAATTTTAAGATACTGCCCCGGGAGGTTGCAGAACACCCAAGTGAATTAGGGTGAATTAGTAAAAGTTGCCCCCTTCTGGATATTTTCAGCTTAAGCCTGGGTCCTTGGTTTGGCAACTAGAACACAAGCTAGATTTAATTTCCACTTACCCCTTGAGCTGAGAACTCTTGTGCAGTGCACAACCTTCACAACTGTATGTAGCAGCCCTTTCTTATGTTCACTTGGATCCAGGTTGAGCGGGTTCCTGTATCTATTCCAAACCACAAAGAATCCCACATTGGGACCCTTCTCAGGTCTTTTGAAATAAAGAAATGAGGTTTATTTGTCTCATGGTCCTCCAGGCTGTATAAACCTGGCAGCAGCATCTGCTTCTGGTGAAGACGTAAGGAAGCTCCTAATCATGGCAGAAGGCAAAGGGGGAGCACGCACATCAGATAGCGAGAGAGGCCCTTCTGATGTCTGGCTCAGGCAAAGGGGGAGCGGGCACGTCGGATAGTGAGAGAGGCCCTTCTGAGGTCTGGCTCAGTCTCAGTGGTGGGGCAAGGAAGAGTCCTGGGTGTTCCAGGCACATCAAGCTCAAGCCCTGGCTTCTCTCTATGCATCTCCTGCTATCTCACTCCCCAGTTTCCTTCCAGGCACTCCTCTCACTGCCAGCCCTCACCAGGATAGTGGCACCGCCTCTTCAACAAACCAGCACTCCATCAAAATGGAAAGGTTACGTTTTTAAGACAATTCTTTATCCTAGAAAATTTCCTTAGGCTTGAAGTTGGCGAGAAGCATAAGGTCCCAGGAGAGTCAGCGAGTCAACATTTCTTGGAATTACTCGACCACATGAAAATACATCTTGGATCTCTTATTTGCTTTTTGCTTTGGTGTATCAGATTCAGCAGAACCAGGGAGGTTGGACTGGAATTCCAGGAAATCTCAGTCCCTCAATAGAAAATAAATGCACCCAGTGGCTGACAATGGGAAGATGTCACCCAGCATCAGGCTAGTTCCTTAACTCTGTCACATTTCATGTGCAATCTCTGTGCTCACCTGTCCTTGCAGTGGTTCTGAGGACAGCACCCTGGTGCACATTGGGAGTGACGGTGCATGGTAATGAAGGCTGCTTCATTCATTCCTGCTTTCCCGCTCGCTGGCCGTGTGACCCTCTGCAGCCTGCTTCATTCATTCCTGCTTTCCCGCTCGCTGGCCATGTGACCCTCCTGCAGCCTGCTTCATTCATTCCTGCTTTCCTACCCTCTGGCTGTGTGACCGTCTGCAAGTTATTGACCACTCTGTGCCTCTCTGTCCTCATCTGCAAAGCAGGAGTAATAATATCACCCATCTAATTGGGATGTTGGGAGGATTTGAATGAGTTAAAATGTATTAACGCCCCATGACAACAGGCCCTGCACCAAAGTGGGTTTAGAGCTAAAGAGATTTGTGACTCATCACCACTGGATTCCGACAAGATCATGGCAGCATTTTCTGTACATGTAAAATATTAAAAGGGATTTCAGGAGTGGCCAGCTTACTGCAATTTCAGACACACAGCTGCTGGTGTGGTTGTGTGTGACCCTCCCTCTGTTGATAAAGTCTGCACCACAAATCCAGTGCTTTGGGTCCTCTGCGTGTGTTTACATTTGCAGGAAAAGATCAGTGACCCCCCATTATCTGGAGCCAAGCCATTGGGTGAAGGAGTCCAGTGGAATTTACAAAGCTAATGGGGGTTCGTCCTGCCTGCCCGCTGGAAACAACAAGCAGATGAAAATAGGGCATTGGTGGAGAACGGCCTTCAATTAGAAAGTCATAGTTCAGTGCTCGATGCAGCCGCGAATGCCTCCCGGGACCTGGAAAATCCCCTCATGTGCTAACTTGGCTCCTTTGTGTCATTCCAGAAAGCAGAGAGCAGTATTAGAAAGGTGCTTTTTGTACCGATTCAAATCTTCCATCCTCTTCATTATTCACAGGAAGGCCTGGGACACTGGACTATTTCCAGCTTGGGGTTTTACACATAAAGCTACTATGAGCAATTGTGCACAAGTTTTTGTGTAGCTCAATATGGTTTTAATTAATGTTTTTTCTCTACTTTGTTGCTAAACCTGGGATGCAATCTATTGTTTCTGTGCTTCACATGCAAATGGGTGGGAACTGAAGGGCTTTGTTTGTTGACTGTTGATTGATGATTGGTATTTTTTTTTCTTTCTTTCTTTCTTTTTTTTTTTTTTTTGAGACAGAGTCTTGCTCTGTCACCCAGGCTGGAGTGCAATGGCACGATCTCAGCTTAATGCAACATCTGCCTCCTGGGTTCAAGTGATTCTCCTGCCTCAGCCTCCTGTGTAGCTGGGATTACAGGTACACACCACCACACCCAGCTTATTTTTGTATTTTTAGTAGAGACAGGGTTTCACCATGTTGGTCAGGCTGGTCTCGAACTCCTGACCTCGTGATCCGCCCATCTCGGCCTCCCGAAGTGCTGGGATTACAGGCGTGAGCCACTGCACCCGGCCGATTGGTGTTTCTTAACTAGGCTGGTTTCGGTCACTGCATGACCTCTGAGTACGATGGTAGGCTGGGTAATGTTTCTCCAAACTGGAACAGCACAGATGTTATTCAACAGATGACCAGTTACGCAAACTGTGGTACCCCCTCCATGAAATTCTACTTAGTGTTGAAAAGGATGGAACTCTTGGCACAACAGCTTGGATGGATCTCAAAGGCATTAGGCTGAGTGAATACAGCCAGTCCCCGAAGGTCACGCCCTGAGTGATTCACTGATATGACATTCTTGAAAGCATAGACAGGGACAGGTGAGTGGCTGCCAGGAGTCCAGAATGATGGGGAGCAGGAGGGTGGGTGAGCCCGAAAGGAGAGACTGGAGGACAGTCTCGTGTGCGTGATTCAGCGCTGTGTTCTGGATGTGGTGCCAGTTACATGAACTCACATGCAGGGAATGTAAGCCAAAAATAAAATGCTAAGCCCCCTCAACCAATTGACTAAAGCCCTCCTCTCAGCCAAGGGTGTTCCTAAGTTAACCCTTGTTCCTGAGTTAACATCAATATTAATATTTCTTAATGTTCCCAAGTTAATCTTAATATTCCATAGTGATGTCTGTGAGTTAAGTGCTGCTGATTTGCTTAGTGCGAACATAAGTTATACGTACTTTCAAATATGCCATGGCCACCAGGATTGAGAATGAGCTCGACCAAATTTTTGAAACACTAATTCAGGCCATGATGGGAATTAGGGGGTCAGACACACCTCACTACACCCTCCTCCCTTTGGAATTCAGGCACAGGTGACTGGCATTAACTGTAAAACACACCTTCAGGCTGACAAAGCAGACTCTTTGTCGCAATAAGATACCCACATGACAGATAGCAAGCCCTAAAAGAAATCAAAATATTTCACCCCAAAATAGATTTCTTTGACATATTTTGAAATGGCCCTGCAAAGCTGTCTCTTGCAGGGAAAAATCTACATTTTGTAGAGAATCCCCTTCCCTTTCCAGGACTTTTTCCTGATCCAGGAGAGAATCAGCTAAGGTTCTGGTACCTTTTAAAGTCTGATAATGAACATTTACATCTGTTCTCTCTGAAGCCTGCTGTCTGGAGGCTGCATCTGCATCATAAGAACCTTGGCCTCCCCAACCCCTTATCTGAACCCAGACACCCCTTTCTATCGATTCCAGGTCTTCAGATAAACTCTCAACCAATTCCCAATCAGAAAATCTTTGACTCCACCTATGACCTGGAACACCGCCACCTCCCACTTTGAATTGGCCTGCATTTTTGGAGGTAACCAATGTACATCTTACACGTATTGGGTGATGTCTTGTGCCTCCCTGAAATGTATAAAACCAAAAGCTGTAGCCCAACCACCTTGGGCACAGGTTCTCAGGACCTCCTGAGGCCCTCACCGGTATGTCATCAATCTTGGCAAAATAAACTTCTAAATCGATTGAGACCAGTCTCAAATACTTTTTGGTTTACAGATAAAATGACTGAACTACACACACACACATTGCACCAATGCCAGTTTCCTTGCATTGATATTATACTATCATTCCAGAAGATGGAACCCCCTGGGAACCGGAGTAATGGGTACATAGGACCTCTCTGTACCACTTTGCAACTTCCTGTAAATCTATCATTATTTTAAGGTATTAATAAAAAGCTTTTTTAAAAAGAACATATTGAACTACACCAAATATCCTCAACCATATTTTTTTTTGAGATACAGTCGTATTCTATTGCCCAGGCTGGAGTGCAGTGGTGCGGTCTGAGCTCCCTACAACCTCCGCCTCCTGGGTTCAAGCGATTCTCCTTCCTCAGCCTCCTGAGTAGCTGGGACTACAGGTGCACGCCACCATGCCGGGCTAATTTTCGTATTTTTAGTAAAGACAGGGTTTCACCACGTTGACCAGGATGTTCTCTACTCTTGACCTCGTGATCCCCCCACCTCAGCCTCCCAAAGTGCTGGGATTACAGGCGTGAGCCACCGTGCCAGGCCCCTCAACCATATTTCTTTGGCATGCCAAAGGACTCTAGACTCTTAGCAGGTTTATCACTAATGCTGGTGTCGTGTAATTTTGTAACAACTTAGCATACTGTTGTTAGCAAGAATGACAACCTCTAATGTCCACAGCATCCCAGCCTGGTAACATAAATAAGTGAAGTAGCCTGTTTATGAAGTAACTGTAGCTTAGTGTTGACAGCCTGCGATATAGTCCTGATAATCCCAATATTTAGATTTTTCATTAACACAAAACTCCCATTAAAAGCACTTGCCACATGTGCCTCAAACAAAGCATGGTCATCGGCTGTATCTTGTCAACAGACCAGCAGAGGTGATTCCATTTGACCAGCAACTTCTGCCAGAAAGAACAAATGCAAGGCTGCCAAATTGCAGGTCCTGGTGTAAAACAGGTGCAGCTTGCTACCTGCAAGAGGTTGGAGACATTGGTAAATAAAGTCAAGATAGTGCAATAGGAGGATTGTTTCTTTCCTGGACCGTGACAAGCCCTGACCTCCTGAGAATTAAAGAACAAGGTTAGGGAAGTCTCCCGTTCAACTGAAACAGGCAGTGACATAAGCAACGCGGGAGATGGTAATGCTTATAGAGACACTGTGAGACATTGATACTCCATAGTGATGTTTAGGTAAGTGCTGCAGATTTGCTTAGTGTGAATTTAAATTACACATACGTTCAAATATGCCATGGCCACTAGGGATGAAGATGAGCTCAGTCAGATTTTTTCACACACACACACACACACACACACACACAATAATACTATTGAAACTGCCTTTGCAAAATTATGACTGAGGCAGCGAAAGAGATCTAACTTAACCGACCCCATCTTGCTTCTAACCTCCAAGCTGTCCTTGTTCATTCCCGGGCGTAGGCTGAACTAACTTTGGGAGAAACTTAGTTTATAGTTTAAACAAGGATGGTAACAGTCCTTTCCCAAAGCAGACCTCTTTCTTGCCTGAGGACTAAATTGCCTTTATAGGACTAACATTAGCCACAATATTAGAAATTATGACTTAGGAGTCACGCAGCTGGAGGCTACAAGATTCTGACCCTCCCTAAGCTGCCCCTAAGATCAGGGCTTGAGATGTTTTGCAGACTCTGCACTTGATGGATCAACTGGCACCACCCAGATGGATAAACTGGCCCATATGAACTTGTGGCCCCCACCCAGAAACTGACTCAGTGCAAGAAGACAGCTTCGACTCCCTATGATTTCATCTCTGACCAATCAGCACTCCTGGCTCACTGGCTTCCCCCCACCCACCAAATTATCCTTAAAAACTCTACTCCCTGAATACCTGGGGAGACTGATCTGAGTAATAATACAACTTAGGTCTCCGCACAGCTGGCTCTGCATGAATTACTCTTTCTCTATTGCAATTCCCTGTCTTGACGAATCAGCTCTGTCTAGGCAGCAGCGGGCAAGGTGGATCCCTTGGGTGGTTACACGATAATACAGTGCTATTATGCATTATTATAGATCTATCTAAAATATTACCATATGTAGACGTGCTCTGGTCATAAGATAGTACCTTTATGTTTTATGGAGAATTTCCCTCAATACTCTGTATATACAAGATCACTTGGAGATCGTCCAGAGTCTAAATGTGAAGCCATTTATAAGTGACCTTGTCTGTAATCAATGCTAGGTTCACAAATATGCATAGGTTCCTGGATAAGTCAAACCACAAAAAGGAATATGAAAGAACACCAGGGCTACACAATCCTTTTAGGGCAATCCTACCTGTTGTTATTATCTTTTCCTTGAAACTTTACAGACCAAGATACGTGTTCTCTCACCCATCACCTGCTTCATTGCACCCATAAAGCATTTGATTGCAGGCCAGGCACGGTGCCTCATGCCTGTAATCTGAGGCAGGCTGATCACCTGAGGTCAGGAGTTCCAGACCAGCCTGGCCAAGATGGTGAAGCCCCATCTCTACTAAAAATGTAAAAATTAGCCAGGCATGATGGCACAAGCCTGTAATTCCAGCTACTCAGGAGGCTGAGGCAGGGGAATCACTTGAATCTGGGAGGGGGAGGTTGCAATAACCCGAGATCACGCCACTGCACTACAGCCTGGACAACACAGTGAGACTCAGTATCAAAAAAAAAAAAATTCTATTGCATTTCTAAATGCCTACTCTCAGCTGAGTAAATTCTTTCCTTAGATTGAAAAATCAGAAACAACAAAACTAAAGAAAAAACAACAGAAAAACCGACCTCCGTTGAGGTAAAAAGTTGCTCAGAATTTACAAGTTCGGTTAAATAATCAGACCCCACCCTTCTGTTCCCATTATCTATTTGCAATGCTAAGTTAAACCCTTCAGTGCCCTTTTACCTCAGCTTTCAAAAACCTTAAGGTACTGAGAAAATGGTATTTTTTAACCATATATATATTATATTCCATAGTATATAATATAACATATAATATATTAAATACATTTACTATATAATACATAATATATATTATATAATATATTATATACATTTAATATATAATATATATTATATATTATATAAAATGTATATAATATATAATATATATTATATAATATGTATATAATATATAATATATATTATATAATATGTATATAATATATAATATATATTATATAATATGTATATAATATATAATATGTATTATATAATATGTTATATAATATATAATATATATTATATAACGTTATATAATATATAATATATATTATATAATATATAACGTTATATAATATATAATATATATTATATGATATATATTATATTATATATTATAATGTATAATATAATATATATCATATAATATATAATATATTGTATAATATATTATATAGTATATAATATATTGTATAATATATTATATAGTATATAATATGTTGTATAATATATTATATACTATATAATATATTATATATTATATAGTGTATAATATATTATATACTATATAATATGATATATTATATACTATATAATATATATATTGTATATTATATACTATATTATATAGTATATAATATATTATATACTATATAATATAGTATATAATGTATAATATATATTACATATTATATATAATATAAATACATATTATATATATTACGTATTATATATAATATAAATACATATTATATATATTACATATTATAAATAATATAAATACATATTATATATATTATATATAATATATAATACATAATATATAATATATATTATATAATATATTATTACATAATATATTTTATATAATATATTGTTATATAATATATAATATATAATATGTTGTTATATAATATATAATATATATTGTTATATAATATATGATATATATTGTTATATAATATATATGATATATATTGTCATATAATATATAATATATGATATATATTGTCATATAATATATAATATATGATATATATTGTTATATAATATATAATATATGATATATATTGTTATATAATATATAATATATAATATTATATGTAGTATAATATATATAATATTTTATATAATATATAACGATATATTATATAATATACTATATATTATATAATATATAGTTATATATTATATAAATATATATAAATAATTATATATATAAATATATATAAATATATATAAATATATAAATATATAAATATATATAAATATATACATATATAAATATATATAAATATATATAAATATATACATATATAAATATATATAAATATATATAAACATATACATATATATAAATATGTATAAATATATATAAATATATATAAATATATATAAATATATATAAATATATATAAATATATAAATATATATAAATATATATAAATATATATAAATATATAAATATATATAAATATATATAAATATATAAATATATAAATATATATAAATATATAAATATATATAAATATATATAAATATATAAATATATAAATATATAAATATATTTAAATATATAAATATATAAAAATATATATATAAATACATATAAATACATATATAAATATATATGTAAATATATATAAATACATATATAAATATATATATGAATATATAAATACATATATAAATATATATATGAATATATATAAATACATATATAAATATATATATGAATATATATAAATACATATATAAATATATATAAATACATATATATATAAATATATATAAATACATATATAAATATATATATATATATTTTTTTTTTTTTTTGAGACAGAGTTTTGCACTCTTGCCCAGGCTGGAGTGCAGTGGCGTGATCTCGGCTCACTGCAAGCTCCGCCTCCCGGGTTCACACCATTCTCCTGCCTCAGCCTCCCCAGTAGCTGGGACTACAGGTGCCCGCGACCACGCCCAGCTAGTTTTTTGTATTTTTAGTAGAGACGGGGTTTCACCGTGTTAGCCAGGATGGTCTCGATCTCCTGACCTCATGATCCACCCTCCTCGGCCTCCCAAAGTGCCGGGATTACAGGCGTGAGACACCACGCCTGGCCTAACCTTCTATATTAACCCTAAAGCAACTACGTTTAAAAAATAACAGGTACCTAAATTGGAACACCAATTTCTCTAATCACAGATCAGGTACATAACTTTATGGGAAACATTTCCTTCAAAGCATGACAAGGAAGGCTCGTCTGATCCTGTATTTTATTTGTGAATTTATTTCTTGAGTTAACATGAATCTATGTCAAAGTAAAACTTATATCTGAAAGAATCCAAATCATGAGCAGCTTTCTTTTTATAGTTTTTCCCTTAAGAATAAAAAAGTTGGGCAAAATGCATTTCCAACGACAATCTGCAAACAAGATGACAAGAGTCTGGGTGAATACATTTTTAAACGACTGCCTGGATCAACTGGAATTGTCATTGGTTTCTTTATTTACTGTTATTTCACCATCATCTTTAATAATCTTGTTCAATAATATTTTATAAATAAATATGTAAATGAATCAAGAAGTAAATAGAAAATGTGTCTAGGAGATACTTCATTGGGAAACAAAGCTGATTAAAAGCATTAAGTGTTCATGAATCCATTTTTGTAAGATACCTGAGTGCACCTGTGTGTAGATGATTTGATCAGAAAGAATTGTTTTGCCATGTTAACAAACAAACTCAAAGTTTTAGAGTCAAAAGTGGAAATAAATATCCCTTTTTTACATAGCCAGAGAGACGCAATTCATCACGTTCATATTAATTGTCTTTATCCAAAGCCAGGGCTGGGGAGAATCAGGGGCAGGCAGGAGATTGCATTTTTGTGACAAGCAGGAAGTTACTTCTGGCAGCCATGCACCTAGGTCAGTGCCGTCAGATACAAGGACATAAGCTGACAGCTGTGAATGAATGTTCAGATCCCAAAAAGATGACTGCAACCCCTCCAAGACGCATTCCTAGAGTATTAAAAAAAGAGGCTCACTTGGCCTTTAAAAAGGTTGGCACTCATCTCCAATAGGTAGGAAAATGATTTACAAATACTAGTTTTCTAAAAGAAATCCTGCAAGGGGCAGCGGCGGGGCGGGGGGTGGGGAAATGGGTAGGCATTCTGTTTCCCTCTGGCCACCAAAGAAAGTTTATTTTATTATTATTTCATTGGCATTTATCCTCACAGTGTTTATGTTCTTCCAGGCGTCGTGTCAGTGGAAAGCGATTCATTGATGATGAAGACATTCTGGGAGAATTTAGCGTAGGCCAGTTGGAATTAGCAGACCTCAGTCAACCAGGATCCCCTGTTGGGCAAATTCTGAGCAGGTCCAGCAGGTTGGGGCTCACCCGGTGAGGAAGACTTCCTGGGTGAGGAAGACTCCTCGACGACTCCTTCCAACACTCCCTCTGAAAAGCCTTCCTGACGGGAGCCTGGCTGCCCTAGGAATAAACAAGGGAAGGGAAGGCATTTGAACCCTTTTCCTGGGGTCCTTTAGAACCAGTTCCCCTCAGTCCCGCTCATCATATTCTCCCAATTCTTTTCACCATTCTATTTTACTGTCACCTCCAACAGAATAAATCCTTTTCCATTTTTTTGAGGCAGGAATTGTGACTCTTAATAAATATTTTTTTCTTGTGTTCTGACGATTCACTATTCCTTCCCCAAATTTTAAAAATCAAAGAAACTCCTTTCTCTCTGGTGCAACATTCCTGCCCTGAGTCATAACACAGCATATGGCCAGCTCCTGGGATGAAAAAGGGTCCAGGTGAGATGGGATGAAGGGGTGCAGATGAGAAACCAAACACCTTGCATAGCACACCAGGCTCACTCACGGCCTGGCAACAGCTCAGAGTGGAGGCAGGGCCTTACCAGTGGTGGGCAAATCCCCACTCAGGCTCCTTGGTTCCTGTCTCCTTTCTTCCCTCCCAGAATCATGTAAAATGCTGACTTCTAGGAGAAAGAAAAAGCAAGCCTCATCTTCCATCCTAAAGCAGCTCCTTAAAAACAAAGAAAACACGAGTTATTTCAGCCACCTCCAGTATTTATCATCAAGTGATTTTGTATAATTCTCTCCACTTCGCAAAATCTTCATGCTCTGGAAAGGGCTGCTGGGGATAGAATCTCAGGTCAAGGTGGGGGCGGGGGCACTGAGCAAATGACCCTGACGCCTTCTTTGGATCTGCTGTTCTATGATTTTAGTAAATTGGAGTGAGGGTCCTCCGCCTCCCACTCACAACTCCTGCTCAGTTTCTTGGTTGCTTATTGGTTTTAGTTAAAATTCTTCCCCAGTCCATCTGATGTGGTTAGGCTTTGTGTCCCCACCCAAATCTCATCTTGAATTGTAATCCCCAGGTTTTGTGGGAGAGACCTGGTGGGAGATGATATGATCATGGGAGCGGTTTCCCCCATGGTGTTCTTGTGATAGTGAGTGAGTTCTCACAAGATCTGATGGTTTTATACGTGTTTGACAGTTCCTCCTTCATGTATTTACTCTCTCTCTCTCTCTCTCCTGCTGCCATGTAAGATGTGCCTGCTTCCTCTTCTTCCATGATTGTAAGTTTCCTGTGGCCTCCCCAGCCATGCAGAACTGTAAGTCCATTAAACCTCCTTTGTTTATAAATTACCCAATCTTGGATAGTATCTTTATAGCAGTGGAAGAACAGACTAATACACCATCCAATGGAGCAATGTTACACTCAACCAAACATAAATTAAGTATTTACAGCTCAATTGGAGAGAGAACTTAGAACAAGAAATACTTAATTTCATTAATGCTCAGTCCTCTGCCCTGGGGAGTGGGATGAGACATCTACATTTGGCTGCAGTTTCTGGGGCCTCTCCTGCTGGTAGCATCTCTCTCTGTATTGTGTTATTCTAATATTTAAAGATTTGTATTTTTCATAGAGCATGTGCCCTAAACCTGTGCCTACAACATTAGCAGCTGTGCATCTTCCTGAGAAGGATAACTCCTCTGCTGTGTTGATTCAGTTTTATTCAGTTATTTTGACCATCTCAGTTTCTCCCTCTGTGTTGTTTGTAGAATCCAAGCCCAACATCCACTGTGACTCTAGTGATGCTTCCTCTTCATCCAAGATTCTCTGTCCATTGACCCCACCAGGAATGAAGTGTCCCTGAGGTCACTGTGAGATACATCAGAGTCACTTGTGTTACTTTCTTTCCCATTCCTGCAGATGCTGCATTTGCTTCTAAAGTGGAAACCCAGCCAGGGCAATGTTGAAGGCAGGCAGCTGCCAATGGTGGGATGCCAGGCATCTGAGCATAAACCTGAGCCCAGAAGGATGGGGATGGCCTGCCAGGACAATCAACTGCAGAAGACAGGGCTTCCTGGTCAGTCAAACAGTGGCAACTCTTCCTCCTTTTCCCAAAGCTCTTGGAAAGCCATAAACTCCCTGGGGAAGTAGTTTTGAATGTTCATTAAACTGGGAGGGGTTTACATTAAAAAACAATTTAAGGAATCTCGTCTAAAACCCAAAAGTCCTCTGAAGAGTCTTCTGCGGGCTCATCAAAAACCACACAATTGGCCAGGCACAGGCCTCTCATCCCAGCATTCTGGGAGGTCAAGGCAGGTGGATAGTTTGAGGCCAGGAGTTCAAGACCAGCCTGGAGAACAAGGTGAAATCCAGTCTCTACAACAAAATACAAAAATTAGCTGAGTGTGGTGGCTCACAAGTAGTCCCAGCTACTCAGGAGGCTGAAGTGGGAGGATCGTTTGAGCCAGGAGTTCAAGGCTGCAGTGAGCTGTGATTGCACCACTGCACTTTAGCCTGGGCAACAGACCAAGAACCTGTGGAAAAAAAGAAAAAAAGAAGCTACACAATCAGCATAATATAAATGTTGGAGTCACGTGGAATGGCTGTGCTCCTCAGGCCTTTGCCTTGGGTGCCAGAAGCTGAGGGGATGGAGGTTCCGTGTGAATGTGGGCATGGTGGAGGGAGGGCTGAATCCACACTGGAGTGGGGAACCTGGGTATGGGGGGCTCTAGATGAGGGGATGGTGAAGGTGGTGGCCAACACTTGTTGTGTCAACTGCAGTCAACCCTTCCTTCTCTCCAGATTCCATGCTCAGCAGCCGCATGTGGACACTTTCCATGAACATCCACATTTTGGACTGCCTCCCTTTGTTGGGACCTCACTGCCCTGGCTTCCTGTGCTGCTGGGGTGGTCAAGGGACCTAAGGGTATAAACTGGACAGTTGCCAGGAATCTTCTGGGAGAGGACTCCAGGGAACAGGGAAACCTATGGGTTCTCCCCCATGTCCTTTCTCTATGTGGTTCAGTTATGGGGAGGGGACTCTTCTGCCCCCTTGTGACCATGAGGCACCAGCCGTGAAGATGAAGCGCCCATCCCCAGGGCCTCGAGAGAGTGGAAAAGGGGACAGTGGTTGGTAAGGATGATAAGGATGTAAGGTGACACAAGGGGGATTTTATTTTAATTCTTTTTTTTTTTTTTGAGACGAAGTCTCGCACTCTCGCCCAGGCTGGAGTGCAGTGGCACTATCTTGGCTCACTGCAAGCTCCGTCTCCTGAGTTCACACCATTCTCCTCCCTCAGCCTCCTGAGTAGCTGAGACTACAGGCGCCCACCACCACACCTGGCTAATTTTTTGTATTTTAAGTGGAGACGGGGTTTCACCATGTTAGTCAGGATGGTCTCGATCTCCTGGCTTTGTGATCCGCCCGTCTCAGCCTCCCAAAGTGCTGGGATTACAGGCATGAGCCACCACGCCCGGCTCAATCCTTTCTTTTAACAAGACAAATAGTTCATGTTAGTGCCAAACCACTAGGAAATACTGATTAAAAGAAAGGGAGAAAAAAAAATTACCCATCCTTTGTAGTTCACAATGTTCCTATTGTTTCTCTCTGTCTCTCTCTCTTTTTCTCTCTCTTTCTCTCTCTCTCGAGACAGCATCTCCCTCTGTCGCCCAGGATGGGGTGCAGTGGCGTGATCATAGCTCACTGTGCTTCAGCCTCCCAGCTCAAGCAATCCTCCTACCTCAGCCGCCTGACCATAGTCACACACCACCATGCCCAGCTAATTTTTTAAATTTTTTTGTAGAGACAGGATCTCACTATGTTGCCCAGGCTGGTTTTGAACCCCTGCTCTCAAGAAATCCTCCCACCTCAGCCTCCCAAAGTGCTCGAATTACAGGCGTGAGCCATCAAGACAGAAGCCAAGCGTGTTTCTCTCTCAATCCTTCAGATTTTATTTCTTACTAATTTTCTTCCCCAGCACAGAATCAGGGAACACACTCAGTTTTCACTCTCTCTCTCTCTTCCGTCTCTCCTAGCTCTCCAATTCCCAAATTAGAAAAACCATCAGCTCTGAATGGCCTCAAGAGCTTAACTTCTAAGGCCTCCCCTGGGGCTGGCCTCCCATGCGTTGCACTTGTCCTGGTGGTTGCAGATACCAAGTTGCCTCATTGCCATTGAAGGGATGAACACACAGAGCACTCCGATGTTATTGCTTCTTAGGAGCCCGGATGGAGCCGGCTCGTGTACACTCACAGAAAGTCACTTATTTGCTTATCGCTTCTTGAGTCTCAAGCACAATCTCTTTGGAGGATTGATGGGCTGATGGGGCAACAATTCAATGCCAAGATAATCCAGCCACAATAACAAGCAAGCCTTCAGAAGCACTGAAATAATTGCATGGTCTAAGAGTTGGCTCCAAACAGTGATTAACGCAGGAGCGGCAGCCTTTTCAGAGACCCTCACTGGCCGCACAAAAGAATCAGGCTCTGTGCTGATAAAGGAGCATTTCCAGCCAGTGCAGCTGATAATTAAGTGGCCTTGTCAGAAGGCTTCGATGTTTACCGATGCGGTGGGAAGATGTGAGTGAAAACATACATTTAAAAGGAGAGGAAAAGAATATTAAGAATTGCCTTTAAAACCACTTTGATGTCAACAAACTTAAAAACATGCTGCAAAAATAAGACACACAATCCTTTACTGAAGGCATCATTATAAAAATGTGGCTGAGCTTGACAGAAGCCTGAAGGGTACTTTTGTGGGATTTCTAATGCTTATGTACATGCACTATTGAATTTTTAGGTATGTAAATCGTGGCTTAGTGAGGATGGAGGTTGTTTATTTAACAAAGGGACAGACAGGGCTCAAATGCACTTAGAATGAAGAGACTCAGGCTTGGCCAGGAAGCCTCCATGTCCACAGCGAAATTGCTTTGCCATTAGACCAGATTGAGCCAGTGATAAGCAAAGTTAATGCACCACGTCATCCTCTTCACAGCGAATAACGCTCAGCATGCCTGGAATCATCTCCTTGTTTATTACAAGCCATGCAACCCTTATCAGCACCCGCATTTATGCACATCGTGATTATTAAACAGCAAACAACAGATTATGATTCCAGTGTCTGATCAGGTGAATGTGGGTATCCATCAGCAGCCGCCAAGTTATCTGCAGAGGGGCAGTGCCGTCCCTCAGAGCTCCAGCTTCGATACAGAGTTTCCTGTGCTCAGATCCTAGCTGGGCAGCTACTAGCTGTGCAAACTTGAGCAAGTTCCTTTCTCCCTCCCCGTGTCAATTTCATCTGCAGTATGAGGATGATAGGGTGGAAGACTGAATATAAAAATGGACAATGGCAGGACCATATATGACATTAGAATGCTGACCCACTTCCTCTGCAAAGACCAGCCCAGGAAAGCAAGCTACAGTTTCTGCAATCAGTGCAGAAGAGTCAGGACTTGGTAATGTTTGCCCTCACTTTCTACTCAAGATCAACCAGAGGCAGCCAAATATGGGCCCCAGAATAATCCTGGAATATGTGCTGCTTCTAGTTATCCCACACAGCCTCCAATCTGGGCACACAGGAAGTCTTGCTTTTTTTTCTCTATAAATCTTTCCCTCTCGTCTCCCTGCCTTTGAATCTCTGCCCAGCATGAACCATGGTGGCTGACTCCCTTGTTTTAGAAAGATCTGGATAAAGGGCCTGTGTCTGTTCTCATTTGGTCTTTGTCTACTTCCACATAGTAATAGTACTTATTTTAATGTTGTGAAAATTTGATTAGTTAGTAAACATAAAGGGCTTAGAGCTGTGCCCAGAACTTTGCAGGTGTTGGCTACTCATATTGTTAGAGTCTCCTAAGCCCTAGACCAGGGGTGCCCAATCTTTTGGCTTCTCTGGGCAATAATGGTAGAAGAAGAATTGTTTTGGGCCACACATAACATACACTAACACCGACAATAGCCAATGAGCTAAAAAACAAATCTCAAAAAAATGTCATAATGTTTTAAGAAAGTTTACGAATTTGTGTTGGGCCATGTGTTGGATAAGCTTGCCCTAGACTCTTTAACCATGTTAGTAAGAACTGAAGGCACCTCTGCTTTCCTCCCTGTTCCATACTCTCCTGAGGCAATGAACAGACAGCTGTGTTTCTGCTGGGATGAGGAGAAGGAAAATAGGCAATAAAACAATAACTAAAACAATAACTAAACAATAACTTAAAATAACAATAACTTAAAACTTAATAACAATAACTTAAAGTTATTGCCCAGAGTATAATTTTAGTCATATACATGAAAACAACCTGAAGCCATTTCTATTCAGGAGAGGGTTGACCATTTGGGACAGTCAACTGCAGAAGATGGCTCTGCCTGGTGAATCAACAGTGATAAGGTTTCCTCTTTTTCCCAAAGTTCTTGGAAAGCCAGAAACTCTCTGGGGAATTAGCTTTGAATGTTCATTTCTCCAGGAGGGGTGTTCTCAAGGTTAAAAAAATATTAAGAAATCTCCTCTAAAACCCAAAGTTCTTCTGATAATATAGCCTGTGTTGTGGGCCATATTATCACCCACAAAACCCAACCTCATGGGAAAGAGTCTCACAGGGCCTGCCTGCTTTTGTACAGATGGAAAAGGGGTGACATGCTTCTGTTGGGGGTGCACAGAGGGACTGAGCAGTTCTTTGGGGACTCTTTGGCTGTTATCATTCAGCTTTCTCCAGAATCAGCCAGGCCTAGGAGACTGCTAGGCATGTATATAAATAGATAGCCCCAAATGGATACTTTGGCCCAAGAGATGATAAATTGAGTTGCTCTCCTCTGTGAAAACCAGAAATGGAAAGAAATGAAGCAAAAGCCCAGAGCAACATCATAGCACAGGAGTCTGGATGGCATGCAGAGTTTGTGCTCATTTGAGAGGTGGGAGTGGGGGCAGGGGGTGTCCTTAGTTCTCTATGCAGAGATAAGAACTAGGGTTTGTATCTCTACAGTTGCGCAGAAGATATTAAGCCTTCCTTTCTAATAACATCATGATCATGCAAACCTGCAATTTTTTTCTATTAACTTGCATGTTCTTTGATATTTTAGGTTAAAAAAAAAGTATATACATGTCACATTTTGAATCTATTCATCCATAAGATAACTTTTTTTTTTTTTAAGACAGGATTTTACTCCCAACAGCCAGGTTGGAGTACAATGGCCCAATCTTAGCTCCCTGCAACCTCCCCTTCCTGGGCTCAAGCAGTTTTCCTGCCTTAGCCTCTCAAGTAGCTGGTACTACAGGTGCATGCCACCACGCCTAGCTAATTTTCTGTACTTTTTGTAGAGACAGAGTTTTGCCATGTTAGCCAGGCTGGCTCCGAATTCCTGAGCTCAAGTGGTCCGCCTGCCTTGGCCTCCCAAAGTGCTGGGATTACAGGCATAAGCCACCATGCCTGGCCATATGACATCATTTTTTAATAGGTAATACATTATTAAAGGAAATATCTATTTAAAGTCTTGCCATTGTAGGTAAAAGAAAAAATAATCAGTTGAGCTGGTTCCAGAGAATCCCTGAAAAGTCAAGCAAAAGAAGGCTTTCCCCTTAGCGAACAGCTGAAAAAATACTTTCCAAGAGTTTGATAAGAAATTCTCTGACAACGTAGATGCCAGATCAATTTTTGATTAGGAGTATGTTGTGTAAGTGCCTACTCTGTTCCAACCCAGTGCTGGGATCCCCTGGCTAAAACCCAATGGAGATGATCACCTTGAGACATAACACTGCCAAGTGCCTCCCCACCACTGCGTCTGTTTGCAGTATCAGCAAGGGATAATTATTGAAAGGTTTCTGGTGGTCCCAGCATCCCTTAATTATCCCACTGATCACTTTTTGGAACTGATAGGAGAAAACGTTAGGAAGCAATTGGTGTGCTGGCCAAAAGAATCAGAGTCAGCAACTGAACTGAAAGAGTCTCCATTACTTAGAAACCAAAGCCTTGGTTCCAATTCTGTTTTTGGTCTTTATAACAGTTAAGGTAAAATGAGACAATAAAACAATCAAAACCAGATATAGATATAGATATAGATATAGATATAGATATAGATATATAGATATGGTGGGAAGTTTATTTCCCACTCAGAAATTTCAAAGCCAATGCCCTTGGTGAGTGGCTTTTCTCCAGGGGATGTTTAGGCTCTCCCATCTTTGGCTCCTTCATTCTAACATATGGCTTCTGAGGTTCCAGTGCTGCTGGGCACTGAGCAGGTGGGGGAGGATGGAACATGCAGGATTATGGATGGGAGCTTCACACAGGTTGGTCTAGGAAGGCAGTGCCATCATGTTTGCTCCCCTGCCACTGGCTGGAAGCCAGTCCCATGACCACAGTGAACTTCCTGGGGGCTGGAAATAAAACATAACCAGGAAGGAAAGCAAGTGGGTTTGGGGAACAAGGATCCAGTCTCCTCTTCCATCTTTAGGAATCCATGCAGATTGCAGATTTAGCTAGGCGTAGTGGCACACTCCTTTAGTCCCAGCTACTCGGGAGGCTGAGGCAGGACAATTGCTTGAACCCGGGAGTTGGAGGTTGCAGTGAGCCAAGATCACGCCACTGCACTCCAGCCTGGCAACAGAGTGAGACTCTGTCTCAAAAAAAAAAAAAAAAAAAAAAGAATCCACGCAAATACCAGTATCAAAATATCTCGTGTACTCCATAAATATACATGCTTACTATGTACCCCCAAAAAATTAAGAATTAAAAAATTAATAATAATAATAATACAGAATCCATCAGAGAGGCTTCCGGTGTAACTAGGGAAGTGTTGTAAACTTCCAAAGACACAAAGGGTTAGGGCACAAACATCTTCTGCCTGTTTTCTTCCAGAACTAAAGCAATTTGACATGACATGAGAAAGGCTTAATTCATTCATCCATAATTTTAAAAATAAAATGCTCCATGTATCAAAATATATAAATGCCACAAAGTGGATGCCAATATGTAGAATACAAAATAGGCACTTTTTCCCCAACATGAAAGAGAATTGCAAAAATAGAACACAACAAAAACATAGGAGTTGATGGTTTATATACAAGTATATTTCAGACAGAAAATTTGCTCTCACTTTTATTTCATAGATATGAAAATCAGCAGGCTTTAGATTAGACAATCTTCATTGAAACCATTTGCACCACCAAAGACACAAAAGGAAAGCAACATTCTTAAGAACTCACTTGCCACTAGTGGGAAGTCACAGAGCTTACACACGTATTTGCATGGCCGGGCTAATGCCATATAATTGTAATATAATAGTGAAAATATTAAACATGGTATCATCCATCATCTCACCTGCAATAGAGCTTTAATTGAACAAAAACCCCACGAGATAGGTACTATGAAGTATTTCTCTTTTACAGATATGAAAATTTAATCACTCAAGATGTGCTTTGCATGCGTTGTTGTGGAGGTTTGTCTTAAAACATCCTCAGTCATAGTGAGGTGCTGGTTAATGCTAAACCAGGGAGAAAGATAGAGCTGGCCTGCGTTTCAGGCATAAAACTCTTAGCATGTTGTGTAGAATTTCAGTTAATGGGAGAGAAACAAAATGTAGTTGCTCACGATTCTATCCACAAATTTCTAGCCCAGGATAGGCACAGCACCTCGTCCTCCCATTGACATGTCTAAGACGAAGGATAAAGAGGCAGAAGGAGGGGAGAGGGTGCACAGGTTTGATTCAAGGTGCAGGGATTCTGCAGTTGAAGGATGGATGTTCTAACGCCTCTTGAGGGCTCAAGGCAGAGCATGGGGGTGGTTTTTAAGTGCTTTGAAGTCTTGTGTGGTTGACAGTTGCAGCTCACGTATAGCAGAGACACTGCCTTCACGCTGGGAGAGCCTCCTGTTGCATTTTGGAAGCCCAGGTTCAATCACCATCCAACAGCTATGATGAGTCTCCATTTCTAAGATGCACATCGTGGTGCTGAGGGTCCCTTGTACAGAAAGTGGGAGGAAAGTGAAGCCAAAGATATTCAAATATAAAGCTCTTTCCTTTAAAAATGTATTACCTGTAAAAAAAAAAAAAATATATATATATGGTGTTGGCTGGGCACTGTGGCTCACAACTGTAATCCCAGTACTTTGGGAGGCCAAGGAGGGCAAATCACCTGAGGTCAGGAGATCGAGACTAGCCTGACCAACATAGTGAAACCGTGTCTCTTCTAAAATACAAAAATTAGCCGGGCGTGGTGGCAGGTGCCTATAATCCCAGCTACTAGGGAGGCTGAGGCAGGAGAATCACTTAAGGCCAGGAGGCAGAGGTTGCAATGAACTGAGATTGCGCCACTGCACTCCAGCCTGGGTGACAGAGCAAGACTCCATTTCAGGAAAATAAAAAGAAAAAGGTGTCATATGGATGAATAAATTTAAAATATGATATGTATACACGATATATACATGCAATATGATACAGCCTTTAAAAAAAGGAATTATGTCACTTGTAACAACATGGATGGATGGAAAGAGCATTATTTTAAGTGACATTAAGACAGGCACAGAAAAACAAATACTGCTTCACTTACATGTGTAATCTGAAAAAGTCGATCTCATAAAGAGAGAGAAGGAAGGTGGTTGCCGGAGGCTGGGGGCAGGGCAGGAATGAAGAAAGGAGAGATGCTGATCTAAGGGTATGAGTTTCGGTTAGACTGGAAGAATGGATTTAATGATCTATCACATTGCATGATGACCACAGGTAATAATCATACATATTTCAAAATTGTTAAAATAATAAATTTTCAATGTTCTCACCACAAAAAATTATAAGTTGATAATGTGATAGATATGTTCATGGGTTTGATTGAATCTTTCTACAATACATACATAGATCAAACTTCACTTTGTACTCCATGACACATACAATTATTAGTTTTCAATTAAATCCATTAGTCAATAAAATAGGATGTCAGGATAGTATACAGTACAAAAAATACTTGATAAGGTGATTGATAAGGTGATATATTGATTGATCATAAATTCTTCTGGTTGCCTTTTTGCAAATTCACTTATTAGATCGTCAAAATTTATACTTTTGGCAATTTCATTTTCCGTCTATGTAATTGAAAGAGATGTCGGTTGCTTTTGGAAAATGCAAATGATTTTTGATAATTTTTAATTTTGAGAAGGATCTTTCTGCTGATGCAGCCGTTACTGGAGCAATTAAGAATACTTTATAGGCTGCAACAAATTTGAGATACATTTCTGGAAAATTATTGTGAAATATATGTTTTAGTCCACCATGAGCTGATGATACTTGCAGAATGATTTTTCTAAAAATATTTAAATATTTATATACGTCGATTTTGTGTCAGTCTGGATTGAATTTTAAGTGAGAATTAACACAATGGCATTTTAACATTTCCTTAGACATCTCCTGTACCTTACAGGGGTCTTTAAAAAAGTGGAAAGTGGCTTCATGATTTGTTTATGATTCAAAACATGTTCTACTGCTCCATTATCAGTTAAGAAAACTTTATTTTAAATTATTTCTTTGTTAATGACTGGTTCATCCAAAGCTTCATATGAAAATAGAGTTATTTCCCACTGAATGCAATGATCTTTCAATTCAATGTCTATATCTAACCTGTGGATATTTGCTTTGCAATGTTGCAACAGTTTTCAAAACAAGAGGTTCTAACTCAGAAGCCTCCTCTAACTCCATTATATGCTTTGGTAAAATTTCCATGCGAATGCTTTTATTTGGTAATAACTACTGACGAGTTTCTATCTTTGTACAGATGTCACAGAAATGGACTCTGTGGGCTGACAGGCCAGCCGGCCGCCCACGGCTTGTCCACGTGCTGCTCACATGAGCCCTTTCTCTCTCCTGGGCAGCTGCTGCCTTCACCACTGTTGATCTTTCTGCTGCTGCTCCATCTGCCAATCTGGGCCCAGGTCCTGGCCCTGCTGCCCTGTTGGGGCCTCCAGGAGCCCCAGCATGTGTGTGTGGGCAAGGTAGCCCAGCCAACTGCCCGGCACCCCTGCTGCCCACTGCTGTAATCCAAACAACACAGCTATTTCCTTGGCTCATTTTTCTTCTAGCATTTGTTCAACGTATCCCAGAAACCCAAAGAGTAATCTCCTTTTTCCCTTCTCCTTATTGGCACGCATGTCATTGGTGGCCTCTGTGCATTCCAGAAAGTCTGGAAATGGTTCAGGAAGAAAAATACAACTCAAAATGTCACAGAACCTTTTCTCAGGTAATGACAAGGAGACTCAGAAAGCTGTCTTTTCCTTTTACAATTTTTAAGTGTGATGACAGCTGTAAAAGAACCTATAAATGAATGGAATAAAGGTTAAATTAAGCACCTGGTCTCCACCCCATTATATCAACCTGGCATCATTACTACCTGTAAAAGTCCCTGTGACATCCCATTGTGATGTGGCTCAGGGTGAAGAGAATTTTATGTGTAGGGGGAGAAAAGCCTGTTTTGACAACCAAGACATCACGACCTTTCGTTCACAAATAATACTGTTGATTGAAGCTACCCATGATGGCTCCCTTCATGACCCCAACCATGATGCAGCTCCTTTTGTAAAATGCCAAACCCCATTTGCACTGAAGCTGTGATTCTGAGGTTAAAACAGCATGGGCTCTTTGCTCTGGAGAACATCATTCCACGAAACTAATTTTTTTTTTCGTTGCTCACTATGCAAACTCTTAAGATGGAGAATTGCTCACACGGAACATGGCACTATCTCCTCGCCTCTGAATATGAATGCGAGATAGTCTAAGCCATTCCATCACACTGTCCGAATAAGCTGCAGTCTTTTCCCTCTAGGTACAAAGAGGGGAGTTCAGGAATATTGTAAAATGCCTTTCAATCTTGTTTTAAACTCAGGGCCCTGTCTGCTCTAAGCAATTTTTGAAAGGAGGCACTGTCTACACTGCAACTCTTGGAGCCCCAACACTTCCCAGGAACTTTTTTGTTTCTGTACCTTTTTCCATTTATTTCATCCAAAACCATGCTTTGAGCCAGGCACAGAGCTGTTTGATTTAAAAACAAAAATTAAACATTGTCTGTCTCCTGCCATCATAAAATTCACAGTCAATCTGGGAGACAATCAGCTAAAACTTTGATAGTAATACAAATTCAGGGATACCCCTGAAGGAAAGAAGACTACAGTGACAGGTAAGTTTTGATTAGTTATCAGAGTATGTTAACAAAGACTTATTGATGTGATTGTGTTACGTATCTATTGCTGTATAAAAAAATTACTCCAAGCTGGGCACAGTGGCTCACACCTGTAGTTCCAACACTTTTGTAGGCCAAAGCAGGAGGATCACTGGAGCACAGGAGTTGGAAAATAGCCTGGGCCACATAGTGAGACCCCATCTCTACAAAAAAAATTATCTCAGTGTGGTGGTACATGCCTGTAATCCCAGCTACTTGGGAAGCCGAGGAGACAGGAGGATTGCCTGAGCCCAGGAGTTGGAGACTGCAATGAGCTATGATTAGCATGGGAAGCAATGAGACCCCATCTCAATAAAAAAGTACCCCAAAAATTGGCAGCCCAAAACAACACACAGTTTTTTTTTGTTTTTTTTTTTGAGACAGAGTCTCATCCTGAAGCTCAGGCTGGAGTGCAGTGGTGTGATCTCAGCTCAGACACCAAAAGAGCTGGGTCTACAGGCATGTACCACCAAGCCTGGCTAATTTTTGTATCTTTAGTATAGATGAGGTTTCACCACATTGGCCAGGCTGGTCTTGAACTCCTGACCTCAAATGATGTGCCCACCTTGGCCTCCAAAGTGCTGGAATTGCATGCATGAGCCACCGTACCTGGCCACAACACACAATTTCTGATGGCTAAGAATCTAGGGGCAGCAGAGCTGGGTGGGCTGGCAGAGGGTATCTCGTAAGGTTCAGTCAAGCTGTTATGGAGGCTGCATCATCTGAAGGCTTGAATGGGGCTGGTTTACTCATGTGGCTGGCAGTCTCGGCCCCTCCCCATGTTGGCCTCTCTGTAGGGTGGCCCGGGCATCATGGCAGCTGCTTCCCCAGAGTGATGAGAGAGAGAGAGAGAGAAAAACCAAGATAGACATCTTTCATGACCAAATCTCAGCAGGGACAGCCCAGCATTCCTGCCGTATGATATTCCTCACACAGATCTGCCGTGGCCCAGTATGGCAGTCATCTACATGGGAGGTGACACTGAGGACAGGGACACTGGGGACCATCCTGCTGACTGCCTACCCCAGGGACCTCCTTGAGAACACGAGCTCAAGCACATATTCTAGTTAACTGTGATATTAATGAAAAGTTTAGAAAATGTCAACACGGGGAAAGTTGAGGTCTAAAAAGCCTGGATGCCTTCTTTAAAATCAGTTACTCTGCTGGATACATCCCTTTAATCCCTGCAGATTGCTCTCCTTCTTCTCCACCTGGTCTCTACCTGGAGAAGGAACCCAGTGTAGCCACCACCAAGGCATGGGGTGCTTTCTGGCACTCAGTTGGGGTGGACCAGTGGAGAACCCTAGGGGAAGAGTATGGATTCCTGGCTCCATCTCTGCATGGTCACTACAGGCTAGCTGGGACCCACCCCCAATTCGCCACTCTTCTCAAGCTGTCCCTCCACCCAGCTGTCTCTCTAGCAGCAACTCCCTACTCTCACCCCTTCACCCTTCACTCACTCACTTCAGAACTACACCATCACGCATGCATCTCCTAATAGATTTAATGAGCTGGCACTCATAGACCATACAATTCACCCACTTAAATATACAATGCAGTGGTTTTGACTGTATTCACAGATGTGTGCAACTATCACCACAATCAACTTTTAGACACTTTTGTTACCCCAAAAATAAATCACACACCTGTGCCCTGCCACCCTCCAATCTATCACCCTGAGCGACCACTGATCTACCTACTGCCTTATTAGATCTGCCTGTTCTGGACATCTAATGAAGTGGAATCACACAAAATTCCCCACACATTGTTAAATTGGTTCTTTATTAAATTAGAAAGCCAGCCAATCTGTCGTGCTACCTCTTTTATCCTGGGACCTTAACTGACATCGCTACAGATTAAGTCAAATGTAAGTACGTTCTTCTGTCTATAGATTAACAGGAAAACCTAAAGTTATATGAGTCACAGTAATCTGAAGGTTCAATCCTTTGTTGATAACCTAAATAACATCAGTAAAATCTAAGAAATGGAGAAAGGGGTAGAGACCCTGAATATGCCTCTGGTTCTGCCAGTCCTTTGCAGAAGAAATAAGTCCATGTTTCATCTTTTAAATCTTTCATTCTTGATGTTCATCATGTGCCCTGGGTTAAAAATAAACTTTAAGTGTATAGCTAGAAGAAAGAAAGAGAACAATGAAAATCAGAGATGTTGTCTCCCAAAGGACTAGGCATCGCAGGGACGGAGGAAGTCATGATGAAATGTTGTCTATCTATTGGAAAGCCAGGAGCCAAAAGGGACCTGGGGGTAAGAATGACAAACAGGCAAAGAGACAGAGCATCTGCGAAGCGCAATGGCAACACGTAAGAGTGCAGCCGGTAAAGCCCATGCTTTCAGTCATCTTATGTAGTGCAGGAAAATACTAATTATGATAGAATGTAAAAATATATCAATAAATACAATGTATAATAAAGTCGGTGACCAATTGTGTTTAAAATTTTAATTAATTAGCTGGATGCAGTGGATCACATCTGTAATCTCAGCACTTTGGGAAGCCGAGGCAGGAGGATCGCTTGAGCCCAGGAGTTTGAGACCAGCCTAGGCATCATAGTGAGGCACCCCCGCCCCCCAGCCCACTACAAAAAATACAAAGATTAGCCGGGCATGATAGTGCATGCCTGCAGTCCCAGGTACTCAGGAGGCTGAGATGGGAGGATGGCTTGAGCCCAGGAGGTCCAGGCTGCAGTGAGCTGTGACTGCACCACCGCACTCAGCCTGGGCAACAGAGTGAGACCGTGTCTCAGAAAAATAAAGTGAAATAAAATTTTAATTAATTAATTTTAATCCTCTACACAGCCAGTATAGGGGTTGCAAGCTCAAGCTATGCAGTCGGCATCTGGAGCTAAAAGCCAGCGTTCACTCCCGAGGACCTTTGTCAAAATGTGTGACTGCCCTGAGCTTTATCCATAAAATAACAGTAATAACGGTACTACTCTATGGTTTTGTAGTGAGGACCAGAAGTGGTGATTTGTGAAAAGCACTTATACCCAGTAATTCTTAAACTACTTACTCCAGCACTTGGCCCATGGCAAATTTCCTGGTAGCCATATGTACATATACACATGCTTTTAAATACATAAACGTATGTACATATACTTTTAATTTACTACTAAGATTTTATACATTTTCCAGTAGTTTGTATGATGAACATGTATATACCTCCCTTTAAAGTTAAACAATAAAAAAATCTTAATTTTTCTACCTTAAAATCTCCTCTCATCACGTCATCCAATGATAGCCGCTGTTAACATCATGTTCCTATTTACTTCTGCTTGTTTCTCTGAAGATGTACGTGAGTGGGTAAACACGATGTAATTTGACATTGCGGTTTTTAATAGCATATCACAAATATTTTCCTGTTATAATTTCATTCACAAACATGGTTCTGATAGTTACATAATATTACACCATATGATCATTTCCTAGTTTACTTAGCTATTTCCTATGGTTGGATATTCTTGGCTTGTTTCCAATATTTTTCTATTCTAATTCATCTCCAACAAAAGTCATCATCTGTGAATCTTTCTCTGCATCTCTAAGTATTTCCTTAGAATAAACTCCTAGAGTGAATCTGTTAGCACATTTGTTTCTCTCTTTTAATTAACAACTGGAAAATGATTATTGCAGACACATTCTCTTCAAGTGAATATTTCTTCTCGGCTGAACTTTGCTTTACTGAGTATTTTTCCCTCCCTTGGCTGCATTTTCATTCTTCTTTTGCTGTTTTGCGTTTCACTCCCACCTACAAAATATCCAAGTTCCCTCTCCCAAAATAAAACCCCTCTTGGTTCATGGCAGAGTCAACTTTGTTCAGCTGTCTTTACCCTGCAGGTCCAAAGGTCTATTGCCCAGAGTATTTGCTGAGGGGATAAGAGGTGCCAGGTCCTCATCAGAGTAATCTTTGCATCTTCCATTTTAGATGATGAGGCTGAGGCTAAATAACTTTTTGTGACTTGAACAAAATCACGCCCGTCATTTTGGAGCAGAGATTGGACCCAGACCATCTGACTGCAGTGCACTTGGTTACTACACAACAGCCCTGGAAGCTGCAACCTGAGGACCTCCAGCCTCACATGAATCATCTTCATCCACCAACCTTCTCCCATCTGGGTTCCCACACTCCTCCCATCACCCAGCATGGGGGGCCTCATGGTGGTGGTTGACCCTTCCTCTATCTCCACCTGCATATGGGGCACATTCTCCCCAAACCTCACTCCAGTCCAATCTCACCTCAACCCCACTGTCTCGCTCATAGGGTTGAGGAAAGACAGAATAAACCCTGGCTGGGAAAAGTCACTTTAGTCAATGTACGGTCAGTTTTACGTGTCAGCTTGGCCAGGCTAGAGTCCCCAGTCATCCAAACGCCCAGTTGACTGTAAGCAAAGACTATCCTAGATAATTTGGTCGGCCTGAGACATTCAGTTAAAAGACCATAAGAGCAGAACTGAAAACAGAAAATTCTGCCTGTGGACTGCAGCGCCAGCTCCTGCCTGAGAGTTTCCAGCCTGACCTTCCTAAACTTGCCTACTAATCCCCCACAATTGCATAAGCCAATCCCTTGCAATAAATAAAATAGATCGAGATGTAGATAGACAGAGATCCAGATCCTACTGGTTCCATTTTCCTGGCAGAACCATGATGGATATGATATATGTCCCATAAAGAGCCTCCCAGTGGTGTCTTTTTGTTTTGTAAAGATGGTTTTAATCCACAGATTTAAGAGTGATATATATATGTTAGTGATATATATATAAAATATATATCACTCTTATTATATATTATATATATTATATAATATATAATATATTATATTATATAATATATTATATATTATATAATATATATAATATATTATATATTATATAATATAATATATTATATATTATATAATAATATAATATATTATATATTATATAATAATATATAATATATTATATAATAATATATAATAATATATAATATATTATTATATAATATATAATAATATATAATAATATAATAATGTGATTATATTATATATAATATGTAATATAATAATGTATATATATTATATATGCATTATATATAATGATTTTCTATCAAATGTATATTTAAATCTACCTACTTGTGTTATATATTTATATATGTGTGTGTGATATGTATAATTTTAAAATATATCTGTATAGCTACTTAATTTGTATTTCCAGCCCAATTCAGTCTAGTGACAGAAAATATAACTCATCAAGTCTGGGTAATCTCAAATAATTCGGCTAAATTCCTCAATTCATCAATTTCTCCCTCCTCCAGCCTCCGCATAATTGATTCTAACTTTCAGGGAGTTGAAGCAGCACTGCCCTGGGGGGCTCTCTTCCAGCTCTCAGCCCCTCCCTGCACAGCTCTGGTGCCCACGGGGATGCGCCCACGGGGATGCAAGGCCCTGTATGACCATCAGACCTCCTGTCCTCACTTGAGATGTTTATTTCTAGTCCCCAGTCCTGCCCCAACCACAGGATGTAACCCAGACCCTGGTCTCTATTCCAAGATTCATCCTTGTCAAGCGGTTCTCAGCAGCATGCCTCTGCCACGCCCAGTCACAGAGGACGATATTGGCTCCCCTCTTTATGGGGGGAGGATAAAAAGGATCATATCCCAGACCCCTGGGCTTAAGGCTTCCATGTTCCCATCTCTACTCTTTAATGCCAGGATGACATAGGGTACTTTCTGCAGGCATAGACAACCAGGCAGGAAGAGGGGCCCATGTTCCTTGTAATCTCAGATCACAAGTACCCTCTGGGGATCTATCACCCCAAGCTTGGTGCATGGACAAGGGGTACCTTATTCTCTTCCTTTCTTCTAAGACTATGCACTGCCTCTCCCCCAGGCAAATGGAATCTTGTCAATTCCAAGTGAGTTTGGAAAAACTCATTCTTTTTTACTTATTGTTTAGATCGGAACCTAAAATCGAAAGTTCCAGGAAGCTCAAGTTCTTATAACTAAAAAGGCTTTTCTCTCTCAAGAGCATTGGCTCTGTCTTTTCCATGTTCTACTTTGAAACACAAAAGCTGAGCTCGACATTGATTTAATTGCTTTTTATTTGAATGATTGCTATAAGTGACACCTTTTGGGGCAGTATGTCCTAGCTGGTTGAATTAGAGTTGGGAAACACATTGCAAGAAAGGGTAGAAAGAGGCATACTTTATTGAATCTTTTGGAGTAACTTTTGTGCCTGTTACCACAAGCTTATTTTTGATAAGATGCTTCCTAACTTTCCTCGCTCACCCCTACCTCATCTCAGGGCCAAGCACGAAAGTTGTTTTATACATGCTAGGTTTGGCTGATTTCAATGTGACTTCCCCAGGGCAGAAGAGACAGTGGTTGAAGGATGAAGAATCAACCTACCCGGGGGAATCAAAGATTGATCCCAGGGAATGGAGCAGATATAATTAAATAAGTTTTTTCTTTCCCCAGTGTATCTAATATTCATTTTTGTATTTACTTGGAGCAAATGAATTTAAATGAATTTTTAGTTAGAGTTAAATCAACTCATTAAAACACATTGAAGGAATTAGAAATGTAAAATCATTTCCTGCTGCAATTCATTCATCTCTAAGTCTATAACTGACTTGAATCTAGGTAAAGGTCATTGCTTAAAGGGGACAGTGGCCCTTATTCTTGCAACCTACAAACTTTTACAGTTTGCATGGAGTTTTCACATCCATGAACTCAAGCAAGACTGAATAGGCCTGTATGGTGAACAAACAGGAGTAAATGCCTCCACTATTCAGGGGAGGAAAGTGAGCTCAAAAAAGTTTAATATTGTTGCCTAAGGATACTCAACCAGCAAATGGCAATATCGAGACAGGAGCAGGTCTTCAGTCCAAACCCACAGAGCAGAGCTTGCCCAGGAAGCTGATCATTCTTGTACCACCTTCTCCATCACTGGACCTACACCCTGCCCTTCTTTACCCAGCTCTGACCTCTCAGATGCTGAACCTGGGGTGCCCTTGTCATTGAACTTCGAGTTGCATTATTTTCCCATTGTTTTACCTACAATTAACTTGCCGTCTTTTTTTTTTTTTTTTTTTTTTTTTTGAGACAGAGTCTCACTCTGTCGCCCAGGCTGGAGTTCAGTGGCACCATCTCGGCTCACTGCAAGCTCCGCCTCCCAGGTTCACGCCATTCTCCTGCCTCAGCCTCCTGAGTAGCTGGGACTACAGGCTCCCGCCACCATGCCTGGCTAACTTTTTTTTTTTTTTGTATTTTTAGTAGAGACGGGGTTTCACCGTATTAGCCAGGATGGTCTCGATCTCCTGACCTTGTGATCTGCCCACCTCGGCCTCCTAAAGTGCTGGGATTACAGGCACGAGGCTCCGCGCCCGTTCTATCTTGCCTTATTTTTAAAAGTATTGCTCACTCTAATTTTCTTCTATACTAACAGTTTCATGAAGAACATTTAAAAATTTAATCAATCTGATTTGTGCTAGGTGACATGGATAAAGTAAGAAGCCAGCTTCTTGTTCTCTAAATATATAGTTGATAATTAGATAACAACCTAAATTTCCTTCAAAGTGATTTAATTTCCATAATGTTCCAAATTTGCATATATACTTGGAGTGGTTTCATGGCTATATTCTTCTTGATGGACCTGTCCATATCTGCATGAGTACAATGTTGGTTAAATTACTCTAACTTTAATTTTTATTTAAGTGGCTAACCAGGCTGACCCCTTGAATTTTTTTTTTTTTTTTTTTTTTTTTTTTTGTGGTTCTTTAACATTTTCTGGGACTTTCTCACTTGTATTTTTTCAGCATCAAAAATCTTATTATCCATGTAAGTACAACTTTTTTTAAATTTAAATTTAACCAAAATTTAAAACTACGCAAATTAACAATCCCACTCATGGAAAGACATGGTCATTTTCAGAAGAACAGAAGTTCCTGTACCACAGTGAAAATACATCAACTGTTTGCATGTTTGAGTGTGTGCTGTTGTTCCAGTGCATGTTGGTGCTTGATTCATTTCTTCCTCAGTGGCCTTATATAGTGTGCACTGTCATATCTCCATCTTACAGATGAGAACAGTGAATTTTCTCACTTTTATCTTATATCAAGTTAACTTTTGAAAATTTTTTGTGAAAATCCAATAAATATCCTACTAGAATGCTAGCAGAGTTCGTCTCACATTTTTAGATTAATGTGGGGGAAAGGAGTTCTCCCTGATGTTGAATCATACCCAGAGAAGGTACATGTCATTGGGCAGTCTTTCTATAACATGAGTCTTCAACAGAGTTCTATTGTTTTCGTCATATAATTCATACACATGTTTATCTCATTCTTATTTATTTCTGCATGTTTTATGATGTTTGTCACTATTGTGGAGAAAATCCCTCATTATAGTTTTTGGAAAACAAAATATATAAATATTGGCTAAGAAGAGAAAGCAAAATTATTTATTTTGCAGACAATATAATTACTTTTAAGAAAACCCAAGAGAATCTACAAAAGTATAGTATTAAAAACAATAAAACAAAATATGTGGATAATACCAAAAAATATAAAAATCAGTAGCTTCCTATAAAATAATTACTTCACCTTAAAAATTACTTTCCTATGGAAAGGAAGTTGTATATATATTTTACATAAACGCCTAATATAAATCACAAATTTTACGTTGAAAAATGTTCCCTTCTAGTTCAGGCATTATTTGCATCTATAAAATTTTAATTGCTTCTATCAATATGTAGTGTTTTACTTATTAGGATATTTTAAAGTATTATTTTTTAAATCACATTATGCTCAGCAAGTCACTAAGTACATCTGACATTACCCTTGCACCCTCTTTCACCGGCATGCAGATGTGCAACCCGCAAGCAACTTGTCACCACTTCAAATGTTGGTGAGGATAGTGGAGCTGAAGAGCACTGTAAATTACTGTGGGATTAGCATGACTAATGTTTAATTAACTGGGTTCTAGAAAGACCAGAAGATGTTCCGCCGTTTTCCCTGGTGGAAATACTGCCCCTTTGAGAATGTGTCTCGCACAGCCCCCTCCCGCATCGGTCCGTGCTAGCTCTGCAGCTTTATTTCATCAGGCTGGAGTCTCCTTTTCTCTCCCATGCTACAGTTCGTGAACAAATGCTGTGGATGCCATCAGGACCAGCCTCCTGGTTCCTTTATGACCATGCGGTCACAAAGCGTCCCTTGCTTGGAAGGGGTTCAATGCTCTGCTATCACGGTCATGAACTTCTTCATAGTTTTTAAACAAGAGGCCCCACATTTTCATTTTGCACTACACCTTGCAAATGATGCCATTATGTCCTGTCCAGGCTCTGATCACGTCTCGCTGTTGCCTCTGTTGACATCAGGTCCTGGCCACCATCGCCTGTCTCTTAGAGGACAGTACAGGCCCTTCAAGTGCTCCCTGCAGATGTCCTTACTCCAGCCGACTGTGGAATCTCTCAACCAACAGCCAGACAGAGCCTCCTAAGCTCTGCCCACCCAGATGGTGTCACTCCTCTGCTGACCCCTCCCCTGGGGGACCAGCTCATCAGAGTCAAGGCCAGGGTCATGGCATCGGCCTCCCAGGTTCACCCCGTCGGGGCCCACTGTTCCGCCTTTCCCCAGCCCTCTCCCTCACTCCTCAGTCACAGCAGGATGGCCGCTCCTGTTCCTCTAGCACGCGAAGACCCTTCTGCCCAGGGCCTGGCATTGTTCACAAATCCTCCTCGCCAGCGGCACACAGGACTCCTGCACCTGCCTCCTTCAGGTCTCTTTACTCAAAAGGAGCAGTGAGGCCTTCCTCAACCAAGGTCATTAAAGTTCTAAAGTTAGAAGGGTTGTCAGCATTAGAGAGTAAAAATACAAGACCCGATTAAATGTGAATTTTGGATTAACAATAAATAGTTTTAGTATAAGTATATCCCCAGTAGTTCATGGGAAATATGTATAATAAATATATGTACAAAGTGTATGCATGTGTGTATATATGCATAATATATATAGCACATATATATTTAGTATATGTATATGCCATGCATATATAAATTTAGTACAAGTATACTAAATATAAGTGACATATATATATTTAGTAAAAGTATACTAAATATAAGTGGCATTGGACTTTATGCACATGGTCGGCAAAAATAGTGAAAAGTATGGTATAAATATACATATATGATATAAATATGTTATATATACGTATGGTATATTAGTGTATATATTTATTTTACTTATATTAAATATATACATAGTATATCTAGTATTACATATACACATAGTATATATAGTGTTATATATACATAGTATACAGAGTATTATATAGAGTATATATAGTATTATATATACATATATAGTATATACACATAGTGTGTATGTATAGACTATGTAGTATAGGTAGACTAAATATATAAACTAATATAGCACACATATATATCATGTTTCTACCATATACACACATATTTATATCATTTTTTTCACTATTTTCACTGACCCCTGTGCATAAAGTCCAATGCCACATTCACCACCAGTGGCCCTATAGTCCTCCCATGTATTATTTTTCAATTGGATGTGTTGCTATCTGGCGTGCTATATATTCGACTTACTTATCCTTTTAAAGAAATTGTCTGGCTATCTCCTCTGATCGATGGCCATAGGTGGGTGAGTCACCTTCATTGTCCCAGGTTTAGCTGGGAACCAGGGATAGTGTCTGCTTGGATGGTAACTGAAGAATGCGTAATTATCAACCAGGCATTCTTGGGACAGCCACCCTCTCCCTTGTGCCCAGAGAGACCAGGTAGGTCAGTGCACAGAGAGAGTGAGCAGAGGGGAGACACAGAGGCAAGTCAGCCCCTTCCTCTGGCTCCGGGTCCTTTCTGGAGCTGGCTGTGTACTTGCCCTGGGTCTCCCCCAAACACAGCTCTTTAATAAAAACCTTCTTTTTCCATAAGCTGACTCAAGCTGGTTAATGTTACTCACAACTAAAGAAGTCTTTTTAGCAATATCCTAGAATGAGGCATTATAGAAGCTTCTGTATTTAAATTCTGAAAGTTCTTCCCTCAGTCTGACCCCAATCTCCATGAGGTGCATCTCTTTCCTTATGCCCAGGGGATGCTAACAACTATTACTGCAGCAGTCTGTGGCTTCAGGTTTAGCGCCAGAGCTGCTCTTGAGAACTGCCGGGGTGACAAAGCAGAATTCCAGCGGTGGGGATCTGACATCGGCACTCTCTCAAGCTCTCCGTTCTAACCGCAGAGGACTGAGAGCCACTGATCTAGACAGGATTGATTGGAGGTCACACAAAGGGTGGCCGTGTTGGGCCTGGATCCCAGGCTTCCGGACCCTGTAGCTGGATTCTATCTAGTGATGCGTCCTTGATGATCAATTTCTTTTGAACCTGGTAAGGCTGCCTGTTCCTATCATTGATGACTCAGTATCAGTTGTGATTTTCCAAGAAGAATCTGCTTTAGTGAGGGTGTTCACAATGTATGGGCTTGAGAACGCATGTCTTCTTGCTCACAAGGATGGATGGTCACATTCAGGAGTCATTCACAAATCCGCTTTCTTCATATCTTTGGAATCTGTTCCCTTTTTCTCACCTCTGCAATTCCCCTCATTCAAGCCCTAAGCACTCCCTGGCTGTCTATGCATCCCCTTCTGTAACCTCCACCCCATCTGTGACCATCCATTTCATGTCTGCCTTCTCTGCAAGCTCTGTCAGAAAAAGGAGGCCCTCAGAGGCACTGGCGTCTCCACCTCCAGCACGCAGAACAGCTCCCTGCAGAGGCTGAGGGCAGCATCCATCCCTGTGGAATGAATTAATGAGGAAGTTCCTTCCTCTCCCCAGGGCAGTGCCTGCCCCAGGGCACAGGTAAATTCCTGACTCCTGGGGACTCACCTCATAACAGTGTACGTCTTTCTCTCTCTAAAGACATTAGCAACCACTAGATCATATACACAGGGAGTGCAGGGAGCACCCTGCAGTCTGCAGCAGTAATTTCCGGCTGGAAATGAGACCAGGCTCCGAGAACTTGAAATGGGTTATTTTGTTTGTCTGTTCGTTGCTTGGTTGGTTTTCATGTTATCTTTTCATCTGCTTCACTCTCTCACTGGGGCTCTTCTCTCCTTGCAGAAAGAAAATATGTTTCAAATGACTTTGCCTGTCAGTTCCCTCTGCTCTGTGCCAGCTCTGCGCAAACTTCAAGAGCTCTCAGGCTCACACTGCCCTGCTCCTCGGTTTGCTAAGGGAGATGCCTTCAGCTGCCTGTAAGGTTGGTGGGGTACGTGTCCTGCTAATTAACCTGTTAGCAAACACTGAGGACAAAGAAGCCAGCTGTCAGTTGGTACAGAGGAGAGGAAAATTCAAATGGTGTGACTTGTACTCGCCCCTCAGAGACATCACTCACCTCTACCTGTTTCTGGTTGGGAGAAACAGGATGTTTCATCGCAGGCTGCAATCAGTCCTGTTATTTGGCCCAGAGTGAGCCAGGGCCTCCCCGCAGACAACTGCCCGCTCCAGCATTGCCTCTGGATGGCAAGATGTACCCTGCAAAGGATGTGGAGGGCATAATTAATCCCCAAGCTATTACACTGTGTCCAAAGCACACGCAGCTGAGAAATATAAATGGAGAAGGAAACTGTGGGTGCAACTCTGTGTATAAGTCATTGCTTTTTTTTTTTCCTTAATGTTGGGAGTAAAAGGTTTACGTAATTGGTAGAATTAAGACGACTTTTTGTAAAGGCAGAATTCCTTTCTTCATATAAGGCACAAAATTTCCTGGAATTTCAGAAATTTAGGGGGATGACTCCCAAATATTTGTGCCTCTTGTGCCCATTACAAAAAATACTCAAGTGAAAAGCAACAACTTGCATAAGTCAGTAAGGTTTCCGAATCATGGAGCCTGCGTAACTCAGTAAAGTTTCTGAAGCATGGAGCTTGCATGAGTCAGCAAGGTTTCCAAGCACGGAGCTTGCAGGAGTCAGTAAGGTTTCCAAGCACGGAGCTTATATGAGTCAGCAAGGTTTCCAAGCATGGAGCTTGCATGAGTCAGTAAGGTTTCCAAGCATGGAGCTTGCAGGAGTCAGTAAGATTTCCAAGCATGGAGATTGCATGAGTCTGCAAGGTTTCCAAGCATGGAGCTTGCATGAGTCAGCAAGGTTTCCAAGCATGGAGCTTGCATGAGTCAGCAAGGTTTCCAAGCACGGAGCTTGCAGGAGTCAGTAAGGTTTCCAAGCATGGAGCTCTCATGAGTCAGTAAGGTTTCCGAAGCATGGAGCTTGCATGAGTCAGTAAGGTTTCCAAGCACGGAGCTTGCAGGAGTCAGTAAGGTTTCCAAGCATGGAGCTTGCAGGAGTCAGTAAGGTTTCCAAGCATGGAGCTCTCATGAGTCAGTAAGGTTTCCAAGCATGGAGCTTGCATGAGTCAGCAAGGTTTCCGAAGCATGGAGCTTGACTTGGGAATGGGTTGGGAGGGTTTGTAGGAAGAGAATTTCTTTTCCTTTTTTTTTTTTTTTTTTTTTGAGAGGGAGTCTCAGTCTGTTGCCCAGGCCAGAGTGCAGTGGCAACATCTCGGCTGACTGCCACCTCCGCCTCCTGGGTTCAAACCATTCTCCTTCCTCAGCCTCCCGAGTAGCTGGGATTACAGGGGTGCACCACCATGCCAGGCTAATTTTTCTATTTTTAATAGAGACGGGGTCTCACCATGTTGGCCAGGCTGGTCTCAAACTCCTGACCTCAGGTGGTCTGCCTGCCTCGGCCTCCCAAATTGCTGGGATTACAGGCGTGACCCATCACGCCCGGCCTCTTCTAACTATTTTGAAAAATAAAATAGATGATGGTAAATTATAGTCACCCTGCTGATTTATCTAACACTAGGTCTTCTTTCTTCTAGCAAACCATATATTCGTACCCATTAATCAACTCCTCTTTATCTACCTTCGTCCTTATCTTTCCTGGACTCTTGTAACCACCAACTTCCTGTCTTCATGAGATGCCTGTTTTTATCCCCCACATATGAATGAGAGCTTGCAATATTTGTCTTTCTGTGCCTGGTTTATTTCACTGAACATAATGACCTCCAGTTCTATCCATGTTGCTGCCCATGACTCGATCAGTCTTTTTTTACAGCTAATATTCCATCCTGCGTCTATATCACAGTTTCTGTATCCATTCATTCATTGATGGGCACTCAGGTTGATTCCACATTTTGGCTACTGTGAATAGTGCTGCAATCAAGATGAGAGTGCAGGGATCTTTTTGATTTATTGATCTTCTTTCTTTTGGATACCCCACTTGGTAGTCAAATTACTGGGTCATACTGTAGTTCTGCTTTTAGTGTTTTTTGAGGAACCTCCGTATTGCTCTTCACAGTGGCTGCACTAACATAGGTTGCACCTGTGGACCAGGGTTCCCCTTTCCTCCCATCCTCACCAGCATCTGCTATTGCCTGTCCTTCAAATACAAGCCATTTTAACTGAGGTGACATGATGTCTCATTGGAGTTTTGAATTGTATTTCTTTGAGGCATAGAGATGTTGAATATTTTTTCTTTTTCTTTGTTTTCTTGAGACAGGGTTTCACTCTGTCGCCCAGGCTGGAGTGCAGTGGCACGATCTCAGCTCATTGCAACCTCCACCTCCCGGGCTCAAGGGATCCTTCTGCCTCAGCCCCCTGAGTACCTGGGACTACAGGTGTGAGCCACTACATCCGGCTGATTTTTGTAATTTTGGGTAGCGATGGGGTTTCACCATGTCGCCCAGGTTGGTCTCAAACTCCTAAGCTCAAGTGATCCACCTGCCTCGGCCTCCCAAAGTGCTGGGATTACAGGCGTGAGCCACCACACCCAGCCCATTTCTTCATATTTAAAAAAAGGAAAAGAAATTATCTTCCTACAAATGCTCCCAACCCATTCCCAAGTCAAGCTCCATGCTTCGGAAACCTTGCTGACTCATGCAAGCTCCATGCTTGGAAACCTTACTGACTTATCCAAGTTCCAACTTTTGGCCATTTGAGTCTTTTTTGAAAAATGTCTATTCAGATATTTTTCCTCCCTTAGACCATCACTCTCCTTACTCTCCGTGTGGCTACCATTAGCATCCTCTCCTAATTTACAGCTTAGCAGCTGCTGAGAACTAAAAAATCAGATAACCAAGATGGTTGGTGTCGAGTATAAATAGATCCCGAAGTCTTTGCATGAAAATATTGTGAAACACATTTTCATTTTTGGAGTCATTTTTTATTAGTAACATCCTGATAGTTGAATCTGGTAGATAAGTGACTTCCAGTTACCAGTTCAGACTGGCTCAAGGTCAAAGATAAGGGCTGGGGGGTTGGATCTGGCTTCTGGGTGCCATAGATCCAGGTGCTGAAACTATGTCATCTCTTGCTTGCCTGGGTGGGCTGCAGCAAGTTCCAGGCTGCAGCCTTCCAGCTCCGTGGCATTTAGAGAGAGCTGCCCCTTGTCAGCAGGTACAGCAAGAACCCCAGGAAGATCTCACCTATAAGCAGAAGACAAAACAAACAGGAAAAAAAAAAACCATCCTGGGAAGTGTAAACAGCTCTGGAGCCAGGAAAGGTGGGTGAGTGAACATCCTTTAGGCCCCAACACACAGACTGGGAGGGAGGGAGTCTGGATCCTCGAAGCAAATTGAGCAGCTTCTACCAGAATAGTAGAGGGGTTGCTGATTAAACAAAAAACATATATTCATAACTTCATTTAATTTTTTAATGCAGTTTCTTTTTCTTTTTCAAAAACTTTAATTTCTGGGATACATGTGCAGAACGTGCAGGTTTGTTACATAGGTATACATGTGTCATGGTGGTTTGCTGCACCTAGCAACCCGTCATCTAAGTTTTAAGCCCCGCGTACGTTAGGTATTTGTCCTAATGCTCTCTCGCCCCTTCCTCCCCACCCCTCCCTCCTGACAAGGCCTGGTGTGAACCAACCCAAATGCCCATCAATGGTAGACTGAATAAAGAAAATGTGACATATATACACCACGGAATACTATGCACCCGTAAAAAAGAATGAGTTCATGTCCTTTGCAGGGACATGGAAGAAGCTGGAAGCCATCATTCTCAGCAAACTACCGCGGGAGCAGAAAACCAAACACCACATGTTCTCACTCAGAAGTGGGAGTTGAACAATGAGAACACATGGACACAGGGAGGGGAACAACATTCTTTTCCTTTATCTTATATTTGTATGTTGAGAAGCTAAGAATGATTCTAATTTAGGCAGTTCAAGCAGTGTTTTTGAATCAATTCTACTCTACTTTATGTTGGATGTCTCCACAATGGAAGATATTAGAGGAATATTGGAGAATAGGGTGATGAGGCAATAGGGGTTGCTATGAGCCATTGAAGACAGGCTAGGGCATGACCCTTTTTGTTCCTGAAATCACTCTGGGTGCTATAGCAACTCATCCCCTGATGGAGACATTATCTGCACAATCTCACTGCATCTGCCTCGTCTCATCTCCGAAGACCACAGCGGCTGAGAGCAGAAAGATCACCAGCAGGTCACCCCTCATTCCACGCTGAAGTCCCCTCCAGCACAACCACACCGCCTGGTCATCCAGCCCATGACCTCTCAGAGGATGCACAAAGGGAGGGCCCAATAACTTTTATTTACTTATTTTTATTTATTATTATTATTATTTGAGACAGAGTTTTATTCTTGTTGCCCAGGCTGGAGTGCAATGACATGATTTCAGCTCTGCAAACTTCGCATCCTGGCTTCAAATTATCTCCTGCCTCAGCCTCCCGAGTAGCTGGGATTACAGGTGCCCACCACCACACCTGGCTAATGTTTTGTATTTTTTTTTAGTAGAGACAGGGTTTTACCATGTTGGCCAGTCTGGTCTCAAACTCCTGACCTCAGATGATCCACCTGCCTCAGCCTCCCAAAGTGCTGGGATTGCAGGCGTGAGGCACTGCACTCAGCCCCCAATAACTTTTTAAGGCTCTAAGAAAATGTCTTTTTTAAAATTAATTAATTAATTTATTTATTTATTTTTGAGATGGAGTCTTGCTCTGTCACCCAGGCTGGAGTGCAGTAGTGAGAACTCGGCTCACTGCAAGCTCTGCCTCCCGGGTTCACGCCATTCTCCTGCCTCAGCTTCTCGAGTAACTGGGACTACAGGAGCCCGCCACCATGCCTGGCTACTTTTTTTTGTATTTTTAATAGAGACGGGGTTTCACCACATTAGCCACGATGGTCTCGATCCCCTGACCTCGTGATCCGCCCACCTCGGCCTCCCAAAGTGCTGGGATTACAGGCGTGAGCCACTGCGCCCGGCCGAAAACTTCTTTTTTTTAATGAAGGAATTACAAAACGGGCTTTGAAGTAATGTAGAATACACTTATATATTTACAAGTTGACATGGGGACACACTCCCACAGAGTGCACAGTGACGTGAGTGTAGTAACTTAATGTGGTAAGATTACATGACCCCTGCACGTGATGAAGTCTGGCCATGAGCCCTGTGGGAGGAAATTTTGATAAATGTCTTCCTTCAATCATTTCACTGTCTGCGTCCTGGTTCTGAACTTCAAAAGTTGCATGTGAAGTCTCTTGCGAATATGAGACTCGGGCCACATAGCCGATCGCACTCACCCATCATCCAAGATGTCTGCCTGGGCTCTGATCTGCTCTGTTCTTGCTTTCCTCCAGGGACGGGTGGCTCAGTACCTCACAGAAGCAAGTCCTGCCTTTGGAAAGGAAGTTCTTTACTATTTTGATATGAAATATGCCTGCTTAGTTCTCAGAGCAAGAGTGTCAAGAGTACACAGCCCAAGAGGCCCGGTGGAAGCTGCAGCCTTCTTACCTTCTTATGTTGGAGATGGGAAGCCCCAGAATGTCCCTTCCACAGCGTTCTGTGGTCGGCAAGTCACCAAGCCAGCCTGGATTCCAGGAAGCAGAAAGGGAGTTCCCTTCCGCCTCCCTAATGCCATGGAATGGGGAAGGGTACAACTCTAGGATCAGACCCAAAGGGAACTGTTGTGAATCTTGATTTTGTGACTTCTTGGCTATTGGATTTGGGCCAATTATTTGTCATCTCTGTACCTTAATTTACTCATCTATGAAAGAAGGACTAAAAATACTTATCATAGGAGAAGACAATATGTAAGCCACTTGGCAATGTGCCTGGGACCTAGTGAGCGATTCTTCTCACTTATTATTGTTTTCGTCATCATCGACATCATCGTCACCATTACTTTTCATTGTCTTTGGAAATTTGGACAGAGACCACAGGCAGATGCGGTGCCGTATTCCCACAGGGCTGGAGCAGCGGGTGTGTTTTTCTGTGATAGCAGCGCTTCCCGGAACCAGCAGGGTACACGTTATTTGACCTGAAGGGCGAGGGAGTTCAGAGCCTACAGTGATGAGAGAAAGCCCTGAGTGAACGTTTCCTTTCAGCTTCGTGAGAGGAAGAGTCTAAATAGGGGAGCCATCCCCAAAACCTGACCACGAGCAAGGGTGCAAAATAGGGTGCAGTCTCTTCACATATCTAGACAGGAGTATGAACCTCCTTGGGAGCGTGCAGGCTGGCAATACCCGTGTGTGCATGTACGCGTGTGATTCCTGTGTGTGCGAGCTTCTGTTTATGTGTGTGAGTGTGTGCATGTGTTAGTATGTGTAAATGTGTGGTTTATGTGTGGTGGAGTGAGCACATGAGCATGTAAAAGTGTGTGTGCATGAACAGAAGTATGTATGTGTACTGCATATGTATGTGTGAGTCTGTGTGGCATATGTGTATGTGGAGATGTGTTTGTAGTGTGTATCCGTGTGTGTACCTGCAAGTATGTTTGTGTTTATGTGTGAGTGGTACGTAGTATCTATACACAGGTGTGTACATTGTGTGAGTCGTGTGCATGTGTGTGATGACTCTGTGTTTGCGAGTGTGTGTGCTGCATGTACCAGAATGTGTGTATCTGTGTATGTGAGGGTTTATGGGTGAGTGCAATGTGTCTGTATGTGGGCATGTATATCATGTGAGTTATGAATATGGGTGCAATGTATGTGTGTATCTTTATGAGTGTGTTGTGCTTGTATCTATACATGTGTGTGCACGTGTGCATGCATACATTTGTGTGTGTGCATACATTTATGGGTGTGATGTGTGTGTCTGTCTGTGGGTGTGTATGTTGTGTGAGTTGTGTGTATATGTGTGATGAATGCATGTGTATGTGCATGCATGCATCTGTGTCTACTCGTACTTTATGGGTAAGAGGTGTGTGTGTGTGTGTACATTGTGTGAGTCGTGTGTACATTGTGTGAGTCGTGTGTACATGTGTGATGAATGCATGTGTATGTTTGTGCATGTGTGGTGCATGCATCTGTACATGTGTGAATCTGTGTGTATGCATATATTTATGGGTAAGATGTGTGTCTCTGTATGTGGGTGTGTACATTGTGTGAGTCGTGTGTACATGTGTGATGAATGCATGCGTATGTGAGTGTGTGGTGCACATATCTGTGCATATGTACATCTGTGTGTACACATATATTTATGGGTGAGAGGTGTGTGTCTTCATGTGGGTGTGTATGTCATGTGAGTCGTGTGTACATGTGTGATGAATACATATGTATGTGAGTGTATGTATAGTGCATGTATCTGTGCATGTGTGAATCTGTGTGTATGCATATATTTATGGGTGAGACGTGTGTCTCTGTATGTGGGTGTGTACATTGTGTGAGTCGTGTGTACATTGTGTGAGTCGTGTGTACATGTGTGATGAATGCATGTGTATGTGAGTGTGTGGTGCACATATCTGTGCATATGTACATCTGTGTGTACACATATGTTTATGGGTGAGAGGTGTGTGTCTTCATGTGGGTGTGTATGTCATGTGAGTCATGTGTACATGTGTGATGAATGCATGTGTATGTGAGTGTATGTATAGTGCATGTGTCTGTACATGTGTGAATCTGTGTGTACACATATATTCATGGGTGAGACATGTGTCTGTACGTGGGTGTGTAATTGTGTGAGTTGTGTGTACATTGTGTGAATCGTGTGTACATGTGTGATGAACGCATGTGCATGCATGTGTGTGGTGCATGTGTGCATCTGTGTGTACACATACATTTATAAGTGGGGGTGTGTGTCTGTGTGTGGCTGCGTGTGTTGTGTGGGTCATGTGTACATGTGTGATGGATGTATGTGTATGCTTTGCTTTGTGATGCGTGTATCTGTGCACAGGTGAACCTGTGTTTTTCTCCCTTGTTGAAAGGCAGGATGACACGGCAGTTAGGAGCTTCTCTGGGGCCTTCAGGCAGACGGTCTGGGCTGTGTCCTGGCTGTGCCTTTTCCCAGCCCTACCTGCAGTCCTACACATCTTCTCCACCTCCAGCGGCTTCTCCTTCTCACATCCACCCTCTGCGAAGGCATAAATAGTAGCAACTCCCTTCTGGATTCTATGAGGTGATAATTACATGAGATGGCAGAGCCTGGAGCACGGGAGCTCCTCAGTGACTCAGTCATGTTCATTCCAAGGAGTTCAGGGTCCTTGCCGTCTGCAAACCTTTCCCCTTATTTTCAAGATCCTTGAGTCTGACTGTCAAGCAGTAACATTCCAGCCTCAACTACAACAATACTTGTAGATGGTAAGAAACATTGAGATAGAGGAGAATTTCTTAGAGAAGGTCAGGGTCTTGGATTCCTTCATAGAAAAGAAAAAAGGGCCAATTTATGTCCTTTGCTAACTCAAGGCCTGATTTAAAACCGTAACCCATGGGTAAAAATGTAAAAAAGCTCAACCACAAAAGCATGTATGGGGACGTGTTCCCTGCTGCTGGGAGGGCTATAGGGCTGGGTGCCATTATGTTCATGTACAATGAAGAGTGGGAACTCCTCTATGTGGGGCCAGCCACGAGCCTGACCCCATGCACAGCATCTCATTTAAGTTTCTCCACGTACCCACAGAATGGAGCTTCCACTGGACCCCATGTCACTGGTGAGGGACTTCAGGCAGAGAGAAAGCTCATCCTTTGCCCAAGGTCACACCGCTGGTAAAAAGCAAATGAAGTTCAAACTGACCTCCTCATCCCTGCCCTTGTCCTCCCAACAGGCTCCTCACAGGTGGAAAAATCAACCCCTACAGCAAACTCATTGTTTTTTTGACCTCTCCTAAAATTAAAATCCAAGATCCCTCATGAGCTCTGTGATCTTGGGTAAGGTGTTTTTTTTTTTTTCACCTCTATGGGTTCCAGTTTCCTCCAAAGAAAAACCAAGGGTTTTGCAAACATTTAATTGTCAGTGCACATCATGCCAGTTTCATGTCCTTGACCTTGGGAGAAGGCTGGCCAGTGGCCAGAACCGTCCTCTATGCTCTGAGGCTGAGAGGCGTCAAAGCAAAGCTCTGTGACACACATTACCTTTGAGCCCCCAAAGAACATGAAGGAGCCCAGCCTGGGGGGTGCTTCTACTCTCTCTCTCCCAGTCCAGACTCCAGCTACTTCCCCTAAAGAGGAAGGCCATGCTGAGTGTCTCCAGCTGAGGACGTGTTACTCCAAGACTCATCTCCTTTGATGTCTGGTCTCGTTAGCGGCTACGGTGGTATAGGTGCTGACTGGGTTAACTCCATCAATATTCTCCTTCTTACTCACCTACTTTGCTGTTTAATAACATAATACATATTCTTGTATCTTTTGCTTGTAGTTTCTATTTTGTATTATGAAATGCCCCTGGATTCCTTTGAGTCTATTTAGTCAGAACATAAAAAAGCAACTATCCTGCCATTTACCTCTTTCCATTTTACTACTCAGCATGATCTTGAATGACTCTAATATTTTGCATTCATGACAAAAATATACAAAAGGTGACAGATGAAATGTAGGTCATGCTAAGTTTTTTTTCCGGCCCAATAAAAGTGCAAGTCCTCTAAAGAGATCTTTCCCGGAAAATATGAATATGGCAAAGGAATGTAAAAGGAAGGATTTGAGACTGAGGCCATAGTAATCATTTTAAAGCAGTTACAAGCACATTTGCAAGTAAATACATCCATTTCTAGGCGCTACCTAGAGCTGATGTTGGCAAATACAATTCCGAGAAGCCCTCAGAGAAGGAAAGCATTGTTTGCTAAGCAAGTTGCCGAGATGAGATCAGTGGAATAGAAAAATCTTATTTTTGATGACGTGAATCTAAATGAGTTATGGGGAGAGGTAGGAACTGGGAGTGGGGACGTCTCTTCCAAAAATAAAATCCTGAGATTCTGGGATGTGATCTGCCCAGTTGATGCAGTACTTTGATTTTTACCCTTAGCATCAAGTTAGGTAAGAAAAAAAAATAGAGCGTTTAAACTGTAATTAATCAAAAGCAGTTTCTCTATGGGTGAATTTCATCTTATAGGTTAATCCTTTGTTCTGCATGAGTTATAACACTTTGGCCTTCCAGGATCAGTAATCCAAGAAATCACATTCACAGGTACTTGGAATTAAATTTTTAACCTATCTTTCCTTGGACACAATTCAACCAACAGCCGTAAGTATCATTGGTATGATTAGAATCAAGATTTCTTGTCTCTCTTGAAACATTCGAATACCTGTCTGCACTGGACTCGTCTTTCTGCAGCAGCGATGGGCTGGGGCCGAGTGGCGTTGACTCCATCAGCCTGGACATTGACACATGGCTCTTCCCAGCTACCAATCTAGCCATGCTCCTCACTCAAATTACCCAACGACCCTTCGAGCCCGAGAGAGGTCATCCAGCTGAGAACTGTTACGGTAATCTACAATTGGGGGTCTTCACATTTTATATCCATGAGTTTAAAATAAAACCTCAATGACCACCACAATGAAAAACTATGGACACAATATTTGAAAAAGACAGTATAACACATGAGTATTTACATTAACTATAAATGCGCGAGTCAGACCAGATTCAGCCACCACTGCGCATATTGTTTTTGATTTGATTTGATTTGGGAATGCAGTCGTGCAAGTGAGACCTGCTTCTTTCAGCCTGAAACACAGCTCAGCTCTCCACACGGCACTGCACTGCTGTCTGCTCTCGCACTCTGCTTCTCTCCCTCTGCCGGGCCCTGGAGTCACTGGATTTGAAACCCTGGTCCCGGACCTACCTTCAGCCAGACTTTAGATTCTGCAATTAGAGATATTCTCACTGATGCACCTGCCAATATCTATTCTATGTTTTAAAGCAATAGAACCTCACATTTTCACTGGGTAAAAGGCAACTGATACCTTTTTTAAAAACACACACACATTTTTTTCTATCTTCCTTTGTATATCTGTATGGCTGGCCACATGACTGACTTTAGCTCTGTGAGATACAATGAAAATGTCATAAAGAATGCTTGGTAAGTCTCTGGAGAAAGGAGCTAATTCAGTTAGAAGGAATCTTTTTGTCTTTCCCATTCAGTTTTTATGCCAGCCTAAAAAACAGATGGGATGGCTAAAGTTTCCATAGCCACCGTGGGCCCTGAAGTGACCTTGAGTAGGAATTCATGTTCATTATTGAATAATGGTGGCTAAGAAGCAGCCAGGAGCACAAGTCCTTGTAACAGCATGGAGCTGCCTTATCTGCTGTGGATTTCCCCAACCTAGACCACTTTTACAGAAAGGAAAATAAACACCTACCTTATTTAATCCATCGTTATCTTGCAAACTCTCTGGGTCCTCTCTCAGAGATAAAGTAAATCTTAGAAGTGTCACAAAGCATGTAGGCTGCTGATAACCTTATTGCATGTAGGGTTGTGGAACATTTCTCATAGCAGGAGTTATGGGCCACACAACACAAGAGTTATTAATACCTACAAGGTCCGAGTCCTATCATTTATGCTCACCAATCCTCACCAGAACCCTAAGAGATCACCACTATTATCCTTGATTTTCAAATGAGGAAGAACAGTGCAAAGAGTTTGCATGAAATTATCCAAGTCACACATCTCGTAAAGAACAGAGGTGGGTTCATTCTTTCATTTCTTCTGCTGGGTACCATCAGTCTACCTAATGTTGGGCTGAACACCAAGTATGGAAAGATGGACACACTCCCTGCCCTGGGAAAGCTCACACTAGACAGGGGTCAGAGGCACACCAAGAGATACATCCAAACCTACACAGAGCATTCCACGCTATCCAGTCCCTCAACTGCAGGTTTCCTGAGGGCAGGATCTGGGTCTGTCGACTTACCCAGTGCTTGGGGTATGGAGAACCCAAGAAATATGTGAATTGTCATGGAATGAAAAATATATGTGTATATTAGAACAAATAAGACACACCTAGTGCATTCTCAGGACAAATAGTTAGAATAAGGTTAAAGCAGAGTGAACTAAACACCGCTGTACCGAGGTGATGGATAACCTCAATCCCTTGACTCGAACATGATGTATTTTATGCACATATCAAAATATCACAAGTACCTATAAATAGGTGCAAATATTATATATCAAGAAAAAAAATACTGCTGTAAAGCTCCTCCGTGTTATGTGACCAGGGTTGACAGTGCTGTCCGTTGTCTACTGGGAAATCAGAGACCATGAATGACACCTTCCTCCACCTGCCCAGGCCAGAGGTGTGTCAGAGGAGAAGCAATAAGACAGGAGTGGAGAGCTGGAAATGTTCCTCATCATTTCCAGTTAATTGGCTCCCCTGGGAGCACCAATACCAAAAATGCCTTTATTTTAAAAGATGATTTTTATTTAGTATTTTTTTTCACATTACTGATGGATGTTTCTAAATATTAGAACAAATGACAAGCAAAAGCAATGCTGTTTATTTTTAAACATGCTCATGGCCTAATGCACCAAGCCAAGGGCCTTTCACCAAGATCCAGGAATGGCAAAAAGGAAGACAAGACGTGCCAAAACAAACTTACAAAAAGTGGAACATTGTTAGAATGTTTATATTTAACAAAATAACTCCCGTAATAGGAAAATAAAGTGCTATCTAATAATGAAATTCTAAAAATAATTAAAAGATTGTAAAGAGTTATTCATCCACTATGTGGATCCAGGTGTGAAGTGTGTGGACGTTTTCGTCAGACCTGTGATTGTATTTCTAAAGCTGAATGTATATGAACCATGTGTCAATTATTTCTAGTTTAAGTGGTTAGACATTTGTTAATAGGGGTCACCAGGATAAGAGAACTTCCATTGTCTTCACACAGGGTCAGACTTTGCCAAGAAGGAGAAAGCCCTCCTATCCTTTAAAAATCTTAAAGATAATTAGATATTTGTTATAGCTGGGCAGCTGAAACAACTGACATTTATTTTCTCACAGTTGTGGAGGTTGAAAGTCCGAGATCAAGGTGCGGTCAGGGTTGGTTTCTAATAAAGGTTCTCTTCCTGATTTGTCAATGGTCACCTTCTCCTTGTGTCCTCGCATGGCCTTTGCTTTGTGCATGTATGGGGCGAGATCTCTGGTGTCTCTTCCTCTTTTTTTTTGAGACAGTATCTCATTCTGTCACCAGGCTGGAGCACAGTGGTTCCATCTCAGCTCACTGCAAACTCTGCCTCCTGGGTTCAAGTGATTCTCCCACCTCAGCCTCCTGAGTAGCTGGGACTACAGGTGCCCACCACCACACCCAGCTAATTTTTGTATTTTTAGTACAGACGGAGTTTCACCATGTTGGCCAGGCTGGTCTCCAACTCCTGACCTCAAGTGATCAGCCTGCCTCGGCCTCTCAAACTGTCTTCCTCTTCTTATAAAGAAACCAATCCTTATTGGATTAGGGCCCCATCCTTATGACATTAATCAACCTTAATGACCTCCTTAAGGGTCCAAACTCCCAAAACTGTCACACTGTGGGTTAGGGCCTCAACATATGAATTTGGGGGGAACACCATTCAGTCCACAACAAGGTTCACTTACATTTTTTTTCTTTTCCCTTTAAAGTAGAAAATATAAGTAAATACTCTTTATAAACAGTTCTGCAAATTGTAGGTTTCCTGATGGCTTGGATTCCAAAGAGGAACTTCAGCTTCAGGCAGATGCTCAATATTAGTTCCCTAGAGAAATGAGGTGTTAGTTCACTAGCTCCCAATGAACTAATGAAATTTGTTCATTGGTTCCCAAGAGAAATGAAATATTAGTTCACTAAAATGATGCAAGTCAAAAGGAAAGAAAAGGGCCAGGGTGTCGTGGGCATGATTGTTTTAGGAGAGGGAGGACACACAGGGCTTCCTGCTACGTGAGAGTACACATAGACAGTGAGGAACCTGTAACTTCACTGTCATTGGAATTGCTTGCTCTGTGGCCCCTGGTACCAAGACCATCGCTCATGAGTGAGCCATGGGGAGACGGAAATACAGGCAATGTGGGTTCAACATAAGAGTCTTGTTTCTGTTGTTTTGTGTTTTATAATAGTTTATACTTCACATTTTAGAATCTTTGTGTTTAGTCACTCCAATATGAACTCTGAACCTACAGTCTTCGTGAGCTTGGGTTCGGTAAATATTTCATAGATAAGACACCAAAAGCATGATTCATAAAATAAAAAAAATTAAGAAATTAACTTTCATCAGAATTCAGTTTTGCGCTCTAGGAGTGACATTGTTAAGAGAATGAAAAGACAAGGCACAGACTGGAAGGAGATATTTGCCAGCGCATGCTTGTAAAGGATTTGTATTCAGAGTACATCAAGACCTCTGAAACCTCAATAATAAAAAACAAAAATCCAAATAAAAAAGGGCAAAATATATGGATACTCTAATAAAAAAAGATGCAAATGTGCATATAAAAATGCTGATCATTATTAGTCATTAGGGAAAAGCAAGTCACAATCACAAAGAGACACTCCTGCACCTCCATTAGAATGTTATTGTTGTCCTTTAATAGCAGTACCAGGCCTGGTGTGGTGACTCATGCCTATAACCCCAGCACTTTGGGAGGCCGAGGCAGACAGATCACTTGAGGTCAGGAGTTCAAGACCAGCCTGACCAACATGGTGAAACCCCGTCTCTACTAAAAATACAAAAATTAACCAGGTATGGTGGCATTTGCCTGTAATCCCAGCTACTCAGGAGGCTGAGGCAGGAGAATCACTCAAACCTAGGAGGCAGAGGTTGCAGTGAGCTGAGATCAGGCTTCTGCACTCCAGCCTGGGCAACAGAGTGAGACTTTGTCTCAAAAACAACAACAACAACAACAACAAAAGGCAGCTAGAGCCATATTTGAAAGGAAAATTATATCAATAAATGTACATATTAGAAAAGAGCTGCCCTGGACTTGGGGACTCGGGGTAAGCCCCATTTCAGCAGAGGAAGTGTAGCTGGACCTTCAGGACACCCAAGCTTCCTTCCTAGCCAGGGAAGGACCTGGGTGAAGGAGCAAGACTCTGTCTCAAAAAAAAGAAAAAAAGAAAGAACATTCTGTATCTAGCTCTGGGAGGGACCCAGAGCTACTGGAACCCTCACACATTGCTGGTTTGTATGCAGAATAACACAGCCACTTTGAAAAATAATTTGACAGTTTCCTACATGATTCAACACCCTATAACCCGATGATCCAAAGATTCCATTCTAGACATTTACCCAAAAGAAATGAAAATAAGAGATCACGCAAAAAGCCAGTAGGCAAATCTTCGTAATGGCTTTATTCGTGATCACAGAGGACTGGAAATCAGCCTTGTGCTCTTCATCTGTGGTATGTGTGGACATGGGATTACTACTCTTCAATAAAATGTAACACTCCTGTGAAAACATAAATCAGAATGCTTTCTGGTATAAGAAAGATGTTAGATTCAAAAAGCTCCATGCTTTATGATTTCATGTGTACGACATTCCAGAAAAGTTACATCTCCAGAGACAAAGTGGACCAGAGGTTGCCAGGGCCTGGCAGTGGGGTTAGAGGTTGAGTTCAAAATGATACAAGAGAATTTGGGGAGAGTGGTAAGACTTTCTATTTCTTTTCTTTCTTTTTTTTTTCAAAGACAGGGTCTTGACCTGTTACCCAGGCTGGAGTGAGGTGGTGTGATCACAGCTCACCGCAGCCTTGACCTCCCAAGCTCAAGCAATCCTCCCACCTCACCCAAATAGCTTGGACTATGGATGTGCACCGCCAAACCCAGCTAATTTTTTTTGTTTTTTTTGTAGAGATAGGGTCTCGCTGTGTTGGCCAGGCTGGTCTCAAACTCCTGGCCTCGGGCAATCTTCCAACCTTGGCCCCAAAGTGCTGGGATTACAGGCATGAGCCACCGTGCCCATCCATTTTCTGTTTCTTGATTGTGGTAGTGATCACCCAGTGAAAACTCAGGCCTGCGCATTAAAAAGGGTGACCCTTATAGAGTGCAATTTAAACTACAAAAAAAATGTAATACTACTTCCAAAAAAGAAATTTGGAGACCGACCTCAGGCAGGGGTGTGGGAGAAGGATAAATAAATAACAGGCAGAAATGAGCATGGTGTCTTTGTTGGTAAAAACAAAGAAAAAAATGAGAAAAGAAGAGAAAAAAAAGAAAAGAGGAGAAAAAAAGAAAAGAAAGTATGGGAAAAGGAAAAAAACAAAACAAACACAAGAAAAGAAGAGTCCTGGGGAGTTACAGAGGAAGAGCAAGGTCGGTAACATTTCATGATCCCAGATGCAGCAGGCTCACTCACCCCTACCCAATGTTCTGAATCCTAAAACAACGCTCAAACAAGGTCATTTTGCATAAAGCCAGCCCCACGAGCTCCTGGAAAACCCCTTCAGTCCTTCCAATGTCTGTGAATGAGCATTATTTTGATTGCTTTTATTTTCTATCCTTTTAATAATTTGTAACTTTTTAATCATTTCAGACACTAAAACGTCGTACCATACATTTCACAATTTGCATTACTTATTTCTGGCTTTTAATTGTCCTATAAAATGATTACAACTAACCCTGTACACCCTTCTGTCCCCCGCCCGCCCCCCCGCCCCCCCCACACACACACACTCAGACTTTGGCTTAGTTGAACACTTTTTTTTACTGAAGAACCCACAGGGCCATGGAGGATTGCAGTCAGAAGGATCTCAGGCTTTGGCCACACCTGGATGCTACCCCTAGGTGAATGTTCCGGTTCGCGGCGTGGCTGGGATTCCTGAGCCTGCTGTGTCTTCGGGTAGACCCTTGAGTCATCAGATTCTCCCCAGCTAACAAGGGCCAGCTGCACATGAATCTGACATTAGTGTCTCCGGTTCCAACCAGCGAGTGGCTCAACATTTTTCCAATGCGTGTGTACCCTCTTGGATGGTGAGGGAAGTCAGGTCGAGGGATATAAGAAATGCTCCCATCACTCAAGGCAGTCCTAACCTCACTGGGAAAACAAGATTCACACTGAGCATGCAAACAAGCACAGCTGATGGTTAAATGATGCAGGCCCGACTCACAGTGCTTGAGGGTTCCAGGGAAAGGAGGTAAGCCGGGAACCAGGGTGCGCTTCCTGTAGAAGCTGGGGCTGGAAATGAGATGCTGAGTACTTGGATTTGTGGGAAGAAGAAGGACATTCCATAAAAGAGAAGTTGATTGAGATGGATTCTTACTCTAGTTCCATTGCTTTGGATAATCATGGCTTAAAAGCACAAGATTAAGAAAGCATAGACCGGCCAGGTGGCATGGCACATGCCTGTGATCCCAGCACTTTGGGAGGCCAAAGCGGGAGGATCACTGAAGCCCAAGAGAGCAAGACCAGCCTGGGTAACATAGCGAGACCCCCGTCTCTATCAAAATATTATTTGGGCATGGTGGGATGCACCTGTAGTCCTAACTACTCGGGAGGCTACAGGAAGATCCCTTGAGCCCAGCGTTTGGGGCTGCAGTGAACTATGATCACAAGACCTTGTCTCAAAAAAAAAAAAAAAAAAAAAAAGGGAAGATAAGACAACATCCACTAATCCTGCACTTTCCCACAAATCATGTATATACACACAGGCTCTCCCTCCGCCACTTCTCCCACAGCCAAAGTGGAAGATCAACAGTGCAAGGCACAGAGGCAGAGCATTTAAGGAAAACACCAGCTCTTAGTTTTCTTTCTGCCCCTGACCACAGCTCAGCACTACTCTGGCTCTGAGCCTCTGGCCTGCCTCACACACATAGTTACACCTGGGATGCAAAAGCAAAGGACGATGGTAACTTTTGAGACGCACACTCAGGAAATGATCTTAGACCTGCCCTTACAAATGCCTGGGTGAAAATGATGTCTTACAAAGACTTTCATGGCTAAAACCAACCTATGTACATAACCCGATTTTTGGCATTTGTTGGATTGAGACGTGATCATCTTATTCCTGGGGAACACACCACTGCAACTTAGCAGTCTGTTTTTCAAAGACAGTTATCGGGTGAAACACACCAGTTATCTTGCCTGCCAAAATCATTTGCTCAGAGATTATCCTCCCAATGGAATGGAGCTCAAATCAATCAAAATCTTTGGGGGTGGAGGAATAATGAGAAAATATAGCATGACATTTTGACCATTAAGCCTATGATATAAATATCTCTAAAATATTGGGGGCTTTTTCATTCCAGTATTCCTAGCAAAACCAAGGTCTTAGAATTTACATTTAGCCCCTGCTGTGTATAAAGCTAGATTTAATTTACTTATTTTGGTAGGTATTGGTAATCGTTATAGATATACCTTTTTCTTATAATTCTGGTAGTTTGTAATTTAGTTCATAAGTCACACAGCCAAACCAAGTGCTCACATTGTAACATCATGGAACAAAAATTACTGAATTTTCTAAGCTCATTACTGATACTAATCTTCATGAATACTATATCGAGATCCAGAAGACAGAGAGAGGTAAAGAGAGAGAGAGGAGAAAGAGAGAGAAAGAGAGAGAGAGATTTTTATGTATAAAGAGTAAATTTTGCATTCTTTGACATTTAAAAGAATAGTTGCAGTATTTATGTCCATAGTATGCTTCAAATCAGAAGGCTCTTTGAGGAAAACTCAGAAGTGACATTTACTTATTTGTACTTTTAAGTTCTGTAGCTTACACAGATGATGCATAATTCATGCCAGAAAGCATTTGGCTCAACAGAAACTAATTTAGTTTATCCCCTTCCAACGCAACTTCAAACACACGTATGAGAAAATGTGTGGATTTGGGGCTGGGATGTGGACATGTGTAAGAATACAGTAGATTTAGATTAAATAATTTTATTTGGGTGCCTTTGGAGGTCTTCCAATAATGCCTTTAATCATTGTATTAGAGTCTTGATTTATTTCCCTTGGATTATACATTTGAAATAAGCAAAGTTAGACATTGGCATTATCAGAGTTAAGAGAAAATGAACTAGGATGTTTTCCTTGTGTTCTGTTCCTATGCTCACCATGACATAAAAATGTAGAGTAATTAGTATTGACTTACTATAATGACAATTTCTTGTAATCGAACACTAGGTGTGTTTGAACCAGTTACAGACAGATAATCTTGCATCTTCAAAGATGTGTGCTATGTTCCTGTTTGGAAATTTTTCTTCTCAGCACAATAGACAGCTCTCCGGTTACAGGGCAGCCATGCATTTGGACAGAGCCAAACCATCAAATGTTTAAAAAGGACAGAGTGGAAGACACCTGCCAGCACCCCCATATGCATCAGTGAGTCCCTGGACAGCACTTCCAGTAAGTCCAGACTGCCAAATTCCACAGGCTTAACAACTGAATTTATGATAGTTGGAGAGTCAATAATTTCATCACCCATGTCCAGCCTGTCCCATCCATCCAGGTATGTTCCTACACCTACATAGACCTTCTGCGAGGGAGCATTTTTGGAACATTAATTTATGTGACAAATGCACAGAGTGGAAACAGTCTCTAGCACAGTTTTACCTAAGACAGCCTCCAATAAAGACCCTGATGTCCTTCATGTCCCCAAAGCGGAAAACAAAACCAAAACCCTGGCTTCAGACAAGCCACAGCGACTTGCTGAATGGTCAAGTCCTCTCCCTGTGGCTCTCCTGCTACACAGAGCCAGAACCATTGCTCAACGTGCAGAAGTTGGGAGGGAGAGTTTTACCCTCAAAGCAGCAAAGTTATTTTTCTAAAAAGTAAATAAATAAATAAAATCTCCAATAATAAAGCTGATTTTAAGAGCTAGGGGCCTCTAATATTAAACAAAATTCTCTTTTGATAATAACCATATCAAATCTAGTTTGAAAGAAGCACAGACACAGTTCTTGCCATTCAAGCACTGCTCAGAGCCCCTTACCAAGGTTAACTTCACTATAATTAAGACGTTATAATTAAACCCATTCTGAATATGGGGAAACAGGCTCAGAGAGGTTGTGTGGCCTGTCCAAGATCACACGGCTTAGGAGTGGGAAGCCAGGACTCAAGTCCAAGCATCTGCTCTAGGGGTTCCTGTTCCCACCTGCTGTCATCTATCTGCCTCGTGGGAGAGGCAGACCTGTGGTTCCTGGGGCAGGGGCTTTCTTGTGAGCTTCCTGTCTCATGCCACCACCCCCAGTTCTTCCTGCTCTTTCATACGTTTTATCATGAGCAAAATATAATGCTGCTCTTTTGTGTGAACAACCTCTAACAATGTTCTCGCGTTTTGTGCTATTTCCCCAGGAAACAGATAAGGAGCCTTTGAATTCCAAAGAACTCTTGAAGTAAAGATCGGATTTCACAGAGAGAAAAAGGTCTGGTGTCCAGTTGGCCAGTGGCCCAATTTGAAGGAGGAAGGAGGAGTATGGCTTCTCCCCATTTGTTTCCAGCACCTGAGGACATTAAATGGGTGCAGTTGGCCACCTGCTTAGGTAGGTGGGCTTCAGGTTCCTCCGCAGAGGTCCCTGTCTCTATCTTGGCTTGAAAGGAAGACAGGCGGTTATCTCTGATTGGACCCTGTGGACCTAGGACAGAGTGCCCAAGAGTAGCAGCCATGATAGACCATGGACCCGAGGGTTCGTCTGTTCTGCTGGACACTGAGCCCCCAGGGTGGGAGAGCCTGTCACAAGAGTGAGGAAAGACAGTCCTCCAAACTCCCTAGACTGGATTTCCTGCCAACCACTATAATGGAAGCTGAACTAGACTGGCTTACCTTTAGAAATATAAAGAAATTGACATTTGTTGCACGTGAATGCATCTTGCTTGTATATTAGATTATTTGAGGGAGTGTAATAGGCAGAATGCCCTGCCTTGCTCAAAAGATGTTTATTCCTTAATCTCCAGAATCCAGGAATAGTAAATGTGTTCAACGTCAAGCACAGACCCTGCAGATGTAACTACTGGTTCATACCTTGGGATGGGGAGACTATCCAGGTGGGATCAATCTAATCACATGAACCCTTGAAAGCAGACAACTTTCTCCAGCTGGACACAGAACAGATGCAGCAGAAGTCAGAAAGCTTCAAAGAAGGGAGGGACTTGATATGTTATTCCTGGTATGAAGGTGAATGGACAAGAAATGGAGGTGGCTTTAATAAACAGAGAGGGGCTCCTGGCTGACAGCCAATGGTGAAATGGGGATCCCGGCCCTACAGCCACAAAGAACTGAATTCTACCAATAATGCAAACAAGCTAGAAGCAGATTCTCTCCTGGAGCCCCCAGATAGGAGTGCAGGCCAGCGACACAGGGGAACCAGGAGAGTCCCCTGGGACTTCTGACCTACTGAACCGTGAGACGATAAATTCATGTTGTTTTAAGTCACTAAGCTTACAGCAGAGATAGAAAACCAATACAGAGAGAGAAATTGACCAAGCTTTACAACTACTACACAGAGCGTGAAGAGAGAGGGAGCCCTCCTAAGAGTGTGTGTGATAATACGGAAAATAACCCTTGAGTGGACACTGAGCAGCAGAGAGCTTTCCAAAGAGTACCCAGGCAGGTTTTCCTGGAGGAAGCAAGGGGACAGCGGGCTCTTAAGTCCCTGGTTGGACGATCAGACTCTGATGGAGAGGAGAGGAGTGGATGAATGAATACAGGTGCAAACACGGAAATAAAGTGCAGAGAAAATAATCACCTTCTTGGCCTCTCTTTACTTGTCTAGCATTTAGTAAGGAAGGTTTTCACTGAGGTCCACTGTCTCATGCAGCAATTCTTTGGGACAAAAATTCATTTTCATTGTTTAAATGGGAAGAAAAAAATCAATCTGCATGACAAGGACATTTTTAAAGGCTAATTTAGTGAAAATTGTTTGAAAAATGTAGAAAATCATTTTTCCCTAGTAGTCTGGGTCTGAGTTCTTTTCTATTTATATGCAAATGTTGGATGTCTGAGCCTATTTTATGTTTTACAATTTTGAAATATTGCCTATTTCACAAACCTGAGATTAATGAAGTCCTGATATGATAGTGAGGCCTTCTGGAAAACAGTTTTAGAATACGCATTCTGGAATGTAAATTTTTTAACAGGTATTCCTTTACTCTGCATAAAGCCAAAATGAACATTTTAATTTTTAGCTATAATGTATTCAATTTTTTTTCTGACATTACTCTAAGAACATGTTGATCTTTTTTTTTTTAAAGAAAAGCAATTAAATGTTAAGTTTTAAAAATACACAACCAGCTTCTTGGAAGCAAATCCAAGTGGCCAACACTCTAACTTTGCCTGGAATTATCTGCAAACATCTACCTATTTAGTAATAACCTTCTGCTTCAGAATCTTTTTGTAATTATTCAATATTTCCCTGGGTTTTATCTGATTGCTTGTGTTTTCACTATATTTAATGTCCCCTCTGGAGGAGAAGCTTATCATTCAGATTTGTCCTAATTATTTGTTTTTTAATTCACTGTTGCATAATGAGAAATTATAAAACACTTTGGCTCATGTAGAAAGATGGGTTACCAGAGAGCATTTGCTATTTGGAGAAAGTTTTTTTCTTATTTTTAACCACCTTCCTGTGTGGGAAAGAAAAAAAGCTCAACTGAATATAGCTTTATTTCTATGGCCCAGGAATGTGACTGGAATATCAGCCGGAGAGAAAGCAAGGCAGCGTGTCTTCGCCTGGTATTATTTCTCATGTCTTCAAATTCAGAAAGGGTCTAGGGCAGGGATCCCCAACCCCCAGTCCGTGGACAAGTATCAGCCTGAGGCCTGTTAGGAGCCGGGCTGCAGAAAAGGAGGTGAGTGGCCAGGGGGTGAGGGAAGCTTCATCTGTATTTACCACTGCTCCCCTTGCATTCCTGCCTCAGCTCTGCCTCCTATCAGATCAGCAGTGCCAGTAGATTCTCACTGGAGCACACACCCTATTGTGAACTCCATATGTGAGGGATCTAGGTTATGTACTTCTTATGAGAATCTAAGCAATGCCTGACGATCTGAGGTGGAACAGTTTTTTTCTGAAACCATCCCCCACCGCCCTGCTTCATCTGTGAAAAATCATCTTCCACAAAACCGGTCCCGGGTGCCAAAAAGGGTGGGGACCGCTGGTCCAGGGAAATCAGAAAGAAGAACCACTTTGCAGCAACTTCGTGTGCTCTGAAAATCCAGTCTGGCCAGCTCAATGCAAGTGGAAATTCTACAAATTCTTCAGGTGGTTGCCTCTGCTGGGTTTTAGTATTTTCCCCTCTCTGCAGAAAATCAGTTTTGTTCCTCTTAGTTTCCTATTCCGAAGTCCCATCTCTCAGTAGCCTGGTTTCCTCTCACGAGATGATCTCAAGACGACAATATGTCAGAATGAGCAATAATAAGACATGCGTGCTTAGCTCCTTGCCTGCAAACATCTTATCTCGGTGTGCAATGCCTTCATCAGAGACCAAATTTCTATTTATTTTGATCAAAACAGGAAAATCACCTCACTTGTAAAAGTAAAGGGAGATTGTTGATGGAAATTGCAATGTATGTATGAAGGCCCTTGTGAGTGACTCTCTAGAGGGTTTTCTCTACTACACACCTTGCTTTTAAATGTATTACAGAGTAACACATAACTTTCCATTCTGTTACACTATCCCTTGAACTTGCACCTTAAAGAGATTCTATGGTTGACCTTAGAACAATGCAGAAGTTATGGGTGCTGGCCCATCATGCAGACAAAAATCCTCCTAGAACTTCTGAATCCCCAAAAACTTGACTCCTATAGCCTACTGTTGACTGAAAGCCTTACCAATACCACAAACAGCCAATTAATTCATATTGTGTATGTTACGTATTACATATTGTTTTGTTTTGTTTTTGAGCTGGAGTTTTGCTCCCGTTGCCCAGGTTAGAGTGCGGTGGCACAATCTCGGCTCACGGCAACCTCCGCCTCCCGAGTTCAAGCAGTTCTCCTGCCTCAGCCTCCCGAGTGGCTGAGATTACAGGCGCGAACCACCATGCCCGGCTAATTTTTGTATTTTTAGTAGAGACGGGGTTTCATCATGTTGGCCAGGCTGGTCTCGACCTCCTGACCTCAGGTGATCCATCTGCCTCGGCCTCCCAAAGTGCTGGGATTACAAGTGTGAGCCACCCCGCTCAGCCATTATATACTGTATTCTAGTAATAAAGTAAGCTAGAGAAAAGAAAATGTTATTAAGAAAATCACAAGGAAGAGAAGATACATTTACTATTCATTAAGTGCAAGTGGATCGTGGTGAAAGTCTCCATCCTCATTGGCTTCACATTGAGTAGGATGAGGAGGAGGAGGAACAAGAGGAGGGGTTTGTCTTACTGTCTCGGGGGTGGCAGAGGTGGGAGAAAATCTATGTAGTAGAGCAGCAGTCCCCAACCTTTTTGGCACCAGGGACCACTTTCATGGAAGACAATCTTTCCACGTTTGGTGGGGCAGGGGCCATGGAGATGGTTTCAGGATGATTGGGAGCGCATTACATGTCATTGTGTACTTCATTTCTATTATTACTACATTGTAATATATAGTGAAATAATTATACAACTTACCATAATGTGTAATCAGTGGGAGCCTTGAGCTTAGTTTCCTGTAACTAGATGGTCCAATCTGGGGTGATGGGAGACAGTGACAGATCATCAGGCATTGGATTCTCACAAGGAGAATGTTGGCCAGGCTGGTCTCGAACACAGCCACTTATACCCAAGAGATGAGAGCCAAGAAAATCACAACCTTGGAAACCACTTTTGTGATATGGTAGAGCTACTGAACAGCTCTCGCACCACTCCCCTCCATGCTTACAAATTCGAGCCATTATCAGTGGGGACTGCTTTGAGGAACTGAATATACGAATATACAAAATATGTGGTTTAGCCTAGAAAAGGATAGAACTCTGACCCTCTAGCTTTGCACAGGAAGCCAAACCACAACTTCTGCAGCAATCAGCCCGGAATGGTCAGAACCTGAACGGTGACTCCCAGCTCCCCACCTTTTTTAGAAGCAAAATTTATGAATGTCTTTTATTAATCATGATTTTAGTGTCATACCTGAAAACATTTTTCCCACCCCAAGGTCACAAAGATGTTCTATTTTTTTTTTCACGGTAAGTGACTAAAATGTTTATTATTTAGTTATAATCTTGACAGAAGGGACTTGAAGAACTTAAAGAAAAACCCTCCAAATGTGTTAATTTCCTCAAGAGTCAAAGATCCATTATGTTTATCTAACAAATAATTTCATGCTCAAATGTCAGTGATTGGTTAAAACTTTATATCATTGTATCCAGTTTCCCTTTCTAATTGTCCCTGTTTACAACTCAGGACCAACCAGAGAAAACAAAATAAGCTCTCCAAACCCATGACAAGAGATGCCCCACTTCTAGTTAGCTCTCCTCCAGCTTCCCCATGACGACCACCTCCAATCCCATCCTTGCACACCCAGGGCCTTCCCTTTTGTCCACCCTAAGCTTTCCCACTGTTTGGCCTGGCTTCGAGTTTCTGCCAAATGCAAGCAATGGTGGCTGACTTCCTCGGCATAGGAGCTCCGGTAAGCAGCAGGTGCTGTTCTCATCTGCATGGGCTTCACTTCTAGAGCTGCTACTTTCAGTTGAATGCATCCCTGCTGAACACACCTTTCTTCCGCTACATTATACAAAGACATGTAGATTTTTGTAGATCAGTTTCCCCAGTTGTTTGTAGTCATATTACCTGGTTCTTCTGCCTGCTAGCCCTCACTGCAGTTGTAACTGCATGAGAAATTGTGAAATGCATTAGTTAATATTTGCTTGCCTTCCTTGATTCCCTGGGGGACAAGGAGCTGAGTCTAGCTGGCTGATTTCCATACCACAATCCTCTAATGTGGCCTCTGACACACAGACAATATTTTAAAGTATTTGTCAAATAAAAGGTAAAAGAATAAACTAAATATTGATTCACTTTTTCCACATTGCCAGAGTTAATAACCCTGGGGCAACCTCCATTCATAGCGGATGAGAGCCATTGGTTAACCCCCCAGCTTCCTACCTCACAGATAGGCCTGTCCATGCTTCTCAGAGGTCCCAGTGAAATTGAGCCACTGCTGTGTAGAGCAAGAATGTTGAAAATGCACCATTATATTGGCTTTCTCTCCTTCCCTCTGTCATCCTTCCTGCCCTTTCATCCTGATTCTTCGGGGAACACTTTCCTGAATCAATTTCCTGCACCCAGGAATTCACTGATATCACCTCCAGTGTTTGGACTACATATCACTGAGCAGTGCTTCATGTGGGACAAGCTCTGCTGGGAGGACCAGTGTTTGAGCTAGGACTAAGATGGATTTGATTGTGTTTGAGATGGCAGAGAGTGTTATAGGAAAGGTGTCCGGATCCAGACTCCAAGAAAGGGTTCTTGGATCTTGCACAAGAAAAATTTCAGGGTGAGTCCATAGAGTAAAGTGAAAGCAAATTTATTAGGAAAGTAAAGGAATGAAAGAATGGCTACTCCCTCTGGTTGCCTATTTTTATGGTTATTTTTTAACAATATGACAAACCAAAGGTGGGTTATTCAAGCCTCCCCTTTTTAGACCGTGTAAGGTAACTTCCTGATGTTGCCATGGCATTTGCAAGCTGTCATGGCGCTAATGGGAGTGTAGCAGTGAGGACGACCAGAGGTCACTCTCATAGCTATCTTGGTTTTGATGGCTTTTGGACAGCTTCTTTACTGCAACCTGTTTATTAGCAAGGTCTTTATGACCTTTATCTTGTGCCAACCTCCTATCTCATCCTGTGACTTAGAATGCCTTAGCCATCTGGGAATGCAGCCCAGTAGGTCTCAGCCTCATATTACCCAGCTCCTACTCAAGATGGAGTTGCTCTGGTTTAAACGCCTTTGACAATAGGAATAAACTGTCAATACAGAGGGAACCACATGGTGACGGGAAAGCACGGGGTAAGATCAACACATGGTGAGCGTCCAGACAGCCTGGCGCAGGTGTTTGAATAATGAACCACAAGCCACACCTGCAAGGGTAAGCTGAGTTCTTAAAAGCTAGGGAGAGATGCCTGTGCCTTATTTTATTTTATATTTTATTTCAACAGTGGGAAAGTGTAGAGGTTTCTGAGTAAGTAGAAGAAGAGTTAGAATAAAAACTGAAAGACTAATTTGACTGTACCATGAAGGGACCTTGAGTTTGAACTAGAACAGGTGAAGAAAACAGGTAGTGAAAGAGCAAGGGCTGGGCACGGTGGCTCACGCCTGTAATCCCAGCACTTTGGGAGGCTGAGGCTGGTGGATCACTTGAGGTCAGGAGTTCAAGACTAGCCTGGCCAACATGGTGAAACCCAGTCTCTAATAAAAACTACAAAAAATTAGCTGGGCGTGCTGGCAGGTTCCTTGTAATCCCAGCTACTCGGGAGGCTGAGGCAGGAGACTCACTTGAACCTGGGAGGCAGAGGTTGCAGTGAGCGGAGATCGTGCCATTGTACTCCAGCCTGGGCAACAAGAGCAAAACTTCGTCTCAAAAAAAGAAGAAGCAAGACCACATTAAAGGTGATTGCAAATGACCTTCACATGGATCTTGCTTCGATTAATAGCAGCTATAATATAAAAGTAAATTTTGAAACTGATGAGAACATTTGAACATAGACTGAGTTTTAAATGACCTTGAAGATTTTGACTTTTGTTAAGTATAATCATTGTTTGTGTCTTAGGTGAATGACCTCATGTTTCAGATGCGTATTAAAGTATTTAAAGGTGAAGTGTCGTGATGTCTATAATTCACTTCGAAATGGTTCAGTGACCATCGTACACATCACCAAATGAAGTAAACATGGCAAAATACCTACAACTATTGAATCTGAGTGATGGGCATGTGGTACTCTTTGTATTCTTTTTTTAAACTTTTTGCAGGATTGAATATTTGTAAGAAGTGTATTTATAATAAAGAGAAATGACGGAACATTTCACAGTAAGCACACTCAGACTCTTTTTCTTTTTGCTGTGTTTTCTTATCTGGAATGTTTTCTGTGGCAGAAATTGCTGGTTATCGTTCTTACTAATAGACATTCTTCCTGTGCCCCTGCTGACAAAACCCTGCTTTGATTCAGACATACCAGGCCTGGGGAAAGAAATCGGAGTTGCTCTAAACTGCTCATGGAAACACCATCCCCCTTTGGCTGATACTCACTTTCCCATCATCCCTTGAAGCTAGGGGTGACCATGTGATGCAGTCCTGGCCAAAGATAAATGAGAGTAAGTCTGCTGGGAGTTTTTAGTTGTTTTTGTTTGTATTTTACTCACCAATAAAAAGTGGCAAGGATAAAACATAGCTCTCTTCCTGAATGCTTTCATACGAGAGTATGACTCATAGAGCAAATGCAGCCGCCTTGTTCCCATGAGGAAGAGTCCGAGAGGATTGCAAGTTGCTGATCCAAGGCCCTATTGTCACTGTGTGGCCCAAACAACCCTGAATCCATCTCTGGAGTTTTTGTAATATGAGGTCATTTGTTGTCTTTCTCATGTAAGCTACCATTAATCAACATGCTGTCAGTGGCAGCTAGCAACCCCACGTATCATAATCTGCTTACCTTCCTAAAGTTGAAGGAAAATAATTAAGTATACAATTTCTTTAATGTGGTACCTAAAAAATGGAACTGAAATTCCAAATCAAGATCATCACAATTCACATATGTTCACTGTCTACAGAAGAGGATAAATTAGAACTCCAGGGAATTCTTCTAAACTCAGGTTTGCCAACAAGTTTACCTGAAGTTGCCTGTTTCCCCAAAATATCAAAAGCTGGTGGGTGCCATCTCTTCTGTTCTTTTGATGGTGGCAGCTAGAATCGTTCTTTGCTGTACTGATCCCCTCTTTGATGATGGTTTTGAGAAGATATAATCGAACTTCAGTTTGCCAGATGGGCAAGTTCTTGGTTCAGGCCTTGTTCAGAGGAGCTTTCAGGACCCACTTTTCCATATCTCATGTAAATGGTTGGAGAAGAGAGAAGATTTCAAGACCAAAGTCACTGGTAGTCAGGTATTTATTCCCAGCAAGAGAATCACATGCATTAGCTTGGCTTTGAGGAATGCAAATGCTCTCAGTGAGTGTGGGGTGCAAGTGTGCAAATGCAGTGTCGTTTTGTGGTTGTTGTTATTTTTGTTTGCTTGTTTTTTTTTTTTTTACAGTAAGGGCCCTGAGTGCAGGTTTTGGGGGTGGACTGCCTAGGTACTGCCCACAGCTCTGCCCTGCACTGGCCAGCCAAGTCTAGGCAAAGTAGGTTTTTTATGAGGCCCCCTGATAATCACAGAACCTACTCATACATAAGGCAGTCTTGAGATTAAAATGAGACAATGCATGCAAATCACATCCTGGGTTTGCCTGGGAATCTCAGTAAATATAAAATAAAAAATATGATGATGATGATGATGATGATGATGATGAATAAAGATAGTTTTTCTAAGAGAGGTTAGAAATCTGCCCAACTAACAAGCAAGAGAGCTGAAGGTATTTTTTTTAGCAGCTACTATTCAAAATTGGTGTCAAGCTTGTATCTTGAAACCTTACTGGGAATAGCTCACAGTGTTTGGGCAACACGTATCAGGCACCTTGTAGAAAACTGTCAGGACAACTTCCTTGGACCTGGGCTTACTTGGTCCTAAGATTGACTTGTGTTCTCTTTGGCATAGCAGTTTAGCCTGTGCACTAAATAATATGCAGTATCTGATTCAGCAACTCAGCCACTGAATCAAACCCTTTGCATGGATGATGCCATTTAATCCTGAAACTCATTTTCTTTCTCCTCCTTCTGTCTCTCTTTCTTTCTTTCTTTCTTTCTTTCTTTCTTTCTTTCTTTCTTTCTTTCTTTCTTTCTTTCTTTCTTTCTTTTTCTTTCTTTCTTCTTTCTTTCTTTCTGTCTCTCTCTTTCCTTCTTTCTTTCTCTTTCTTTCTCTCTCTTTCTCTTTCTTTCTTTCTTTTTCTTTCTACCTTTCTTCCTTTTTTTGATAGAGTCTCATTCTGTTGTCTGTCACCCAGGCTGGAGTGCAGTGGTGTGATCTTGGGTCACTGCAAACTCTGCCTCTTGGGTTCAAGCAATTCTCCATAGAAATGGGGTTTCACCTTGTTGGCCAGGCTGGTCTTTTAACTCCTGACCTCAAGTGATCCTTGTGCTTTGGCCTCCTGAAGTGCAGAGATTACAGGTGTGAGGCACTGTATCCGGCCTGAAACTAATTTTCTGGGTACAGATAATAAAAATGAGACAGAGTTTAATTAAAACGTCCAGGGTTACACAGTTAGAAAATGTCTAAGCTGATCTTGAACCTTGATCTTCTGAACTCAGTGAAGATTATGATCTTTACTAATCTGCTCCATCAACAAATAATTCTTGGTATGTTAATAGAAACCTTTACAGTGCATTTGAGATGCAATTACCATGACAGAAGATTAAAGAGTAGAACCTCCGATGACTAATTTGATGAGACAGAAACTACCAAAAAGGAATGAAGAAGAAACATAACTGGGAGCCTCACCCACTAATCTTTCATATAGCCTGATAATACCCCAGGGATGAAAAATAAAGGAGCGTGGATTTGACTTCCCCATCTGAAGCTCACATGACCCTATTTTTATCCACACAGAGCACTTGAGCCGATGAGATTTGGCTGTTGATGGATCAGGTCACTTCTCTGTGGAATACACGCTCTCGTTTTTGCACTTCTGTCTCCTCTCCCAGTACAAGAGAAAGCCTCATGGCATTCACAACAATTATAAAATATTGCACATAATTCCAATGCTTGATTGTCTTATTATGCTTGATTTTGTAATGTCATGCCTTACCCACCCCTAAATTATAAGTAAATTTAAATTTAAAACAAATTTTTTAGCATTTTTTAAAGAATTTCAGAGTATAGTAGTTTCTTCATTAAGGACTCTATGGAATGCTTCAAATTGGATTTTGGAATCTGTTTGAAAATTTCCCCTGGAACCATGGTAGTGTGGCATCTCACAAAGGGGTTGGGTTCTATATTTAGCCTACAAGGTTAAAATCGGAGTCAATATTACTCTTGAAAAGCTCTTTTATTGATTGTAATATCCAGGAAACTTGTTTTGTATATACAAACTGAGTAAATTGTATATATAGTGTCCACACTAACAAATGTTATGGAATAAAGAAAGTATATGAGAAATACATTTTACAGCATGATTTTTGTATTATTGACTGACCTAACACACACTGTTGAACTGACTTAATTAAAATAATAATATAACTTAAATACTTTTTAGTTAGCCTACAGTCTCAGGGCAGCAGTCATAGTTTAAAGCACAAAAAGTCAATATTCTCATTATCTTTCCCTTGACTGTGAGGGGGAGTTGGGAGAAGATACTGTGGAGAAAGCGCCCTGTGATCAGGAGATCACTTTCTGATTGTGTAGTTGAATGGTGTCATTCCTACCAAATGGACAGCATGTCAATAACCACAAAGTCAAGTCTACTGCAGTCGATAGATTTAGACTTTCATCCCAGCTTCAGAATCGAGCCTCGGGGAATGCCCCAAAGGCCCAAATGCACATCCCTTCACCTTGAAAAAAGATAGATTCATTCCATTCACTCCCTGTATTCAAGTGATATGAGAAATTGCACCTGGGTGGGGGATTATTACTGAAAATCCTCAGGAAACTCCTTAAATAGAGTCTGCAGCCCACCTTACAGTGATTTTCGCATCTCAGGAAAGAAAGGAGCATACATGACATCAACAGCCCTCAGACCACTTTTGTGAAGATGTTTCACTCTTTCTAGAAGGGAGGAGAAAAAAAACCTGGAGGTCTTCATTTCCAGCTGCTTCGTGCAGGTCTACCCCTTCCTTGCTCGCTTTGTTATTCATGTTGGCACAGATGGATCAGGGAGTAACTTGTCCTTTTGTGGTCCAAAAGGAAGCTATCCCTGGACTGCACCATGAATCCACAGCTTCTGCTTCATGAAATGATTTCTTAAAAAGGTCATCATTCCCCCTCATCTACTGCAAGCTCATCTGTTAGTTCCTACCAGGCTTTACCCCTAGTCTGTGAGATGCAGGTGCAGAGGGACACACATGAGAAATGGGAGCCGGGATCCGAACCCAGGGCTACCCAGGCAGGGCCAACGTCCTCCCAGCCCCTGCTCCTGCCCTACAAGGACAGAGGACCTGAGTGGGGAGGCGAGGGCGTGACCACAGAAGAGGATCATAGAATGTTGTCAGGGACATCATCAGAGGCAGTACTGAAATCAGCATAGAAATTTAAAATTCCCCAGAGGACGGTATGTTGAGTGAAAAAGGACCGTCATAGAAAGACAAATGGCACATGATCTTGCTCATAGGTAAAATCTGAAATAGTCAAACTCATAGAAGCAGAGTAGCATGGTGGTTGCCAAGACTGGAGGATGGGAGAAATGGGGAGAGGCTGGTCACAGGGTGGAAAGCTTCAGTTACATAAAATGAGTCAGTTCTGAAGATTGAATGCTCACAATGTCACTATAGTTAATACTGTATCGTACACAGCACTTGACGTTTGCTAAGAGAACAGACCTTAAACCTCCTCACCACACACACAAAAGATAACCATTTGAGGTGATGGATACGATAATTATCTTTAATGTGGTGATCATTTCACGTATTCACATATCAAATCAAATTGTACATTTGAAATATATATATTATTTGTCAATTATGCCTCAATGGAGCTGAAAAAATTAAAATTTCAACACAGAATATATGCTCCCTTGCTTCATTAAGATAATAATAACTACCATATATTCTTTCCAAAAACGATCTAATTTAATCCTCATATTAACCCTAAGTGGCAAATTCTATTACTATCTTCATTTGACAGGGGAGAAAAGGGAGGTTGAGAGAAGTTCACGTGTCCAAGATTGCAAAGCTGATACGCAGTGCATTAAGAGCCTGGACTCCGGGCTGAATCCATGCTGGGAACCCAAACTCTACTGCCCCGAAAGAGGGAATGAAAGGCCGGTAGTGTGTGTGTGCCTGTGTGTATATAGTTTGAAACATATATCCAGATTTAGCTTTAAATTCGAAATGGAAACAAAGAAAATATTTGCAAAATCTTTTCTGGAGGTTGGTTTCTCTCCTACTCTTACCAGGATAACAAAGTATGTTAATGTGTATGCTTTAAAATATATGCCTGAAAATATCTGGAATATACCTAAAATATCAACATTCCCAAATGTTCAAATAAAATGGCTTGGTTATAACTGAGAGCTGGAGGACAGGATGGGAACGGAATCTTGAAAGGTGGAGACATCTGCAGTCACATAGCGCCCCCATTTTATCTTGGACACCAGGGTGTTCTAGGGCATGCAAATTTTCTTCTCTCAGAAACTTCTGAAGAAGAGGTCAATTAAGAACACTAGGGTTTCCTCTGTGTTCCAGCACAGGGCCCATCACCCAAGGGGCTGGTACCAGAATTCTAAATTCTCATCTAGCATAGCATCTCCTCTCCTTTTGAGTTGATTTCATCTCACTTTAGGTGTAAATTCCCTCGAATCAGGGGCCCATCTGCAAAATGAAGAGTACCCATGTCTGCATGATGGTGGTGATGGAACCCAGGGCTGCCTTTGGTGACCATGAGTATTTCTACAGAGAAACCATATGGTTTGAACAAACCACAGGTCACAAATTCAGGTGGCCAAGATATAAAACTCTTCTTGTTATATAATTCCAATTTCAGGGCACCCAAATGGACTAAAATAGCCCATATTAAAACATTTGGAAAAGTTGATATTTTCAATATTTTCTATCACAGATGGAAACACTGAATCTTGGAGAGATTAAGTAACCTGCCTAGGGCCACCCAAATGGACTACTTCTTAGTAGTTGATACAGCCTTTGCCCATTTCCGTGGTGTAAATACTCCTACCACCAAGCTACCCAACAGATTTAACAACTCGCTTGCAGATTTCCTGAAATTTTAACCTCTGCTCTCCTAAGACTGTAAAATACAAATATTTTAACTACTTCTTAGACCATTTGGGCGGCCCTTGGCAAGTTACTTAATCTCATTAAGACTCAGCATTCCCATCTGTGATGAAGGGGTAATAACAGACCCCACATCATAGGGTTAGTAGGATGAAATGAACCGATATATGTAAAACGTTTGTAAAATTGCACAATACATTATTTACCATTGACGGATATTGGTCACTGTCACTATGGCTGTTATTATTGTTTTGTGTTTTCCTGCTTTTTCCCAGAGATGTTTCAAAATCTCAGGAAGCATGTGTAGTATCTCAGCCATAGGGTCCATGTTGTCATCTGGCCATGCGGCTTCCACTGAGATATCTCTTAAGGTGTTAATCCTAGGTACTGAGGCCATCTCATTTGCTCTGATTCTGTGCTTTCCAATACTTCAGCCACTAGCCACTTGTGGCTATTTAATTTAAAACTAAGTAAAATTAAAACTTGAGCTCCTCAGTTGCACAGTCACATTTTGAGTGCTTATAAATATCCAGCCGTGGCTCGTGGCTGCCACATCGAACGGTAATGACAGAGAACATCCCCATGATCATGGCAGGTTCTATTAGGCAGCAATGATCTACGTTGTTCTTGCTCTTTTCTGAAAGGCCACTCCTCACCCAGTGACTGTGGGTTTCCTCTCTGCTGTTACCGAGTCTGCAGGAATTCTTTCTGCTATCCCCATACCCTATGAGCTGTAAGAAACCATACTTTTGTGGCTGGGCCTAGTGGCTCACACCTGTAATCCCAGCACTGTGGGAGGCCGAGGCAGGTGGATCATGAGGTCAGGAGATCGAGACCATCCTGGCTAACACAGTGAAACCCCGTCTCTACTAAAAATACAAAAAAAAATTAGCCGGGCCTGGTGGCGGGTGCCTGTAGTCCCAGCTACTTGGGAGGCTGAGGCAGGAGAATGGCGTGAACCCGGGAGGTGGAGCTTGCAGTGAGCCAAGATCGCACACTGCACTCCAGGGTGACAGAGCGAGACTCTGTCAAAAAAAAAAAGAAGAAACAATACTTTTGTTAGTAGTATATACTTACGATACTATAGAGAAATAAGAGAAAATTGGGTTTGATAAAATGTAAACATAGTAGTAGCAAATATAATTATTTTTAAAAACGGAGAATTTCTTCCTTTATATGAAAAAATACATAATTCTATATTTGAAGAAATAAAATATTTATTATATACTTTGTGTTTATTGACATGGTTGCTACATTCTATGCATCAGGTAACTGTTATAATGTAATCTCCATTTAATAAAATAGAGATTAACAGAATGTACCAGAGAAGTGTTAAAATGGAGATGAACTGAAATATTTTGACATACCAAGTGGAAAGAAGAAAATAAAAAGAAAGATTGTACTTATGAATTGTTAGAACTTTTTTTTTCTTTTGAGAAGGAGTCTCACTCTCTCACACAGGCTGGAGTGCAGTGGCCTGATCTTGGCTCACTGCAACCTCTGCCTCCCCAGTTCAAGTGATTCTCATGCCTCAGCCTTCCAAGTAGCTAGGATTACAGGTGCACACCGTCACACCCAGCTAATTTTTGTATTTTTAATAGAGATGGGGTTTCGTCATGTTGACCAGGCTGGTCTCAAACTCCTGACCTCAAGTGATCCGCCTGTCTCAGCCTTGCTGGGATTATAGGCCTGAGCCACCTCACCCGGCCTGTTATAATAGCTTTTTTCTCTCCATTTTGCTTATGAAGTCATTTCTTTGGGTACGGTGCATCAGTATGTTTACCGTTATGTGTTTGCTGTTATTCTGCAGTCTTGTAAATGTTTACTTACATGGGTTCAAAAGGTGAGGTAGAGGGAAGAACACAAAATGAGGCTGACAGCCCTGATATTCTTAGAGTATGCTCTCTTTCCCTCTGTTTTTCCTCTTGCCATAGTCCAGGAAATGTCCTACTTGATTTTCTAGGCAAGAGTCCTTTCCATTTTTCTCTGAGGGCTAGGATTTGGAAATCCAAAAGTTGGGCGAAGAATATTCATTTCCAGTGGTGTGTTCTGATTTTGCCTGTTCCCACGGTGTAAATACTCCTGCCACCACTGATTTCAAGCTACCCAACAGATTTCACAACCGGCTTGCAGACTTCCTGAAAAATTAACCCTCTGCTCTCCTAAGGCTGCGGGAGTTGGCACCAGCACACCGCTGCTGTTTTTTCTTCTTTCTCCTGTCTCATCTCTCCCTGAAAGACAAAGTGGTGATGAAGAAAGGGCCATGATGTTAAAAGGAAAGAAAGAAATGAGAGAGAAATCCGTCAACCCATCACAATATCATTTTCCATAACTACATATTAATTCCACGTTACCTTCCTGTGACTTATAAGACTCTGGGGTTTCCCAAATTTGGGATGCTGGCACCACCACCTAAGGGAAAACAAACAGGTGTCTTCTCTCCCAAACAAGAAACCCATCTTTACATGGTCAAAGCAGGTTCTCTACTCTGAGAAAGGAGGCGAGAACTTTGCTGGACACAGTTGGAGGGGAGATGTAGCCAGGAAGGGATGTGCTGGATTTTTTTTTTTTTTTCCGAGATGGAGTCCCACTCCGTCACCCAGGCTGGAGAGCAGTGGCATGATCTCGGCTCACTGCAACCTCCGCCTCCCGGGTTCAAGCAATTCTCCCATCTCAGCCTCCCAAGTAGCTGGGACTACTACAGGCGCCTGCCACCATGCCTGGCTCATTTTTGTATTTTTAGTAGAGACAGGGTTTCACTTTGTCCGTCAGGCTGGTCTCAAACTCCTGACCTCATGTGATCCACCCGTCTCAGCCTCTCAAAGTGCTGGGATTACAGGCATGAGCCACCGCGCTCAGCTCTGGAATTTTCATTAAGGCACGGCTGCTACTAGACACGTTAGCATCCTGAAATACCCCTCCCACAGGCAGAGAGAAGGCAGCAGCATGTTCTGGGTGAGATGTTAGCACCAGGGAGAGTCCTAATCTGTGATTGTTCCTGTTTCGGAGAAAAAGTTTGTAATTTACTCTCTGTCTGCACACGGCCCCCTCTAAAACCATGGAGTTCTCCATGTGCCTTTTGGCAAATCCAGCTGACTTCCTACCTTGCCCTCAATTACACAGAGAGGCGTGGGAGCACTCGTGCCCCCTCGATGACTGTTTCGTCCCTTTATATATCGTTGTGGGGTTTTAAAATAAAAATGAGTGGTTTTATTGATTACATAAAATTTCAGCTATATTAATATATAATTTAAACATTAATAATTGGAAAAAATGAGGCCGGGTGTGATAGCTCATGCCTGTAATCCCAGCACTTTGGGAGGCTGAGGCAGGTGGATCACATGAGGTCAGGGGTTCGAGACCAGCCTGACCAACATGGTGAAACCTCGTCCCTACTAAAAATAGAAAAATTAGTGGGGCGTGGTGCCATGTGCCTGTAACCCAGCTACTCAGGAGGCTGAGGCAGGAAAATCACTTGAACCCGGGAGGTGGAGGCTGCTGTGAGCTGAGATTGCACCACTGCACTCCAGCCTGGGCAACAGAGCAAGACCCTGTTTCCAAAAAAAAAAAAAAAAAAAAAAAGAATTGGAAGAAATGACTTAATTTTTACCAAGAATTATCTATAAATATGGCAACACATTCAGTGCTCAGTGACAATTTTTGAACAACCATCAAATATCTATTTTTCAGATAATCAAGAAGTCATCATTCAAGCTTTCTATTAAGCCATGTTGCAGTTAGCTCTATACACAAATATCATTACATCTGTTTTTTTTTCTCCAGCTAATGCTCTTTTTCACACAGATATAACCCCCAACTATTAATGTTACTATAATGTGCAAACTATGTTAACTTTAGATCCACAAGAGTTGCTTCGAATAAGTTTTACCTTGGAAAGCTACAAAGGCATGAGGCCTTAGTCTCAGTGAGTCTCTAAGTCCCAGTAATTCAGAGCAGAACCACTTTCAGACTAGCAAACACACTACCTGGAAGTAAACATTCAGTCATGAGAGTTGAGAACAATTTCTTAAAATAAAACAAATGTTGATAATGCTCATGAATAGATTTTGCACCAATTTTTGGAGGTGGATTCTCTGCGTGCCAGAGTTTAGTTCTGCTACGTAGGAAGGTGCCGTGGGCAGGTGCTGTAGGTGAAGAGTGAGTTCTCTGGGAGCTTCACTCCTAGCCGAGCACTCAGGACAAGATGCACAGGACCAGGTGCTCTGGGACATGGGTCATCCTTATTCCTCTTCCCTTGGATTCCTGCAATTCTGATTTCATTTCAGCATCTGGAATTTGGCACTGGATTACATGCATCCTTCAGTTCCTCTGTCTGAGACCCAGGAAAGTGGGGCTTGGTTCCCAATGCACTCCTGCAAATATATCCCCCCAGCTTGTGCAATGCCTTGAGCAATTGCTCTTATAGTATCCAACAAAATGGTCAGGCGCACTCATCAAATTTGCCAATTACTGTACTTCCCCGACAAGTTGTGAAGTTCTGATTCCAAAGTTTCAGAGTAGAGCCTTGGGAAAAACAAACGAACAGGCAAACAAACAACAACAACATATATATATATATATATATAGCACAGCAATTCACAAGATTCTGCTGCAAATGGTTTGGGACTTACCTTCCACCAGCTGGAGTTCAGACTCCATTTCCTGTTAACTGAAACTGGATTTTGTGATTCACTCTCTGGTTCCAACTCTTTTCTTCCCCTCCAAAATGGAATGCTTCCTCCCGACTGATACAGCCAACACTTGTTGAACGCTTGCTATCTGCCAAGCAGGATGTTAAGCACTTTGCTTACAGTAGCGCCACGAAATAGCAAAACAATCACTTTAAGTTCTATTATTATTCCCATTTTACAAACTGAGAAAGTGAGGCTTGGAGGTCAAGTATTGCCCAGGGTCCAAAGCTAGTGCCAGAGGTCAGCCCCAGATCCAGGTGTGTCTGACTCCGAAACTCCTGCCTCCACGTTGTCTGAATCATGATGCCCAACTGCTTGCATCTCTCCCTCTGCCCCACCTCTGTGACTTTCAGAGACTTAGGTCTTTACCTATAAAGTAAGGAAATCTGCTCAAGTTTCTGCCCATCTCTGAAGTTCTAAAAGCCTAGCTGAGCTCAGCGTGTATCCTCAGTTAAAAACCCTTCAACTACATTAAACTCAAAGCAACCTTCATCTGTTAAACACCATCGTTTATGAGGGCCCACAATTTCCAGGTCCTTTTCCAAGCACTGGGAACACAAACTAAAAGAGAGCGCACCTGCCTTCGCATAGCTAACTGGAGTCTACCTCGGGAGACGGACAGGTCTGATGCACTGTATTACCAGGGCAACTGGCAGAAGAACTTCAGTGATGGTACAGGTTGCTGAGTCAGGAGAAGGAGCTAGCTGGGATTCAGGAATCAGACATCAGGGTGGGCTTTATAGAGAAGCCAGTATTTGGAGGAGTTTCTGAACCTGCAGATATGAGGCACATTCAAATCATAGTAACAACTACAATATGTTGAATGCTTACAACGTGCCGCATACTGCACCCTTCATGCTTTAGCTCACTCATCTCCACCGCAGCCCTGTGGGTGGGATGGATGCCTCGTCATCCCCATTTGACAGATGAAGCCTGAGTCTGGGAGGGGTCCCATAACTCCCCAGAGATCACCTCCCTGGCAGGAGGAGCAGCTCAGCTTCAAGCCCAGGCAGTTTGAGCCAAGCGCACGGGTGTTGCAATCACAGCATAAAGAATAGCATGTGAAACTGCACAGAGAGTTAAGGAAACCTCAGTTATCTCCATGAGGACCAGGACAGATGAAGCAGGGAAAGGAGGAGAGATGGAGAGGAAGATGAGGGCAGATTTCAGTGGATGTGGTGGTACATGCTGAGAAATCAGGGCTTCTCTGTGTGAATAACAGGAGACCTTTCATGGCTCTTGAACAGGAAGAAGCCATACGATCAGATTATTTTTTAATTGACAAATAATAATTGTATATATTATGGGACACAATGTGATATTTTGATATAAGTACATATTGTGGAATAATTAAACCAAGCTAATTAATATATCCATCACCTCATATATTTATTCTTAATGGTGAGAACATTTGAACTTATTCTCTTGGTAATTTTGAGATACACATTTTGAGACATAACTCAAGTGGTCCTCTAATGAACCAATAAGGGTAAGAGAGAGTGAAGGCATATAGCTGATTAGACCTTTCCACAATCGGGGAGGCAAGCGAAAAAGAATGATTGAGGAGACATTTTAGAAGCTGAATACCAGGCTGGACACAATGGCTCACACCTATAATCCCAGCACTTTTGGAGGCAGAGGTGGGTGGATCACTTGAGGCCAGAAGTTGGAGACCAGCCTGGCCAACATGGTGAAACCCCATCTCTACTAAAAATACAAAAATTAGCCAGGTGTAATGGTGAATGCCTGTAATCCCAGCTACTTGGGAGGCTTGAACCAGGGAGGCAGAGGTTACAGTGAGCTGAGATCATGCTACTGTACTCCAGCCTGGGTCACAGGGCGAGACTCCATCTCAAAAAAAGGAGAAGAAGAAGAAGAAGAAGCAGCTGAATGCCAGGCTGTAATGGCCAATCAGGTGTGCAGAGGGATCCACCAAGGTGCCCCTGGGTTAGGCCATTTGTGTTGCTATAAAGAAATACCTGAGATTGGGTAATTTACAAATAAAAGAGGGTTAATTGGCTCATGATTCTGCAGGCTGTACAGGAAGCATGGTGCTGGCATCTGCTCAGCTTCTGATGAGGCCTCAGGAAGCTTTCAATCATGGCAGAAGGCAAAGGGGGAGCAGCACATCACATGGCCAGAGCAGGAACAAGAGCAGGGGAGGTGTCAGGCTCTGTTAGACCACCAGACCTCATGTGAACTCAGAGCAAGAACTCACCATGATCACAAGGACAGCACCAAGCTATTCATGAGGGATCCAGTATTATGACCAAAGGACCTCCCACCAGGCCCCACCTCCAACACTGGGGACCACATTTCAACATGAGATTTGGAGGGTACACACATCCAAACCATATCAGCCCCACTGTCTTCTGTTTAGGAGCCTGGGAAGATGGGGACCAATGATCAAGGTGGTGACCCAGTAATGAGATCAGGAAGATAATGAGGTTGGTGAAGGAAGTTAAGCTCCACCAGGTCCCTCATGTTGGAGTTGACCATGAATGCCTATGAGGGGGTTGGAAATGAAGACTCGGAGCACAGGAGATAGGGTCCCCCTTAGCCATGTTGCTCGCCCTTTCCACTTCCGCCATAAAGCTTGTAGCCAACCCCACAAACGTTAGGGTTTCTCCCTCCCCTGGGTTTTCAATGTGAGATGTATTAATACATAGGGACCCTTGCAATTTACTGTGCATTTTTCTCCTATTACCTCACATGCTGGTGCCTCTGAGCAGTGGTTTCATTGAGATTAAAGGCAGCGTCCATGTCTGGCACAGCCAGGAATCTTGCAGAGGCTTTGGATGTCTGCCTCTAAGGGTTTGGGGGCTGTGAATCCCATTGAGGATGACAGAGACGCTGCTTCTCTGTGCTTTGGTGGCACTGGCCCCCAGACAGGACTAAGACAAAAGTCACTAGTGTTACCTAAATTTGGCCTAATATTCTTCATGGGGCTGTTACAGGATTTAAGACTATGTGGCTTGAAATGCCTCTAGATAGGATACACATAATCCAATCTAACACAGTCCCCCAGTTTAAACCTTCCAATATTTACTTGCCTTTCTGGCTTCTGAAAATTGAGTTTTCATCCCCTGGCGTCAGCACTGGACTCATGCTGGGTCTGCCTTGTCTAGTGCCTCTCAGCCATCTGAGGGTTTATCTGGAAAGCCACCATGCTGGGCTGTGTGCTTTGAGCCTAAAGATAATAAAATCTCTCTTTTTTCTCACCATCTTTCCTGTTCTGATGGGTCAGGCCCTTTCGTGAACCATTCTATCACCAAAGCTTCTGGACATAGGACCCTTTTCCTTCTATTATGAACAATTAGACTGTGAAATATTCACTGTAGTAAACAGTGTAAGCCCTGCTCTGAATTACTGAAATAAGAAAGAAACCCACAGAGCCATCGGAGCGCCGTATTCATACCTGCCTGCGGCATAGAACTCAAGTCCACAAGCTGAGTGTCTTCTGACGTGTGTTAGCATTTCTCTAGCCATTTTTCTATAGCTAACTCCACTCCTCTCTTTTTACTCATCTTGCTGGTTTACTCTCATTTCCATTTATACAATTACAGACTTAGTGGCTAATAAAAGTTGAGAAGTTCCTAGAGCTTAAAACGGAACCAAGAAGAACTTGTAACTCACCTTGGATGGAGTCGCACTTTCTAGATGGAATGAATTAGTCCTTGGAGTGTGAGGAGGAGATTCTGTGTTTTCCCCTTAGGGTATCCTCTCTCCACCGCTCTCCACTTGGCTCTGTTCCCTGGGGGCTGTTTATTCATCTCCCAGAATCCCTTGTCCTCCTTCTAGTGTGTGGATCTAATAAGAAGTGGATCTCAGCTCTCACCAGTAGCAGATCAGAGGATGGATGGAGAGAGGTGGGAGCATTCACTCCTGCTGTCAGATGCATGTTTCTGCAGAGTCTGTGTGCCACTAAGGAAGGCCACAGTGTCTGCCAGTCACCTTTTCCAGGGCTGTGCCTCCCTCAGGCACTGGTGCCTGCTCTCCCCCTTGCCCCTCCAGGCCAGGGGAGGTAAACCCTGGATGCTTTACCCCATCTCACTGATCCCCTCAAGCCTAGCCACATCTTTGCACATAGTCCCTTACTTGAACTCACTTCAATCTGTTTGTGTCATCTGTTTCCTTCTGAGATACTGATTGGTACAAGTTGGGTTTCTTTTGTTTGCTTCAACTGTCTCTGAGATCCTTCAATATTCTTTACATTAACCTAAACCTGAGCCTGGAGGCCAGTTTCTGATGAATGGCACTTTCTCAAGTAGCATTTCCTTTTAGCATACCTGGCCACAGAGAAATGAGGTTGTCTAAGGAGAGTATTGCACTATGTGGACACGAACACCATTCACTCCAAACTAAGAGGAGAGCATTCTCTGGAGGAATCTACAGAAACAGCGATTGGCATCACTCTGGACCCTCTGCTGAAACATGTGCATTTTCTCCTCTGACATTTGCACATCGTTAAGAATCAGCACAGGCATCCTTTGATGAATGAGAACTGACCACACAGAGTATCTATGTAAGGGAATGACTGGAACAGGGCAGAATCCATAAGCATTGCCTTTGGACAGAGATCTGTGCAATTTGAGTTTTCCCTTGGAGAAATCCCTTCCAGACAATCTGTTGGTTTCCAGCTGTGTTGGCTTTGCTGATATGTGTGGTCTTCTGTGGCCTGCTCAGGGGGCTTCTGGAACAGATGGTTGTGAAGAGGCAATAAGCACCCCCCTGGCCTCCCAGGAACATGTGTCCACTTATGCTTTGCAAGAAGTAGATCTCCCACAAAACAAAGGCTGTTCCAGCAAAGAAGCAGAAGCCTCCAGGCCAGCCAGCTCCGCGTCGATGTGGGCTGACATACCTGAGGGTCACATTGTTCAGGATGCCAAACTCATCTTTCCTGGTTTCCACAGTAGAGTTAATCTCACTCATCTTGTTCTTTTTTGATAGACTTTATTGAAAATTTAGTGTACCTTGGAGCAAGTTCCTGTAACCATGCACACTGCCTTATATCACCTTATATCAGTTTTCTTTCTTCTTTTTTCTTTTCTTTTCTTTTCTTTCTTTTTTTTTTTTTTTTTTGAGACAGAGTTTCACTCTGTCACCCAGGCTGGAGTGCAGTGGTGTGATCTCGGCTCACTGCCACTTCTGCCTCCCAGGTTCAAGTGATTCTTCTGCCTCAGCCTCCCAAGTAGCTGGGATTACAGGCGCACACCACCACGCCTGACTAATTTTGTATTTTTAGTAGAGACAGGGTTTTGCCATGTTGGTCAGGCTGGTCTCGAACTCCTGACCTCAGATGATCTGCCCGCCTGGGCCCCCCAAAGTGCTGGGATTACAGGCGTAAGCCACCATGTCCGGCCTATATCAGTTTTCTTCTTCCTCTTTTCTGCCGCCACCCTCATGTGCCCTTGGGACTTCTTTCCCAGCATGGTGACCATGCAAGGGCACATGGGGGTGGCATTTCCAGTTCTCTCTCCCAGGCATATCCTGCTCCCTTGTGGTAGAGTAAAGGCCATGAGACTACTTCTGGCCAATGGGTTGTGATGAGGAGTGATGATGATTGCTTCTGAGATAGGTCATTTCATTGTCAGTTGCAGACCCTTTGGAGCTCTTCCCCTCTTCTGCAATGACTGCTAATGTTCAAGGTGGTGTCTGCTCCATCAGCTTAGATAGAAGGAGGAGAACGAAGCTAAACAAAGGCTCCTATTGACCTGCAATGGACAAGAAGCATGATGAAAATATAAACTCTTAAGATATGTCAATAGGGGATACTGACTGATACAGCAGTTAGGCAAAGAAGTCAGACCAGCAGAATGTAAATCTCTATTATTTCCTTTCTATGTGGCCCTGGGAAGTTATTCAAACCCCTCCTGCTTTAGTTTATTTACCTGTAATAATTGAGAAATATCAGGACCTATGGCAAGTGTTAGGACCTAAGCATTGTTGTAAAGATTAAATGAATGTATACATGTAAACTACTTAGAAACGTTTGGCACACAGTGAGTGGTTGTTTTCCTTATTCCAGGTAGACTTCTTCTTCTTCTCAAGCTGTCATGTAAGACAATACCCAGGCCAGGGAAGCTCAGTCTTCTCCAAAAACAAGCTTGTCAAAATATTCTAACAAGTGCTGGCCTCTCCCTAGGAGGACGGGTGGTAAGCTAAACTAGTTTATTTGTTCTATATTTTGTGTTACTCCTTAGCCTCTCTCACATTTCAGTGGCCTTACAATATGGCACTATCTTGCCTCAGAATATTGATGTTACAGAGAAAAGGATGGAAAAGCTCAAAAGCCTTGCCCAAGGGCCATGGGTAGAGGCCATGGAGGCTGGTGTGTTCAAGCATGGCGAACAGCCTGGATCTGTGCTGGCTGCTCTGGCATCTCTGCTCAGTTATCGTGCCTTTGTTGTATTTGTCTTAAAGCATTAAGGAGCAACGTGGAAGCTGGTTGCTAGAAAGATTATGGGGATTCCAACAAGATTCCTTATTCTAAGACATGAAGATTCCCTAAGTGGAGGAGTTGGAGTACAGTTTGAGAATGAGCAAAGAGCTTTGACGTCTGTCCATGTAAGGAGAGAGTTTTGCGTTCTGCCTTCCCTTTGCTTCTACTCCAGTTTATGATGGGGAGAATCAAAACAATGTGTACTTGTTTGCAGAATGTGGGGACAAATAGGAACTTAGCCTAGTATCTAAATAGAGTCCAGGAAGCTGGTAAGACTCCAGTGACCAATGTCTTGGCAAATAGTTCTGAGATAACTTCCCAGAATTTTCTGCAGCAGGGCCGTACATCAGCAGGATGGCCCCCGCACCTGTCGAAGGTAGCAAAGTAGGTGGGTTCTGGGACAGTCCCTTGTAGATTTCTGAAAGGAATCAATTTCCAAGCAAACCAGAAAAACTCAAAAGTAGAGAAACCCAAAGAGAGTTGCTGAATCTAAAGATAATCAAAAGGAGCATAAACTCCCCAGTGACATGATAATCATGGGCATGAAGAGACGTAGATTCTCAGTGAATACTGTCATGGGCAGAGGCTTCCAGGACACACACACACACAGGAGTACACGTGCACACACACACCTCGCCACTATGTAAATATCCTAAGACACAATCTCATAAAAGAAAACATGGCAAAATCCTAAATTGACTAAGTTTTTCTGCCATTCTGGACACAGGAGCTTAAAATAGATGTTGAATTGTATAAAAATAAAGAAAGTTTATATTTCTTTCACAGTTGATTTGATGTGCTAAGTTTCACAACCACTGCAGAGGCATTCTAGGACCAGCTGTTGAGAGAATACCGTTTTCCCCATCTCATTACACGCACTCCAAATAATACACGTTTCACACAAGCAAACAAGGTGCAGCGGTGAAGATAAATCTTAAACATTGGAGTGATGAGAATCACCACTTACTCCTGGTGATGAAGAAAGACAGGTTTAAATTTTATGTTGGCTTCAGCATCAGCTTATTCAGGAAAGTTTCTAGCTTGCTAATGCTTGCTAATAGCTTCTATTGATCAAGCAGATAGAATGTACTGAAGAGAACTTGTGCTCAGCAGTTTGCATCCATTGTCTCGCTTAATCCTCATAAACTTGTAAGGCGGATACCACTTTATACTCAAGTCAATCCTGTTTGATGTGTTTCTGTTCTAAGAATCTGCACAAAGCACTAAAGCTGCACTTATATTTATAGAATGGGATATAAATGTTAATAACCTTGAAACTATAAAACTGTGGCTTGTAGAAAGTGGGAGCTAGTCCCAGTGGGGAAGAAAAGAAGAGAAGAAGGTGGGAGCTCTGCTATTGTGCCCTCCCATAGGGGCACATTCCTGACAAGAGCTGATGGAGCAAGTGAATGGAAGCCTTAGCATCTTATTAAAATTACAAAAAATACCAGTAGAAGAATCATACCACTAACTATCCTTGGAAGCTGAAGGAGGAGGAAGAGATTTGTGAATGGAAAAAAAATCTCATCCTTCATAGAAGAGAAAACAAATGTTTTATAAAGTCAGTAAATATAGAAATAGCATTATAAGCATATTATAGTGTCCTGGAGGAAAACACCCGCCAGAAGAATCAAAAGCTCCAAAGTCTAAAAGAGGCTGCAGAAGCACAGATGTGAACTTGAAGAGGGTGGAATGACGACTTTTGAATTTCATCATAACCTTAGATTTAATTAGTTGCCACATGCATATATTACAACGCAAATATACATATATATTTTTAATGTTGCTAATTTATTTCACTGAATATATCCAAAATATTATCATTTCAACATGAAATGAAGAGAAAAATTAGAGATACTTTACCTTTATTTTGTACTAAGTCTTTGAAATGTGTTGTGTGTTCTATACTTATAGCACATCTCAAATTTTCCCAGATTTGGCCTTTTAAAATGACTGCTGTATACTTGTGACATGTCCCCATCATTTTGGGGGGGCACTTTCTTACTTTTTTGTATTAAGTATGCTCCAAATTCATCTTATCTCCACTGTGTCCCAACCCTGGAATCAGCCATTTCTTTCTGGAGTCCTGGTTCCTTTTGGTATGAATGATTTTAAAGACCAAGATATGGGCTCTAGGTGCATGCATTGCACCTGAGGTGCCTTTGTTAGATGGCCAGAGCTAAGGAATAAACGTATGTGTGTATCCTCTGCCTACTATATATATATATATGTATGTGTGTGTGTGTGTGTGTGTGTGAGATACATGTGATATATGTGGGTGTATATATGTTCTCTCTCTCTCTCTCTCTCTCTCTATATATATATATATATCTCCATCCATCTCATTACACACACTCCAAACCATACACGGCTCACACAAGCAAACAAGGAATATATAGATATAGATACAGGAGCGAACATATATACGCACACATATATATCATATATATCACATATATATGATATATATAGACAGAGAGATGAATATGGAAGATGAATACATGTGATATTTAAAAATATAAAAGATTCGAATGTTGCCAAACCATGACAAATTACAAAATATCCCCCAGTTCTCTCAACCTCTACTTTTTCACTGCATCTCAGTTTTTCTTGTGCTTATTTATTTTTTGGTGCCTATGGACGTGCAGCTTAAGTCCAGTAATTTTTCTTGGGGGAAAATTTTTCTACCACTGAAATTTTCTGCTACTGTGATTTATAATTTAGGATCCTGTTTAGAGGGGATCAGCTGCCCATCACAGAGAGCGATATTAGGTGTCTCGGGGAAACCCAGCATCCGTCTCTGCTGTTCATACCCCGAGGTAATAAATCCACCTTCTCCCATGGCCATTGTAGGTCAGAAGGGCCAGGGAGGGAGAGATCCGTGGATGCTCCCAGCCTGTGAGCAGATCACGCTGAGCTGCCAAGTACCTTCCACATGACAGCTGATTCTAAAGCCAACCCCAAGCAAAATGAGAGAGGAAATATTCTTTTGCATTTTTACTTGCAAACTAGCCAGGTCATCTGAAGTCTCTGGGCTTAAGAAGAGAGGAAAAGCTGGCCAATTTGAACAATGTCAGAGTGTTCAGTGTGCTTCCAAGTTTCACAAGATAACTGTTTCTGCTCTAAGTCCCCAGGAAGTTTGGGGGGTGAAGCTTGGTGACCAGATTTTGTCGTCTGCTTGAGTCATTTTGGGTCCAGGGAGTAGGAGGATTCTGGAGACCACATGATTTTTGTAAGATAAATGCTCGTCCACATTACCTCCCCAGGAACCCAATTCCAGATGCTAGGAGATCTTCTAATTTCATTCTGAGTGCCTTTGACCTCCCATAGCGAGGGCAGACACCACCAAAGTTGATTATAATGGCTAATTTAATATTATATAAATCGAGTCCTTGCAATCTGAAGGACTCCAAACTAATTTTATCAGTTATTATTTTGTGTCTCTCGAAAAGGGAACACTGACGATCACAGACTTATTTTTTTTCTCTCTGGTCTCCTTGAATCTCGGCCTGTAGCTCCGAGTGGGTGATGAGCGATAAACAGTCTATCTCTGATGCATTTTTTTTAATGGGTGAAGTGAGCAGAAGGCGAAAACAGAGAGAGAGAGTCTTTCAGTCAGAGGTTAATACTCACTGAAGAGATGGCTGATTCATTTTAGCTTGAACAAAGACCAGGGAAATTAATTTGATAAGCATCTTGCCTCTGCAGACTTGAGTGCTAAGCGAAACTTCCCAAACTTCCTTACGAAAAGAATTGTTTAACGGTGTTGTTAAAAGTACAAATGCCAGCCTCCACCCTGGAGGCTCTGATTCATTAGGGCTAGGGCGGAGCCCAGGAATAGGCACATTGATGGAATCTTAATGTGATGCTGAAGGTCAGGCCAGTTTTGGAAACTACCATGTATCTTGGGCAGGTTAGGACGAACAGCTGCAAACAATTTTCTTCTAAATGGAAGAGACGAATAGCACTCACCATATAGAATTATTGTGATCATTAAAGGAAAGTCATTTACTCAATGGGTATACAGTGAGCACCTACTGTGTGCCAGGCACTGTGCTGTGAGCTGAGGACGCAGCAGTGAACACTCCTTGTGACAAGGGAGGAGCAGGTGTTGGTGGAGCAGTGGGCATCTGTCACACCTCGAGGTGAGGGCTGTCATGGGACAGGGACACAACAGTGAGAGTGGGCTCAGGACAGACCCAGACCAAGGGCACCAGAGCCAGGGGGCCCAGAAGGAGCTCCTGAGAAGCAACCTACAATGCTTCATGCTATACGTCAATCTGACGGGGCCATGGGGTGCCCAGATATTTGGTCACACATGATTTCTGGGTGTGTCTGTGAAGGTGCAGTCAGAGGAGATGAGCACTGGAATTGATGCACTGAGTAAAGAATTGTTCTCCCCATGTGGGTGGGCCACGGACAGCCCGGATAGAACAATCGGGGGGAGGCTGAACACAATCTGCCTGTCTGCTGGAGGTTGAACACAATCTTCTCCTGCCCTCAGTGCTCCTGGGCCTTCAGAACCAGATCTGAAATCTACACCATTACTTCTTGGCCCTTCTCACTGCACCATCAGCTTTCCTGGATCTCCACCTTCCAGATACAGATCCTGGGACGTTCCAGCCTCTATAATCACATAAGCCAACACCTTATAATAAATATCTTCATACATACATATAAAAACACACACACATATATATACAGCGTGCACACACACATATATATAACAGTTATATAACTATATAGAAATATATAGGGTTTACATGAATCTATGCTACTCAAAGCTGTTCAGATGAATCTGTTTTCCTACAGTTAATTGATGGAATGAATCAGCTGTAGGTAGAAATGGATCAGACAGAACATTATATATAACTATATATAATTGGTATGGCTTGGCTGTGTCCCCACCCAAATCTCAACTTGAATTGTGTCTCCCAGAATTCCCACGTGTTGTGGAAGGACCCAGGGGGAGGTAATTGAGTCATGGGGACCAGTCTTTCCTGTGCTATTCTCATGAGAGTGAACAAGTCTCATGAGATCTGTTGTGTTTATCGGGGGTTTCTGCTTTTGCTTCATCCTCATTTTTCTGTTGCAGTCACCATGTAAGAAGTTCCTTTCACCTCCCACCATAATTCTGAGGCCTCCCCAGCCATGTGGTACTATAAGTCCAATTAAACCTCTTTTTCTTCCCAGCCTCAGGTATATCTTTATCAGCAGTGTGAAAATGGACTAATACAATAATATATAGTTATATATACACATATACAACTATATAGTTATGTTATATATGTGTATGCTGTGTATATAACTACCTATACACATGAATATACATATACACATATATATACATATCCATATATCCATATCCATATATATATATATAAATATACACACTCACACACATACACGCACATGTTGAAGTACAGGGAGGAGAACCTCAGGGCAGGCAGACCCTACAGCCGCCTGAAGACTTGTGGGTCTCTGCCTAATTGACAAAGGAAAACTTTGGAGGAGCCTCAGGCAGGAGGTGATAAGATCATGTTTGCTGCTGTTAGGAAAAGGCATGAGAAGGTTCTGGTGGATTTAGTTGCCAGTACAGCCAGCCGCCCCCACTGAATGGAACCAAATTGTTTCTCCCCCCTCTTCCTGTGACTACTGGCTCTTCCAGTTTTTAGGGTGTTTGCATGTTGGACTTTAGAGAGGAGACTTCCAGACAGGTTAACTAACCATCTGGCTTTTCACTCCCACATGTACAAAAAACAATGCGGCACACAGGTCAGAGAAGCTGGAGACCACATTCCCCTGCACACGACATGTTTGTTGGAATTTGGTTCTCATTGCTGTGTAGTCTGCGTTGTTGGGGACACCCTCGTAACAAGAGAAGAAGCAGGCTGCCACAGGCTGCATCTGCACTTCATTTGACAACAACCCCCACTTGTGTCTCACTCATAATTCAACCCTGCTGTTTTGTTTTGCTCATAGGAATCCTTCTCCATTAGCACTCCTGGTGTGCTGTTGAACCCTCTTCATTTGTATTTAACTAACAGGAGGTACCACAGTTTTGCTGTAAGCTCCAGCAGGCGAAGTTCTGCTAGTAGAAAGCACTTTGCACCTGTGCACTCCAATCCAGGACCCTGATTCCAGGTGCTTAGCCTCTGGTGCACAGCCCAGCCCAGGCCCATGAGCCCTGCCAGGGCTCCTTGGATGGCCCTGATTAAAGAGAAGGTTGATTTTTTTCCAGAGTCAGTGCACTGAGAAGCATGGACCTCTCTGCTTTCGCTGTCATTTGAGCTGTTCATTGTTACCATATGAACTGGGTTCTCCTGCCTAATATTTTGATAACACGTTGGCATAAGATGAAATGGCAGCGAAATAAATGGCTGAAAAAGAGCACGTTTTGTTATTTAACCATCTGAGTTGGTATTACATGTGTGTGTGGTTTGTTACTTTGCTCTGCATGAATCTATGGTACTCAAAGCTGCTCAAATAACAGAATCTGTTTTCCTGCAATGAATTGATGTTCCAGCTGTTTGTAGAAACAGATCAGACAAAGCATTATATCAAATGCTCTCTTGAGAAGCACCAGCCTCACATCCCCCAAACTCATCTTCCTTTGAAGCGCACATTTCTCACAGATGCCCCAGTTGCTCAGGCCCACTCCTCCACCATTAGTGACACCCCACCACCATCCCACCATTACCATCACTGCTAACACCCCTACAACCACCACCTCTACCATCACCAACTCCACTGCTACCTCCACCATCATCATCTCCATCATCTCCCCCAATTCCCTCACCTGCATTACCTCTGCCATCACTAATAACAACTCTATTGCTACCTCCATCATCATCTCCATCACCTTCACCAATTCCATCATCTCCATCACCTCTATCACCACCAACAATACCACTGCTACCTCGATTATCATCACCTCCATCACCTCCACCACCACTTCCTTCACCTCTGCCATCACTAACAAGAGCATTGCTATCTCCAACATCATCACCTCCATAATCTCCATCACCACCTCCATCACTTCTGCCATCTCCAGTATCACCTCCATTACCTCTACCATCACTAGCAATACCACTGCTACCACCATCATCATCTCCATCACCTCCACCACAATCACTTCCATCACTTATCACCAACTCCACTGCTACCTTCATCATCATCACCTCCATTACCTCCATCATCTCCATCATCATCACTTTCATCACTTCCACAATCTCCAACATCACCTCTATCACCTCTACCATCACCACCAATACCACTGATACCTCCATCATCATCAGCTCCATCACCTCCACCATCATCACCTCCATCACCTCCACCAACTCCAACACCACTTTCATCACTTCTACCATCGCCAATAACAACTCCACTGCTACCTCCACCATCATCACCTCTATCACCTTCACCATCATCACCTCCACCACCTCTGCCAACTCCAACATTACCTCCATCACCTCTACTATTACCCATAAAAACTCCATTGCTACCTCCAGCATCATTACCTTCATTATCTCCATCGTTATCACCTCCAACACTTCTGCCATTACCTCCACCATCATCACCTTTATTACCTCCACCATCATCATTTCCATCACCTCCAACATAATTTTTACTACCTCTATCATCGCCACCATTTCTACCATAACTACATATCTCCAACATCACCACCAATACCACTGTCATCACCTCCAGCAACCCTCTTCACCACCATGAACTTTGCTACAACCACCATCATTGCCATCACCAACATCATCACTAATACCTATATATGTTCTATAAGAACCTGCATATGTTCTATAAGAGCCTTGGCAACAGCATCTCTCTCAGTTCTTCTGCTTCTTTTCTTTGGTTTCCTTTCCATAGTGTATCCATTACAATGTAAAATTACTAAAAAATATACCAGCTTAAAGTAGCGCCCATGCGTTTATCTCACAGTTATTAGGTCAGAAGCCTGGGTGGATCATGATTTAGTTAGGTCACCTGCTTTTTTCCCTCACAAAGGTCAAAATTAGCTGAGTCATGCTCCTTTCTGGAGGCTCTGGGGGAGAGTCTTCCTCCAAGCCCATCTATGTTGTTGGCTGAATTCAGTTCTTTGCAGGTACTGGGAATGTTATTTTGCAAAGCATTAAAAGGAATCAGATCCTGCTGACAGAATTCTATCCATGCTGCAACCCCCGCCCTGACCAAGTGCTTATAGAATAACAATTCTGATATTTAAAAAAAAAAGACGGAGCATCATCAACTGCTAGTCACCCTCTCTTCTAAGTGGCTTGCATCTTCTAAATAATGTAATACACAGTCCCGGCTTATTATTGGCCCGATTTTACAGAAGAGAGAACTGAAGAAGCCCCAAGTTGCACAGCTGGCTGGTGAGTGATGGAGGCGGGACTTAACCCACATCTTCAGGCTCTCAAGCCCACCTTCTCAGACCCCTCATTCAGCATCCCTTATCCTCTGGGATCTTTGTGCTGAGGGTTAGACTACCCATGCTTCCAGGTACCCTCCACAGAGACCCTGAGATCAGGTACCAAGATTAGCCCTATTTAGAGACAGGGAACTAAGGCTCAGAATACCAAGTCACTTGCCCACAATCATCCCGCAGCAATTACAATGTTAGGATTCCACTTCAGGGCACATGCTCTGCACCAGGGCACATGAAACACAGGCCCTCCCTGCAGCAACTGGCACAAAAGCTGGTTCCTTTTCATGGAAAGCAGAGTGGCATCCCCAAAACTTAATCAAAGCTCCTCAGGAATGTGGGGATCTCTAACAAACATGTTGGGAAAGCTGACATGAGGCAATGGAAACACAAACCCCTGCTGCCTGTTGTTTCCCTTCACCTAACTTCCTTCCTTCCTGCAGCCCTCAGCCTGTGTGGGCTTCATCTTCCTTTGCTCTGTCTCCAAGGCCTCTGAGATCTAAGGACACTCTCATGCATGACCATACAGCGTGGCAGGTAGAACTGAATTGGCTTGCGATTGGACAGTCACTCTCCTGATCCTTTCCCTAAGTCATGGGCCGGGATGACAGCACTGGGTACCATTCAGAATTTATGGCAATGTCAGGGTCCTCTTCAAAAAGTAACGTTTAAAAACATACCTTTAAGGCAGCCAACCACTAAAGTTTTTCAACGCCTGGGTGAACAGTGGTCTGTTATGTTGCAAGCAGACTTCTTTTTCCTTGAAAGGATATGCCATTAGAATCCACCCAAGGTCTCATCCTGGCCCGCACAGATCACTCAGTGAAGGAAATCATATTAGTTTCCCATTGCTACTGTAACAAATCAACACAGACTCAGCAGCTTAGAGAAACATAGATTTATTATCTTATAGTTCTGGAGGTCAGAAGCCTAAAACCAAGGTGCTGCAGGGCTGCACTCCTTCTGTAGATGATATGAAAGAAATTCTGTTTTCTTGCCTTTTCCAACTCCTAGAGACCCCTGGCATTCCTTGTTTCGTGTTCTCTCATCATTGTGACCTCTATTGCCACCATCGTATCTCTTCTCTAACACTAACCCTCCTGCTTCCCTCTTATAAGAAGCCTAGTGATTGTGTTGGTTCCACCTGGACGGTCCAGGATACTCTCCAGTTTAAGATCCTTAATTTAATGACACCTGTAAAGTCTCTTTTGCCACCTAAGGTAACACATTCACATCAGGAAATGGACATCTGTGAGGGACGGTATTTTGATCACTACAGGTCTGGAAGTGGCAGATATTTGGGAAATTTTCCTACAATGAAGATTATGTCCCAGGATGGGATGAAGAATGCTAGGAGCACTAGGAATCTTTCTCTGGCCACCACGCCTACGGGATCAGGCCAAATGGAGATGCTGAGTGATTTTTTATACCACCTCAAGATCAAATGTTTGTTGTAGGGCCAAAGCATTGGCCCAAGACATAAAATGAACAGACAATAAGCATGAGTATGTAATGCCTTATTTACTGCTTTTCTCTGACTCCTTTCTGTGTATGGGATACAGTCCAAAGGAGCTATAAATGTGTGGCCCAGTGGACATGTTTTGTTTTGCCAACCCAATGTTCATCTCCAACAAGCATAGGTGAGCAATGGTTGACCACAATCCTCACCACTCTCTAGCATTACCCCACCCATAAGACATTTTCATGATGAAACTGCCTTTGCAAAATTATAACTGAGGAAATGATGACTGTAAAAGAGATCAGATCTAACCGACTCCATCTTGCTTCTAACCTTTAAGCTGTCCTTGTTCATTCCTGGGCATAGGCTGAACTAACTTTGGGAAGGAATTCAGTTCATGGTTTGATTCTGATGCAAAATTGATAACATCCCTTTCCTGAAAAGACCCCTTTTTGCCTGGGGACCAGGCTGCCTTTGCAGGACTAACAAATTAGCTGTAAGATTAGAAATTACAGTTTAGGGGTCTGTAGGAGCCTCTGGCTCCAAGAGTCTGAACCTCCCCAAAGTGCTCCTGGGGGTAACATCACTATTGTAAAACCTAAGATCAGTGGCTGAGATATTTTGCGGGCCCTGTGCTCGATCCATCAGCTGACACCACCCAGGCCAGTAATCTGGCTCAACCAGTTCTATGATAACACCCACGAACAGAAGACAGCAAGGAAACCTCACTCTGTCCCCCTATGATTCCATCTCCAACCTGACCAATCAGCACTCCCCACTTTCCAAGCCCCTACCCACCAAATTATCTTTAAAAACTTTGATCCCTGAATGCTTGGGGAGACTGATTTGAGTAACAATAAAACTCCGGTCTCTCTCACAGCTGGCTGTCCGTGAATTACTCTTTCTCCATTGAAATTCCCTTGTCTTGATAAATCCGTTCTGTCTAGGCAGCTGGCAAGGTGAACCCATTGAATGGTTACAATAATACCAGCTGAGTCTCTGACGTCATTGATTTGACAAACCCAGGTCTATCCTCTGGATGCAATTCCCCAGCATCACCTCCTGTCTTTCCCCCTCATCCCTTTTCCCAGGGCTTCATCCACATGAACTACCTCACTATTTTCAACATAACCTTTCCTTTCACGACTCATTCCCCTTTCTCCTTTCTCCATGTATTAAACTTCTCTGCATTCAACATGGCCCAATGCAAATGTCATTTCCCAAGAGAAAGTTCCCCTGACTCTCCTGAATGCAGTGGCTTTCCTCTTCTTGGTGTTACCACCTCCCACCTCTGCTACCACCATCATCATCTCCATCACCACCTGTTGGCACAGCTGGGACCCCAGGCTTTTCACACAGAGGGGCAATTTGCTGGGCTTATATTTATCTGCACTCTGAGCTGCTGGAGACAAGGACCTCGTATCTTGTGGATTGTAATTTGCTGGAGTGGAGGACGGACTCAGAAACTGACTCCCAGAAAGAGGAGGGGACGAAACCAAAGACACACAGTTGAGCATGCTGTGATGACGAGTGAATGAATGAAAGAAAGAAAGAATAAAATTAAGAAAGAGAGAGGGAGTGAGAGAAGGAGAGGAAAATAAAAAGAGAGGAACAAAGATTAGATTAGTAGATGAAATAGAGGTAGAGAGAGAACGTCCTAGAAATGAGACAGATATTCAGACAAAGTCATCAAAACACTTTCTTTTAACTTTAAATCTAATCAGATGAATTGGACTTCAGAAAAAAAAGAGAAACTTCAATTGCACTATTCCAGCAGCACACATACTGAGCAGTAGCATCAGAAGGCCTGTTAAACATCAAATGAGCCATCTAACCCAATCCAGGAGCCATGATCATTCTGCTCCAAAAGCATTTCTTCAGTGGTCACTCCCAAGGTCTGGGTTCTGTCGATGGAGCAAGACATAAAAAGAAGTCAAACATGAAATGCCCAGCATGGGTAAGAAAGCGTCTGAAGTATTTCTAAAATAAAGGAAATGCTAATGGACCTTTTGACTGGTGACAATCGACGCCTCTCCATTTGTCTTCTGGGCTGCTGGAAAGGGGATTTCACTTTAAGCCATCTTCCTGATGGCTTTTGCCCTCATCCATCTGCAGAGATACTAAAGTCACAGTTAGGCTGAATTTCTAAAGGCCAGGATGTGAATTTGATTTAATAGTGTGACACCAACCAAGAAAACAAGGCCGTAAAAATAAAGGCAGACGCCGCTCCCCTAACTTATGTCACTGGAGGGATGAGAATAAATGGATGAGAAAAGAAGAAGGAGCAATTAGGAAAATATCAGCCAAGCTTGGTCTTCGTAGTTGTCTGCAACTTATTTGGAGCTGCTCATAAAGGTTTGAGTGAATGCTTTTCAAACTTCAGGTGACAACCCTTCCTTTCACCTGCAGGAAAACAAGAGTAAGGTTTAAGCATCAGTGCCTAGCCCTGTTTGAAGCACTTACCATTTTCATTCTCAGAAAAACACCTATGGATATGTTATTTAATCATCATTCCTTCTTCATGCATGAGAAATGTAGGCATAGAGAAGGTAAATAAATCTACCTAAGGCCAAACAGCCAAGAAAAAGTGGTCTAAGGCTTTATACCTGGCTGTCTAGTTCCAGAGACGATGCTCATTCATTTTCACAGTGCTGCCTTGTGAGTGGCTGCTCATTCAGCACAACCCTTCTATGGAATTGGCAGCTTTGGGGGTGGGTTCCTGAATGCTCAGAAGTACACAGAACTGTTAACATGATCGTCCCTCCATACAATCCAGTATGTTTGGTTAAACATAGACAATTGAGTGCACAAGCTTACCTTAACTCCTTTCTGAAATCCCCAGACACGACAGCTGTAAAAGAATTGCAAAGGGGTGGGCGGAGCAGGAATAAAAGGACCAAGCAAATGGGAAAAGGGAGATGCAGGCAATGATAATGGGGGAATTGGATACTGGCTGGCATGGTGGCTGACTTAGCAAGCCGGAGAAAGCTGAAACCAAGCCTGGGCTGGAAGCTCCAACAGGCAACCGCATTCCACCCTCAAGTCGTTGCAGGAATCGACACTGAAGGCATGTAGCATGCCTCCGAGAGTGAGGCAATGAGTGGAGCAGGAAATGGGGGCGTTCCCTAAAAGCTTAGACCCTTCCAAAATCTCTCCCTCTTGAATGTGGTGCCAGACAATATCCCTTCTTGCTGCCCCATAGAAGACTGGAGCTTGCTCTATGGGAAGGAAAAGCCAGAGGGATCCTAGACTCAGACTCTAGGCCTGGTCAAGGGAGAAGAAATAGAGATTGTGTGCAAGTCCACTGACAGAATGGTGAGTCTCTCCCAGAACCCTGATGCCCAAAGCTCTCCCGGGCAGGCAGTCTTCCTGCACAGCAGCCTGCTGCAGGCTGGGGAGTCAAGGATGCCTCTCTGAGCAGACTTAAGCCTGGAGAAATGAACACGCATGGATAGGTGTGCAGGCCATGACAACCCAGGCAGATGACACTTCATGAAGCCTCACAGAGGTCAAGCAGCGTCCAGGCCTCCAGAGCTACTGGTCAGAACCCAGGCAGATGACACTTCATGAAGCCTCACGGAGGTCAAGAGCGTCCATGCCTCCAGAGCTTCTGGTCAGAACCCAGGCAGATCACACTTCATGAAGCTTCGTGGAGGTCAAGCAGTGTCCACACCTCCAGAGCTTCTGGTCAGCTTTCAGTGCATCCTCCTTGAATATGAATGACAGCAAGGAGTTAACAGGAAAGATGGAGATTTGAGGGAAAAAACACAAGAAAGGCATCTGAAAGAAAAGAAACCATGCAGGCATAAGAAATCTTTAAGAAAAACTCATTAATATTTTTATGCAAGTCTGTGAACTTGGAAAGATGATGTTCTTTCTGTGAAAACGAACTGCTTTATGTCCTTTTCTAAGAGGCCAGTCAGGTGCATCCAGGAGAGGAGATGGAGGAGAGGCTCAGGAAGATGAAGGTGATGGCACTCACAGGTCCTAGTGGCAGGAGGCCCAGAAGGCCACACAGAACCATGTGGGAAAGACACCAGGTGGTCAGGAGGCAGGAAGCAGTAGTGCTGGGAAGATACAGACAAGGCCTTTCTTGGGGCATCTGAGGGAAGGCAAGGCAGGACAGGTGAGCAGGTGAGAAGTGGCCAGCTAGAATATTCTGGAGGGCTCTAAGCTGTAGGGAAACATCCTGGTTGCCTGATATCTGGCCCTAGAATAATTAAGAGAGAACAATATTGCCTTTGCAGGTGTATGGACCAGAGAGACGAGGGCTGGCTCTGGATTGGTTACTTTGCATATCAAGGGCATGCCCAGGGCTGGGCCCTTTGCTATCTAAAAATTGGCTAGCCCCTAAAAAGGCAGTGTCTTCCCACTAAGAAAGGTTTTTTTAATATGTCAAAACAGTATAATATACAGACAATTTTAAATTATATTTATATTACACATTCAAAGAACAAGAAAGGCTTTCGGAAATTAAAATAAAATAGTAGCTATATAAAATTTGTAAAAAGTAGGGAAATGTTATGTTGATAAAACCTCCCAGAGAGTAGATTAAAAAGAAAAGCAAACAAAAAAAGAAGAACAAACAAAAAACCAAGTATAAGGATGAAAGAAAAGAGATGGTTACAGACTTAGAGGATCTAGTCAGGAATTTTAATATTCAAATGAGGAGAGTTCCAAAAAGAGAGAATGCAGAAACCAGGGAGAGAAAATGATTGCATAAATAAAGAAAAATTGGAAATATGAATCACAATTATTTCCAAATTAAAAGGTTTCATCAAGGATCTAGAATTATGAATTTTAAAAAGGTTTAAAAAATATGCACACTCAGGCACATTATCATGACATTTTAGAAGAATAGAGGTAAGAATAATATTTTAGAAGCTTCCAGAAAGAAAATACAAGTTGCACACCAAGGATCAGGGGTCACAGGCATCTGACTTCCCAACAGCAGCACTGGAAGCTGAAAGGGTGATTGAGGTCATGTATGAGTCAGGGTTCTCCAGAGGAACAGACCTAATGGGATAGATGTATACATGAAAGGGAGTTTATTAAGGAGAATTGACCCACACGATCACAAGGTAAAGTCCCACCATAGGCTGTCTGCAAGCTGAGGAGCAATGAAGCCAGTCTGAGTCCCAAAACCTCAAAAGTAGGGAAGCTGACAGTGCAGCCTTCAGTCTGTGGCCAAAGGCCCAAGAGCCCCTGGCAAATGACTGGTGTAGGTCCAAGAGTCCAAAAGCTGAAGAACTTGGAGTCTGATGTTCAAGGGTGGGAAGCATCCAGCATGGGAGAAAGATGGAGGCTGGAAGACTCAGCAAGTCTGCTCATTCTACCTTCTTCCACCTGCTTTGTTCTAGCCGAGCTGGCAGCTGATTGGATGGTGCCCACCCACATTGAGGGTGCATCTGCCTTTCCCAGTCCACTGACTCAAAAATGAATCTCCTCTGGCAACACCCTCACAGACACACCCAAGAACAATACTTGAAATCCTCCAATCCAGTCAAGTTGGCACTTAATATTAACCATCACAGATCACAATATATTAGAAAAATCGTGGTCACACAAATGATGACAAAATATCATGAGAGCTTTAGTAAAGCCATGTACCAAGGTCTAGGAGAGTGCCAGGGTCTAAACAGTTGATTCTTAACTGATCACCTGCAGATGAGAGTCTGCGTCCACCATGTACATTAATAGCTGATATTCCTATGCTGGGAAGGGTAATACCGGCTTCTGGCTGGAATCATCCCATGGTGGGTGGTTGGAGGGTGGGAGGAAGGGAGAATCCAGTGTACTTCTCCTCCTCCTCTCTGTCTGCCTCAGTAGAACTGCCAGTGTGACCACATCTCCTCCAGGACTCCAGCTACACCAGACATCCGACATCTCTCCCTCTGTGGTCTCAGTTTCTACTGGGCAGCCCACTGTGGTTCCAGCTTCCATCAAGTGTCCTGGATCCTGGGCACTATAAACAGCCCCTCTTCCTGCCCTGGAGGACAGCAGCTTCCTGTAGCTGCTTACTGTATGAGTCAGGGTTCTCTAGAGGGACAGTACTAATGGGGTAGATGTATACATGAAAGGGAGTTTATTAAGGAGAATTGACTCACACAATCAAAAGGTGAAGTCCCACAATAAGTCATCTGAAAAACTGAGGAGTAAGGAAGCTAGTCTGAGTCCCAAACCCTCAAAAGTAGGGAGGTCGACAGTGCACCCTTCAGTCTGCGCCCAAAGGCCGGAGAACCCCTGGCAAACCACTGGGGTAAGTCCAAGAGTCCAAAAGCTGAAGAATTTGGAGTATGATGTTCGAGGGCAGGAAGCATCCAAAATGGGAGAAAGATGGAGGCCAGAAGACTCAGCAAGTCTAGTCCTTCCATGTTCTTCTTTCTGCTTTTATTCTAGTTACACTCAAAGCTGATTAGATTGTGCCCCTCAGATTGAGGGTGGGTCTGCCTCTCCCAATCCACTGACTCAAAAGTTAATTTCCTTTGGCAACACCCTCACAGACACACCCAGAAACAATACTTTGCATCCTTCAATTTAATCAAGTTCACACTCAATATTAACCATCACACTTACCTATTGGTTGCTTCATAATATCTGTTTGGCTTCTCAGTCTTTAAGTCACCTGCATAATCAATCTACTCTATTAAATTCTTTCTGTTTGGAGGTTGAATAGTGTCTGCTGTCTTGATTGATCCAGGCTGGAACAAGTGCCCACTAGGCTAAGCTTTGGCATGCATAGCTTGTTTAATCCCCACAACCACTTTATATGATGAGGTTTAAATTTTATCAAGTTCCCTATATTATGCAGGCAGAAACTGAGGTGGAGAGGAGTTAAGTTGTTCAAAATCCTTCAGGTTTGTAGTGGCCCAGGCAGTATTAGAGCAATCTGACTCCAAGGTTTATTCTTTATCACCTGTGTACTATGTTGCCAACCTAGGTGAACCTGGGACATTCTGACTCAAATCAATTGTCTATCGTTAGTATCAACAAAACACAGACTAATTACTTAGCTAATGTAATATGTGACTAGATGGATGTTGTGGATTAGACAGACCCAGGCCATGCATGTCTTAGAGTCTGAATCACACCCTGGTCACACTCTACCACTGTAAAAACAGCCCTGGAAGCAGAAACCCAAGTTCTAGTCCTGCATTCAATGAGATGTGTGAGCCCCTGGGTGATGCAAAGTAACCATTCCCAGGCCATGTCTTAGAATCTGAGTTCCACCCTAGGATGGCACTCTGCCTGCCATGGCAACACCATGCCTGGAGGCAGAGTTCCATGTTCTAGTCTTCATTTCAACATTGATAAGTGTCTGCTATATTTGACCTCTATATCTTGATTGGTCAAGTAGTATTAATAAATTGTTATTGACCTTGATATATGCCAGATATCATGCTAAAAGCTCAACATGGCTATTTATTCCCTATGGCATCTCTATAAACCAACTGCTAGCATACTCATCCATTTCACAGATGGGAAAACTGAGGCTGAGAGAAGTGACTTGATATGCCCAAAGTCTACAACCTATGCATGGCAAAGCCCAAATGTAAACCAAAGTCTTTCTGATTCCAGAACTGACAGGGCTGATACTGAGCAGATGCGTGAGATACCATACGAGTTGTTTACTGCACGTAGCCCACAGGTTAGGTTCCAGATATTCTGGTTTGCCAAAGCCTATGCCATACCAGCTAAAAATTATTTTGAATCTCATGTCTGGGAGCTGGTACATTTAATCACTCTTTGCCATTGCTCTGAATATAATGGTGGCATATGTCATGCTTTCTAAACGCAAGGCAATTCCTAATAATCCCAGTCAAGCAGCACTTTCTTGGCACTATAAAAATATTTGAAAAATTTTGCTAACTGGCATTCAGAAGTCTATTTATATAGCCTGCTCAATGTCACAGAGATGGCCAGAGACAGACAGTTCATATCTTTTGGTGGTCTGTTGGGTTGATATCTATCGAACGTGTCTTATGATCCATAGACTTTGGAAACAGACCGCCAGAGTTTGAATTCTAGCTCTCTCACTAACTAGCTCTGTAATTTTAGGCAGGTTATTTGACCTTCTGTGCCTCAGTTTCCCATTTATATAATACAAATAAAAATCTGCCACATGGGTTGTTGCAAGGATTATGTGGATGAATAGGAGTAAAGAATATAGAACAGTCTCTGGCACCAGGTGAGTGCAGTCTACATCCTGACCATGACCTTCCCCTTGCAGTTGTTGGATAGCAGAACCAGGACTTGGCCCAGGCAGGTATCCTGGCACCAGCTCTAACTACCAGGTATACCAGGCTCAGCCACCATACTGGGCTACCTGCTCTGACCTCTGGATCTTCCAACACTTCTTCCTACAACCACTCTGCTATTGAGGCCAAAGTTCCAGGACCCGGATTTTTCTGCAGGGGCAGGGTGAAGGGATCCATGTGTAAAGTAGGCAGCAGACACGGAGCAGATGATGGTGTTGGACTGGCTAGGAGAGGAGATGAAATCTTGTTTTTGCTTTCCACTTCCAATTTCTGATAATATTATGTGGAAAGCTTTAGATTGGTTCAATACCATAGACATTTGGTGTTTCATTATTGATATATATTCCCATTTCTGTCTTCACACTTCCTTCTCTGATATAAAAAAACACATGGAAGTTGTAGCATAAATCCAGGATTTTTTTCTTCATTTGACTGTTTTCTTTTTCTTTTATGACACAAAGAACTGGGAATCCGAGTTAGACTCATTTATATTTCCATTTTTTTTTTTTTTTGCCATTTGAATGAAGCTATTTTACTGTTACCAGGAAAAATGCATCTACAAAGCAATCTGCTAATGAGAGAGCTTTGCAAGTTAACTTCTCTGATCGGATTCAGTCCATGGGCCCAACTAGAAATACACCTCAGTTCATTAAGAAGCACAATAATTACCAGACTTTCTCAGCAGAGCGCAGTCCTGAGTCTCCCCAAGGAAAACCTTCTCAAATTAAGAGACACAGGGATAATATTTCCAATATATGAAGAGCACTTTTGAATCAATAATAAAAAGGCAAATATCCTAATATTTGGGACATGGATGGGGCATAAGAAAATTGTTAAAATACTTTCCACAGAGCTGGGGTTCTGTGCATCTTAAACATTTTGGTTCTGGATGCAAACATGACTCAAAATTAAGTAACATGCCACCAATTAATAATCCCATCTCCACTGCTACACGTACAAAGACAGAAGACTCAAATGGTAAACTCTTACCTGAAGAACTACACTTGACCAATAGACATACAGAAAAAAGTGGTTCAATCTAACCTATCATTTAAAATGTAAATTAATAATAATGTATACATTTTCATCAACTAGTCCAACAAAACTTCAAATAGTAGATTAACAATACCCATTGTAGATGAGCAAATGAAAACAGTGAGCAAAAGATTCAACAGACAGTTCACCAGAGAAGATATATCACTGGTAAATAAGCAAGTGAAAAGATGCTCGACAGCATTAGCTACTAGGGAAATGCAAGTTAAAACCATGAGATACTACTATACATACATCAGAATGGCAAAAACAAGCAAAACTACCGGGATATGACACACGTTTACCTATGTAACAAATCTGCACATTCTGCACATGTATCCCAGAACTTAAAATAAAATTTAAAACAAGCAAGCAAACAAACAAAAAAACTACCATGATAAAGTGCTAGATTAAAGGCATTATACAAAAAAACAAGTATTTTTCTATTTACCGGCAACAAAAATTTAAAAGGATTTTTTTAAAATACCATTTACTACAGAACCTAAAAGTTTATGATATGTAGGGATAAATTTCATGAAAAGATCTTTACCCCAAAAGCTAGAACATATGGCTGAGAGATATTAAAAGACCTAAATAAATAGATGTAAACCGTGTTAATGGGCTGAAAGACACAGTTTTGGTGAGCTGTTTAATTTTCCACAGAGTGCTCTATAAATTGAATACACCTCAAGTTACCTCTAGGTACCGATGAGGGAGTCTAGCCATGACACCTAAGTGTGATATGGTGGGATGAGATCCTAGAAGAGAAAGAGGAGATTAGGGGAAAACAGAAATAATCTGAATAAAGTGTGGAGTTTGTTAATATCACGTGTAAGTATTGGCTTGTTAGCTATGATCCATGTACCACACTCCCATAGGATATTAACAATGGTGACAACTAAGTGAGGGGTATGAAGGCACTCTCTACTATCTTGCAACTTTTCCGTAAATGTAAAACTATTCTAAAAGAAAATGTTTATTTAAATGTATTATATCATGCAAATAATCCTGGGAGACTTTTTTATATAAATTATTTTAATGTTATTTTTTTCTAAAGTTTTCAGTCACATTATCAGTTCATGTTTTTTAAGTAATGTTTTTAATAATGCAAGAATTTATGCCTCTGAGGGCATCTTTGGATACACCCATCATTTGGATATCTGTTGTTTTCATTAATGGTCTATTGTAAATAATGCGCAGTGGAATAGACTACTAGTTAAATAGGGATGTTTAATTCAAGGTATTCACTAGGTAAAAATTAAAACCAGTACTTAAGATTAAAAATTCAAATTTTAATTTTAAAAAATTTCTCTACTCCAAGTTTTGGGAATCAGTCACTCGGCAATCTTTGACACATCCTCGGTTTCCCAATATAGGGAATGTGTATCCTCACATGCAAACATCGCCTACCGCTTTTGGTAAGTGCTGTGGTGGCTCTGAGAACAGAGAAGCAATAGAGATGCTGTGTTCCTCCATCCAGGAACCAGGCTTCAAGGCAGGGATCACATGTGAGGAGCAACCAGCTGAGACTGGATCCTCCAGGGAAGCCCCTGCAGAAATGAAAAACAGTGGTGGGGAAACATTGCCAGCTGTGAGCAATGTTGGTGGGAGTTCAATTGTGTGTGGGAGGGCTATGGAGAAGAGGTGGCATTGAGCTGAATAAAGTGTGCTAACAAAGAGAGGAGAGATATTCCAAGGTGAGTGAACAGTAAGAGCTAAAATGTGAAAGTAGGAGGTGTGGTGGTAATCCCAGAGTTTTGGGAGACTGAGGCAGGAAGATTGCTTGAGGTGGGTAGTTTGAGACCAGCCTAAGCGACATAGCAAGACGTCATCTCTACAATAAAATAAAATAAATTAGCTGGGCATGATGGCATGCACCTGTAGTCCCAGCTACTCGGGAGGCTGAGGTGGGAGGATCACTGGAGCATGGGAGGTCAAGGCTGCAGTGAGCTGTGATCACTCCCTTGGACTCCAGCCTGTGCAACATACCAAGGCCCTGTCTCAGAAAAAATGTGAAGGTAGGGAAATGCCCCTTAGGCAAGTGTCTATACCGCCTGGTTCACCCAGGGAAATTCAGTTTATGTCTACTCTCACAGTCTATGTGTTGGTAGTATCCCATGTCCCCCTCGGATCCATCCTGACTTGGACATGAAATTAGGCAATTGCCTTTTGCTTAGTATGCTTGAGAGAACCAAATTTCCAGCCACCTTAATTCTCAGGGTGTATCCTCATACTGAATCCATGGCTTGGCTTCGCTAGCAATTTATTCCTCAATGCTAATGACCTGGGCCTCTCTCCTCAATTCTGACATCCTCAAGATCCATCCAAGAAGAAAATAGGCAGAGAGCCATCCTTAAAGGGGGCCAGGAGTGAGCACAGCGTGGAGTAAACTGAAATTTTCCTTCCTGTAAATGGCACTGCAAGGGGAGTGGTTGTGGATGGAGAAGATGACTCAGTGGCAAGTCATGCACTTGGCAGGAGTCAGTGTCTTCAGAATAATTACTGTCTGTCAATAAATGTCAAGGATCTTTAAAAACTCAATCCAAGGGCAGATGTCGAAATGGGTTTCTTAACAGACTAAAAGACACATTCATGCAGGAGGCTTTGGGAAAATCTTTATAAAAAATTCTTAATCATTGCTGGCATTTCAGAAATAGAAATAGGAGTGAAACAGGTAAGCATATTGATTGATAGACAGTGAGGAATCAAATAGCAATGAACCTATGAATAAAATATAACTCTAGACACCAGGGTCACTGTATTAGTCTGTTCTCACACTGCTATAAAGAATACCACTGAGATTGAGTAATTTATAAAGGAAAGAGGCTTAATTGACTCACAGCTCTGCATGGTTGGGGAGGCCTCAGGAAACTTACACTCATGGCAGAAGGTGAAAAAGAGGCAGGTGTGCCTTACGTGGCAGCAGGTGAGAGACAGAATGCATGTCAGTGCAGGAAAAACTACCATTTATAAAACTATCAGATCTTGTGAGAACTCACTCATAATCATGAGAACAGCATGGGGAAAACCACCTCCATAATCCAATCACTTCCCACCAGGTCTCTCCTTAAACACCTGGGGATTACAATTCAAGATGAGGTTTGTGTAGGAACACAAAGCCTAACCATATCAGTCAGGGTTGGGAGAGTGGCTGGTACTCTAAAATAAATTGTTGCTCAAATTACTCTGTGTGTGTGTGTGTTTGTGTGTGTACACATGCATTCACACACTCATTTGAGTGTATCTGTATGTATATATCATTTTATGCTTATGTTGTTTTCTTCTGAAGAAAATATTTTACAAGATTTATGTATGAAAAAATAGTTTCTAACCAAAAGATAGAACGTGTCTTGTGATTCATGTCTACTGAACACTTTCAGAAACTAAATTCTAAATGCTCCTGAAAATTCAGAAATGTGGATAAGTATCCTGCACACCTGCTGTGTGTAGTATTTTCTTCCCTAACTTGTATCCTCTCCTGAGATTCAAAAATAACATGGAATTTTCACTGGGAATCCACCTCTGCCCACTCTAAATTCGAATACCCTCCATTTGGAGGCAGGGTGGGGGTGTCACATGACACAAGTGTGGCCAATCAATGTATGCCATCCCTTGGCTACAGTGATTGGTTCAGGATGGTCATGTGACTGTTTCAGAGTCTCTTCTTGCTAAATTCTGATGAGGGGCATTATATACAAGAAATGCAGCATGTCTGTAGCTGCCAGGCTGTGCAGATGACCATTTGCTATCTACACACACAGGCTTTGCAGGAATCTCTTGGTTGCACAAAGGGAGGCAAACAGTGCTTAGCATATATAGGATCTAGTAGGAGTCAAGGCTGGGCTTATTAGCCTGGAGTCTTAGAAGCTGGACTGTAACCAGTTAGGTAGTGGGAGCTTTGATACAGATATTGCTCCTGCAGCTTCCTTGTGAAGCGTTTATTAATTTCATCTATATTCAAGGCACTGATTTTCCCATTTAGTTACAACTTGTGAATTGGCATTTATTTCCCATAACCAAACATTCCTTGGAAGGCAGCATCTTGGATGGCCACAGAATAGAATTGTCTTGTGGGAAATTACCTAGTGCTATGGCGCCCCCCAGATACGCTTCCAAGCATGCTATTCTAGGGGGTCCTGCATCCAAGAGGCTTACAGACCAAATTAAGATGCTCAAAGTAAATGCTTTGTTAAGAAACATATAGCAAGAAGGAGAGCATAAAAATTGTACATGAATGTTCATAGCATTATCCACAAAAAGACTAAACAACTCAAATGTTCATCAACTGGCGAATGAATAAACATGTATTAATCAGGGTTCTCTAGAGGGACAGGACTAATAGGATAGATGTATATATGGAAAGGAATTTATTAAGGAGTATTGACTCACAGGATCACAAGGTGAAGTCCCACCATAGGCTGTCTGCAAGGTGAGGAGCCAGGAAGCCAGTCCGAGTCCCAAAACCCCCAAAGTAGGGAAGACAACAGTGCAGCCTTCAGTCTGTGGCCAAAGGCCCAAGAGCCCCTGGCAAATCGCTGGTGTAAGTCCAAGAGTCCAAAAGCTGAAGAACTTGGAGTTCGATGTTCGAGGGCAGGGCAGGAAGCATCCAGCATGGAGAAAGATGGAGGCCAGAAGACTTAACCAGTCTAATCTTTCCACCTTCTTCTGCCTGCTTTTATTCTAGCCATGCTGGCAGCTGACTAGATGGTACCCAGCCACATTGAGTGTAGGTCTGCCTTTCCCAGTCCACTGACTCAAATGTTAATCTCCTTTGGCGTCACCCTCACAGACACACCCAAGAACAATATTTCACATCTTTCAATCCAATCAAGTTGACACTCGATGTTAACCATCACAAAACCAATATGGCAAATACATACAATGGAATATTATTTAACAATAAAAAGAAATGAAGTACTGACACATGGATGAACCCTGAAAACCTTATGCTAAGTGAAAGATGCCAGACACAAAAGACCATGCACTGGATGACTGCATTTATATGGAACATCCAGACTAGGCAAATCGATAGAGACAGAAAGCTGAATAATGGAAGCTAGGTGCTTGAGGAATTGGGAGGAAATGAGAATGGCTGCTCTGGGGCAGGGAGTTTCTTTGAGGGTGATGAAAGTGTTCTAAAACTAGATAATGGTGATGTTGCAATTCTGAGTATACTAAAAAAACACTGAATTATGCACTGCAACAGGGTGGTCATGATGGTAACTGATATCTCAACAAGACTTGTTTTTTAAAAAAAGAAAGAAAAGAAAAGAAGGAGAAACAGAAGCAAGGGAATCAGGTAGGAAAAGTTAACACACTTCTTGGGATACCACGCAAGCAGGGGAAGGACCACACCAGTACTTCAATCCTGGATTATGTGATGCTTACATTCTCTCTCTCTCTCTCTCTTTCTCTCTCTCTCTCTCTCTCTCTCTTTCTCTCTCTCCCACTCCCCCTCCTCTGTTCATCTCTCTCCTCTCTCTTTCTCTCTTCCTCCCAACAGTGGTCTATTGTGGATACAAGCAATAGTGTGGATGTTACACAAAAAGACCCAACAGTCTGAGATGCCTGGGGCCAGCACAACACACTTGCACTATTAAGAGACCCCGGAACAGGTGCACTACATCAATGGCTGAGGCTTACCCTCACCTGTTGATCAAGTATCTTACTTACCTCTCTTGTTCTAAGGACACATATTTCAAGAATAGGTGATACCTATCAGCATCATTAATATTAAGTACTTTGAGTGTCCCATGTATATTTTCCTGTTTTCTTCTAAATGTTTTATGGCTGTACAGTTTTTGACTCACGAATATTTAATGCATCATTGATTTGGGGACCTTCTGTGTGTTCAGTTTGTGACAAATGTTTGCTGTCTAATGTGGTCTGTTACTATTTAGCCCATGCCCGGCCTCTTCCATTCCTTTCTGTGTTCTTCACATAATGCTTTCTCTACCTTATCTAGGTATGACAGCCCCTATATTGAATTGTGCATATCCCCCTCATTTGTTTCTTTTTCTTATTGTCCATAGTTGGATTGAATATTCTTAAACAATACAGCAAACACACAATGCAAGAATCAAGCTATTATTTCTCCTTCTTCCCAACTGAAGGGTGGCATTTCAGGTATCTTCCATTTGGACCAGTATTGATTGCATCTAGAAGAGAATGGGAATTCCGTCTCTTCTGTTGAAAAAGCATAAACATCCTTCTTCCCCCTGTTTTGGTTCTCCCTGAAATTGCAGACTGTTGAGAAGCCTGAGGGAACTGATGTCCTTTAAAATGGTAGCTGCCAATGAGATTTCTTCATCAAGGGATAGGGTGGGTTTGTTTCCTTCTTTAGCAGAAGCAAAACACCAATCAATTCCCACTTGTTTCGTCCAGGTAAGAGCCATGTTTTTTTTTTCTTTCTTTTTTTTCAGACAAAGTCTCCTTGCCCAGGCTGGAGTGCAGTGACACAATCTCAGCTCACCACAACCTCTGCCTCTGGGTTTAAGCGATTCTCTTGCGTCAGACTCCTGAGTATCTGGGATTACAGGTGCACACCACCATGCTGGGCAAACTTTTGTATTTTTAGTGGAGATGAGGTTTTACCATGTTGCCCAGGCTGGTCTCAAACTCTTGTACTCAAGCAATCCACCTGCTTCGGCCTCCCAAAGTGCTAGGATTACAGGCATGAGCGACCATGCCTGGCCAGAGCCATCTTATAGACCTTTTAGAAGCAAGCCTGAAGCAGGAGTGGCTTCTGTCCATTAGGAACCAGAAACTTTGAGAGGTCTCCCAGGCTGGCTGGAAAATCAGGCACCAACGCAGTGGAAGAGATGGCTGTGACTGCTTCAAATCCCAGGCCTGTACCACACAGATGTCCCAGTGCCTGGGTAGTCTGAAGCAGCCTTGGACAATGAGCATTGAGGAAAGGGAAAGAAGCCAGATCTAGGAGGATCCTAGTTCAGTCTCATTCAGTGGAGATTTCCATCTTTAGGTCTAAACTGTGGCCCATAAACTTAGTGCACCATAAAATCAATATAAAACACCTCTATCAGTATTTTTAAATAAAGGAAATAGAATAGAAAATATTGGAATGCATACCCAAAACAAAATATTTTCCTTCAAATTTAATTTTTAGTTACATATGTAACAACATGTGATTGTGTGCTGAGTCCTAATGTAAAGAGGGCTTCCTTTTTTTTGTTTGTTTGTTTTGAGACAGGGTCTCACTTTGTTGCCCAGGCTGGAGTGCAGTGGTGCAATCATGGCTCACTGCAGCCTCAACCTCCAGGGCTCAAACAATCCTCCTGCCTCAGCCTCCATAGTTGCTGGGACCACAGGCATGTGCCACCACTCCCCGCTAATTTATTTTTATTTTTTGTAGAAACAAGATCTTGCTATGTTGCCCAGGCTGGTTTTGAACTCCTGGGCTCGAGCCATCCTACCACCTTAGCCTCCCAAAGTGTTGAGATTACAGGCGTGAGCTATTGCAACCCAGCCTAATATGTGCTTCTTAGTGGACGATGATCATATGAAAGGCACCTGTATTAACTTCTGCTAACCCAATTATATCTTCCTTTAAAATCCAGAAATTCAGGAAGATCCCCCTTTCCTCTTAGCTCAGATTGTTTCTCCTGTCTGGAAACACTCTGGATTATTCAACGTGAAGCTTGGTTCTGTGTTTCTCTGTATCATCCATCATTTACTCCATTGATAAACATTTTCCCCAAGTCCTTCCACTCCAGCATGAGCATAAGCCATTTTAGTGGTTCTTTCAGCCCATACCGCAGATGATCAAAGAAGACGCCTAAAGGAGCCGGGCTTATAGGAAACTGAATACAGCAGGAAGAGGCATTCACGTGACCCTTGTGGACTGAATTACATCTCCCAGAAAGACACGTTCAAGTCTGAACCCTGCCTGGTACTTGTGTGACCTTTTTTGAAGATAGGATCTCTGCAGATGTAATCAAGTTAAGATGAGGTCTTTAGGGGGGCCCTGATCCAATATGACCGGTTTCCCTGTGAGAAGAGGCACAGAGTCAGACCCACGCAGAGAAGGCAACGTGAGCACAGACAATGGGAGAAACACCAGGTTATGAGAGAGGCAGAGCTGGAGCAATATGCCTGCAAATGAAGAAATGCCAAGGATTGCTGGCATCATCAGAAACACAGAGAAAGGCACAGAACTGATCCTCCCCTGGAAGCTTCAGAGAGAGCCTGGCCTTACTGACACTTTGACTTCAGACTTCCAGCCTCCAGAAATGTAAGATAATAAATTTCTGTTGCTTTAAGCCACCCACGCCTGTGTTAGTTTGTGAAGGCAGCACGACAAAAGGAGTGCAATGACCTAGACACAATGTACCTGTTAAATGTGGGGATATTTATCTCTTCCCTAAAGAATCCTCCTCTGTCCCATTTTTCTTAAAATTCAAAGACCACTGACTCTATTTTTCATTTTCTCACTTTTGTAGGTATAGGGATATAAGATAAGTTTTACTTTTCTCTTAGATTTATGATACGTAAAAAATGGATCAAGTGTGCTAATAAAAGGCAGCTCATTCTCAGTTGACAAGACGGGACAATAGAGATTGGTGGGGACTGTGCTGAAATGCAGAATGCAGGCCTCATCAGAAGGACTATCACTGCTCAGGGGAACAGGCTCCCAGTGGTGCCATATCAGTGGACTGTTTTAAAGGCAAAGCAACAAATCTGTAATCTGTATTTTTATATTTAAAAAAATCAAAATTTTTAAGGGTTTAAAATTTATTTTGTCTTAACTTTTTTTTCTTTCTTTCTTTCGTTTTTTTTTTTTTTTTTGGAGACAGAGTCTCACTCTGTTGCCCAGGCTGGAATGCAATGGCGCGTGATCTCACCTCACTGCAACCTCTGCCTCCTGGGTTCAAGCGATTCTCCTGCCTTAGCCTCCTGAGTAGCTGGGGTTACAGGCACGTGCCACCATGCCCAGCTAATTTTTGTATTTTTAGAAGAGATGAGGTTTCACCATATTGGCCAGGCTGGTCTTGAATTCCTCACCTCAAGTGATCCACCCACTTTCGCCTCCCAAAGTGCTAGGATTATAGGCGTGAGCCACTGCGCCTAGGCTAAAATTTATTTTATTTTAGATTCAGGAGGTACATGGGAAGGTTGCCTACCTGGACATATTGTGCAATGGTGGAGCTTTGGCTTCTAGTGTACCCATCACCCAAATAGTGACCACTGTACCCAGTGAGTAGTTTTTCAACACTCCCCCTCCTCCCGCTCTCTCTGCCTTTGGAGACCACAGTGCCGATTGTTTCCAGATTTATTTCATGTGTACCTGTTGTTTAGCTCCCACTAATCAGGACATTTGATATTTGGTTTTCTGTTTCTGAGTTAGTTCACCCAGGAGAATGGCCTCCAACTGCATCCAGGTTGCTGCAAAGGACATGATTTTATTCTGTTTTATGGCTAAATCAATTTCTAATTGTTGTCAACTAATTTGTTTGTAGATGCTGCACAGTACCAACAAACTTCATCTGTATACCACCAGCTCACGACATCTGCCCCTTGGGAACCATCCCATGGCCAGCCACATGCATGCTGAGTACTTGTTGGGGGGCTGGCCTTTATTCCAGGAGCAGCTCTTGGGTAGAGAACTATATCCTGGGAGGCTTCTTGATTTTAGATATTCATTTGGGATTAAATATCTGATTTCAGGGAACAAAATGCGAGGATAAGGTGCCACTTTCACAGGTTTCGAATGTGTCACTTTTTTGTTCATTTTGTTTATTAATGAAGACGAACACGGAAAAAACCGTTCCTAGACCGGATGAGCCTCCTGGGCTCCCAGCCAGATTGTGTGGAGAGACAGAATCTCCCTGCTCCAGTATCCTTGTGAAGACAGTTCACGTTACACTGTCTTGAAGCCATCTCTGAGTGTCTTCCATAATGATGCGAGCTTCTTCTCTGATTAGGAAAACAAAATAAACATTCTCTTCCAGGCCCTTTATCCATATCAATTTAGCTCCATTTGAAAAGTCCTTCAGAAAACCTTGAAGTTACACAGAAATATCAAGTATCTTCCATTTTGGACAAGGTAACAGGGTTTGTTTAGAAGAGAATGGGAATTCCATCTCTTCTGTTGAAGAAGCCACATTCTCCCTGAAACTGGAGACTGACCAGGGCCCTGAGGGATTAATGTCCTTTAAAATGATACCTGCTGACATGGTTTGGCTGTGTCCCTACCCATATCTCACCTTAAATTGTAATAATCACCACACGTCAAGGGAGGGGACAGGTGGAGATAATTGAATCATGGGAGCAGTTCCCCCATACTGTTCTCATGGTAGTGAATAAGTCTCATGAGATCTGACGGTTTTATAAATGGGAGTTCCCTTACATAAGCCCTCTCTTGCCTGCTGCCATGTAAGATGTGCCTTTGCTCTTTCTTCATCTTCTGCCATGATTGTGAGGCCTCCCCAGCCATGTGGAACTGTGAGTCAATTAAACCTCTTTCCTTTATAACTTACCAAATATTGGGTATGTCTTTATTAGCAGTATGAGAATAGACTAATACACCTGCCAAACATGATCACTGAGGGGAAAGTGTAATGGTGGAGCAGGTCTCCTTCAAGGTCAAAGACTTCTGTGAGAGGCTGAACTGGGTGTTCTTCTTGCGCCCCTCCAAGTCCACCCTCAGCTTTTCTCCACCCTACCCTGCATCTCAGGGATGTAATATTCAAATACTGCATGAATTAAACCCCCTGTCTTCCAGCATCCAGATTGGGTTGATGAACGGGAGGCACCAAGGAGATCAGAGAGCAGAAGATGAGAAAGATCAGGATACTTACAACTCTGCTTCCCAGACCCGCCCCCTGCAACTTTGGGCCACACGTTGGAAGTGACTGTGTCCCTCCACCAAGGGACACGGCTTCTCCTGGGTGGCCCTTCTACCATCACTCAGGCTCCAGTGACCTGGCCCTCCCATTGACAGGTCCCACTGGGGGCTGGAAGGCTTCCCCTGTTACTCAGCCTTGTGTGTTTCACCACCCCGTTGGCTTCCCTTAATTCTGTCCACACCTTTGTAAATAGTGCCTTCCTTAAGTCCTCTTCCAGAAGCACTTTCAGTGCATTGTTCAAACCAGGGCCCTGAATGATACAGGGGTCAAATATTATTAGTTTCCTATTTTCCTCTCACTTTTCAGAGACCGGAAGGCATATGTACGCTTATATGAAATATATATATATAATATATATGTATGTTTGGTGCTATATATATATAAATCTGTACATATGTATCAAATATATTTATCTCACTTATATAGCTGCTTCAAATAACAAAATGTTTTCTGAAGATAAAATAATTTCCTTGAACCCAATCAGTGACAACTGGATGTTGAGAGCAATCAGATTGGTTTTGTTCCCCCAAATAAGCTGAAGCACAGGCAAAGACCAGAGGCATTAGGACAAATTCTCACAACTACAGCCCTGGATCTCAGGAGCTCGTACAGAGCCGTGTTCTGACATCCTGGCAGTTCTGAGCAGATCTCCTTCCAGGCAAGCAAGTGGGGACTCTAGAATCCAGCTCTCCCTCTGGTAGTTGCGCCATCTTCACCTCGGCTCCCAAAGTCTCTGTGGAAGGGATCCCAGAAAATAATAATTATTCTAGTATAAGTAGGTCCATGCAATGCTTAGGATAAGTATATTCCATAACACAAAAGGTATTCATTGCTTGCCTGACATCCCAATTTTATCTAGCCACCTGTATTTTCTCTAGCAATACTGCTCACGTTCCTTTGACCAGAAATAGATTCGTGGCCCCAACAGGTAGCAAAGGGGATGTGAAGTGTGGCCAGGGGCTGGGCAACTGCTTCACAGATGAGCTCCACACTACAGAAGGTGGCATAAAGCTCTGGTGATTAACCAGCTGTCCCTGCCATGCCTTGCGTGTGTGTGTGTAAGTGTTGTGTGTAAGTGTGAGAATGTGAGAGTGTATGAGGGCGTGTGTGAGTGTGAGAATGTGTGTGAGGGAGTGTGTGAGTGTGAGAATGTGAGGGTGTGTGAGAGTGTGTGAGTGTAAGAATGTGTGAGGGCATGAGTGTGAGAATATGAAGGTGTGTGAGGGTGTGTGAGTGTGAGAATGTGAGGGTGTGTGAGGGCATGTGTGTGAGAATGTGAGTGTGTGAGGGCGTGAGTGAGAACATGAGGGTGTGTGCGAATGTGAGAATATGAGTGTGTAAGTCTGTGTCAGAATGCGAGGGTGTGTGAGGGCATGTGTGAGAATGTAAGTGTGTGTAAGTGTGAGAATGTGAGGGTGTGTGAGGTCGTGTGTTTTTGAGAATGTGTGAGGACATATATGTGAGGACGTGTGTGAGAATGCAAGGGTGTGTGAGGGCATGTGAGTGTGAGAATGTGAGAGCAAGTGTGTGTAAGTGTGAGAATGTGAGGGTGTGGAGGGCGTGTGTGAGAGTGAGATGCGAGCGTGAGGGCATGAGTGTGAGAATGTGAGGGTGTGTGAGGGAGTGTGTGAGAGGATGTGAGGGTGTGTGAGGCCATGTGTGAGTGTGAGAATGTGAGGGTGAGGGCGTGTGTCTGAGAATGTGAGGGTGTGTGAGGGAGTGTGTGTGAGAATGTGAGGGTGTGTGAGGGCATGTGTGAGAGTGAGATGCGAGCGTGAGGGCGTGTGTGAGTGTGAGAATGTGAGGGTGTGTGAGGGAGTGTGTGAGAGAATGTGAGGGTGTGTGAAGCCATGTGTGAGTGTGAGAATGTGAGGGTGAGGGCGTGTGTCTGAGAATGTGAGGGTGTGTGAGGGAGTGTGTGTGAGAATGTGAGGGTGTGTGAGGGCGTGTGAGAATGTGAGGGTGTGTGAGGGCGTGTGAGAATGTGAGGGTGTGTGAGGGCATGTGTGTGAGAATGTGAGGGTGTGTGAGGGAGTGTGTGTGAGAATGTGAGGGTGTGAGCGGAGTGTGTGTGTATGTGTGGTAGAGTGTGACCAGTGTTAGTGTGCGGGTGTGTATAGGTGTGTAAGTGTGAATATGTCTGTCACTGTGTGAGCAAAAGCATGTGTGTATGCGTTAGGTGTGTGAGTGTGTAGGGGTGAGAGAGTGTTAGAGTATGTCTGGATGTCGGTGTTAGAGTATGTGTGTAGCTGTGTGTGTGAATGTCAGCGAGTGCATGTATGTGCCTGCGTGTGAGTGTGTGTGACTGTGTTAGAGTATGTGTGGGGGCTGTGTGCATGCGTGTGTGCATATAAGTGTGTGTGTGACTGGCACTCTGTGTGGTGTGTGTGCGTGTGTGAGACTATGAGACTGTTAGAGTATGTTTGTGGGGGGTTGTGTGCATGAGTGTGTGTATGAGTGTGTGCATGTGTGTGTGGCACTGTGTGTGGTGTGTGTATGTGACTGTGTGTGTATGAGTCTGTGTCTGAGTAGCGTGTGTGTGTGTGTGTGAGTGTGTGCGAGTATGTGTGTGGAGCTCTGTGTGGTGTGCGTGTGTGACTGTGTGGCACTCTGTGTGTGGGGTGTGTGTGTGAGAGTGTGTGCGTGTGTGTGTGTGGAGCTCTGTGTGCTGTGCGTGTGTGACTGTGTGGCACTCTGTGTGTGGGGTGCGTGTGTGTGAGAGTGTGTGCGTGTGTGTGTTCTTGGTCATTCGAATCAGTACGCTCCTGCAGCATCTCTCTCTGTTTCTTAGACTTCTCCAGCTCCCGGGTGTCTGGTGAGATGCCAGCCATTGCCTGTGGTTACCGACCCCGACGCTGGCCAGTGGGGTGAGGCGTCAGGGCCGCAGGTGCCTTGAAGCACACACCTGTGTTAGAGTGATAAAAGCTGTCTTTTCTGCAGTCCTAGCCCTGCCCCAGAAGCTCATCTTCTCTGAAGCCCGTTCTCACAGACCTGTTACAAATATGATTCCTTTAGAAGTACGGGGGCTATGAAGCGGGGAAACCCTCTCCTCCCAGATAATGGAGAGCGAATCAGATAATTAAGCAGAGACCTCAGCACGGGACCTGCCGCTCAGGGGTCTCGGAGCCGGCTGCACGCTCTCCGTAGCCCCACTCGCATTGTTTGCTATGGGAGTAGCGCCCCCTGCTGCTTTCAATAACGCAGCCCAGAAATGGGATCAATTACTCCTGCCACTGTCCTTGGTGTGAATATGTGTGCACAGAGCCCTTCCGGTGTGCGTGGCCGGACGCTGGGCCACAGAGATTCACAAATTAGCCCTGACCTCTGGGCTCAACTAATGCAGAGTCTTGGTTCTCCACCCAGAAGCCATTCCCAGCCCCTCCTCCTGATTTCAAAGGCCTTCTCCTTCCTTCGCTGGAAGCTGAGAATGCCAGATCCCCACTTTTGCAGCCGGTTACGCAGGGAGAGCTTGGGAACGTTTCCCGTCTGGCCAGAGGGATTGAGGGAAGCCTGCTGGGAGCTCCTGGCCACTATTGCTCTGCATGTGAGAAAGAGAAATTAAATAACCTGCTCCAGTGGACAATGTTAGAAGCTGGTTATGCTGCAGCCTTTGAAGGTTTTCTGGACAGCAAGGAATGAAGACCTCTCAGGCTGGCCCAAGCACAGGTGGGTTTATTCTAAAGGTGTTGGTTGCAGTCTACCTGGAGAACATCTAAGAGCACAAGACGAAAGTGCGTAAATTCCGCGGGGACTGCACGCAGAGATGGTAGCCTGTCTCAGAAGCATCTGGTTCCTTTCCCTCCACTTCCTCCTCTTGCTCTACTGCACACCCTTCCGGGCCCAGCCCAACCGGCTGCCCGTCCGCACTCCACGCCCCGGCCCCCCGAGACCGAGATCACCACCCATTGGCCCAATCTCTGCCCAGACCGAGATCACCACCCATTGGCCCAATCTCTGCCTTGGATGTATTATTGAGAGTGCCCAATTGGTCCCCCTCCCCAGCCTTGGAGCAGACGTTCATCCCTGGACCAATCAGCAGTGGAGGGGGGCGAGGGGTGGGGATGGTCACGTGATGCCCAGGGCTGCTCTTTCTTCCACAGGCTAAAGGTGGAGCCTGCGTCTAGAAGGGCTGTTGGAGGCAGGGGGTGAGCCCGGCTCTGCAGGAGCATGCTGGGAACCATGGGCTCTTACAGGCATCCTTCCTCAGGGATTATGTCAGAGCGAGTTATTTTAGGTCAGAGATGGCACCGCCCAAATATACCGTGGGAACATGCCTTATTTCATTGGAATACATGCATTGTATGTTGATAATAAATTTTATTTATCATATATTACACATGATAATCTACTACACATTACATATATAATATATATTACATTTTTAGGTCCTTTCATTGTATATATATTAACTCATTGAATTCTATATATATATATACCCTATATAATATATAATTTATTATTTATAGCCTATAATAGTGTTATATATGACATATATAATATCTGCTATATGGGGAATATGTACTACTATATATTTATATATTTTATTAAATATTTTAGCATATATACATTTAAGTATGCATGTATAAATTCAGATATACTATATCTTTATGTATTCCATTTTCATATATTTATTACATAATATATACATTTATATATATATATATATATATATGTATGATTTGTATATATGTATACATTTATTTGTTACATATTCATAATGAACTGTTTCATTGGAATATATGTGTGTATATATGTAATATGTTTGTAATTTAAATGTACCATTCACATTTAAAATTAGATTTCACATTTTAAAAATCGAGACAGCTGCTTTCTCTGGAAAAGTGGAAGTAAAATAATAATAGCTAACACTAGCGTTGCACTTACCTGTGATGGGCGTTTTTCCAGGTTCCTGCCGTCTCTATGGAACCTCACAGCCGGCCTGTGCTGTGGGTTGTATTATCACTATTGTTCTAAGTCTCCTTCCATTTACAGATGAGGAAACACAGTGCAGCTGCACCTGTGCCCCTGACCGTGGGCGGCACTGCTCCCAAGTGGGCCAGGCTCCTGCAGGGTGCCCTCAGCCCTACCTGCCCCCACCGGTTCACTGGTTTTGGCCCCCAGTGAATTTCAAGTCCAGCTCTTCCTCCTCCCATTTTTACATTACCCACCTCACTCCTGTGGACATTTTCACCGATGACCCCTGATAGTTTATAAGGCTGGAGAATTTTCTATATAAGCTTCCAGTTGGAGTTTTCAAGTGGATTATACTTTCCATAAGTACATTTACTTTTCATAAGTAAAACTCATCAACAAAATAGGAACTGTGAACTAAAGTTTTTGGGGAAAAGCTCGGATTGGGGAAATATGTTTCTGGACATTGTCAATGGCTGAGTCCAGTTGTTCAGACTCTATCAAGCCCTGCGACCCTGTCCTTTGTATCTTCCCCTGGTGAATCCGTCAGACATGTGGGGCTCTTTTAATTCAGAAAGAAACAGCCCAAAAACATTTGTATCACTGCAGAATCCTGGCCCATCACTCAGTGCCTTGACCCTGGGCCTACAGCTCTGTGCTCCCCTGTGCCCAGCTGCTGTCTGACCACCGCCGTCTCCTGACTGATGCTGACACCCCTGAGTGTGGAGACAGCCTTCAGCCTGCAGTCAGACTCAGCAGAGGAAGGAGCCTGGCCCCGGTCGATTCCAGTGCAGCCACCCCATGATAGCCATCCACAGCCCCTGCCCTGGGGAACCAACATGGGCAGCTGGGCAGAGACAGTGACCAGAGCTTGTCCTGTGGTAATCACTGCTCCCCTAGAAAGGTCAGTAGTACAAAGAAACTGCTCCCAGCCTTAATAAAGTGAGCAGGACTATCTGTGTCCTACCAGTTGACAAGGTCCATATTTCACAAGTGAAGTCTGGATAGTTTGCTGCTGATAGATGTCAGATAGAATTCCCCATCTCCTCCTCTCATCTTCTGGCATTGAGTGACAAGTACCTTCCCTTTACTAGTTTTCACTGAATGCAAAAACTTAACCTCCCGGTGTGTTCATTAAACCTCAGTCTCCCTAATAATCTCTCCTCTCCAGAATTGTATTCTTAGGCCACTTTGTGACAGAGACTATGCTGTCCCTGCAGAGAGCAGGTAATTACCTTGCCCATGTCATCCCCAATAGTGATGTATCTTTGACCTCACTTGATCTTGATTTTCAACACCTCTGTATGCAGGTATAAAAATTAAGTGCAGCACATTTCTGTCAGTCCCTAATAGCAGTTTCTTCTTGCCTAAAAATGCCAAAACCACCTGAACAGAGAAATGTGCTAGATAGCTACTGAGTTTGTGGTCATTAGAGAAGTGGTATATTTAGACGCACCACATAGAACATCAGCCAACTTCATTAGGGCATCGGTGAGCACTGGCCACTCACTGACCCACGGTCAGGAGTTGCTGTGGATCAGGCATGTCCCTGCAGTGAGTAATAACCATAAGCAAAGGCAATAATTAGGAGACACCAGTCACGGAGTCGGAGGAAAGTCATTTCTGAACTGCCTTTGGAGAAAACCTTTGAGCTGCATGAAAAGGAAAAAGAATCTGACACCCAGTTCTTCCAGAGCCAAGAACAAAGAAAATTCAGTGATGAACACATTGGGGGAGTCCGAGAGGACACTAATCCTTGTGTTCTTGAGTTAGGCTGAGCTGGAGAGTCAGCGTTTGTTAGTCTGCAGCAGGGCAGAGTAATACCTCACCTGAGTTATGCATGGACAAAGTTGTCCAGTCATTTGGCCATGAACATGGCCTTGATCCCAAAGCCTGAAGTGCCTTGAGCATGTTGGTTTGCTCCACCTCAGGTCACTGATGAAAGAGTAACTGGGTCAGGAGACACAGGCTCATTTTGATGAAGATTGCAAGTGGCAGATACGCAAAATGGAAAAGCACCAATCTCCATAGATTTCAATGAACTGCCTAATAGATCAAATCATAGCCGTGTAAACATCTTATGTCCAGTTCCAACTGACCTCATTAAATGTTTCTTGGTTTCAGATATGAGAACCCAAGTTCTGTGATTACTGTGGTTCTGATTGATGGCGCGGGGTTTAACAGGGTGTGTGCTATCTAAAAACATTAAACCGCACTTGGCAGCCCCCCAGCTTCAAGAGGCCATGCCACTGTGAAGCTCAGAGAAATTATCTTTCGAAATCCTAACTGGGAGGAGACAAATGCGGTGATGCATTTGATGTCATCAATTCATATTCAATTTGTTTTTTGTTTTGTTTTGTTTTGTGGTTTTGTTTTTTCTTTTTTTTTTTTTGAGATGGAGTCTCACACTGTTGCCCAGGCTGGAGTGCAGTGGCACGATCTCGGCTCATTGCAACCTCCGCCTGCTGGGTTCAAGCTGTTCTCCTGCCTCAGCCTCCCGAGTAGCTGGGATCACAGGCATGCACCACCAAGCCCGGCTAAGTTTTTGTATTTTTAGTAGAGACGGGGGTTTCACTACATTGGCCAGGCTGATCTCGAACTCCTGACCTCTTGATTCACCCTCCTCGGACTCCCAAAGTGCTGGGATTACAGGCGCAAGCCACCGTGCCTGGCCTCAATTTGTCTTCATTTTATTACACCAGTCAATTGGAAACTAGAGGTGACTAAGAAGGTAGATAATGGAAAATAATCTCTCCACGAATGCCTAATGGTGTCACCATTTGAGGTAGGTGGTACATGTGAAGCTGGCTAACTCAGTTTACCCATGGCCGTGGCTATAGAAGGCAAGTCTGTGGGAGCAAAGTCACCTTTCATTGTCCATGAACTACATTACCACAACACAGGTCATCACTGTCCTGCTTATGAGAGCTGTTTTGCCATGCTGTAAAGATTTGCTCTTGCCAGGTGTGGTGGCTCATGCCTGTAATCCCAGCACTTTGAGAGGCCAAGGCCGGTGGACCACCTGAGGTCAGGAGTTCGAGACCAGCCTGGCTAACATGGTGAAATCTCGTTTCTACTAAAAATACAAAAAATTAGCCAGGCGTGGTGGCACACGTCTGTAATCCCAGCTACTTAGGAGGCTGAGGCAGGAGAACTGCTTGAACATGGGAGGCAGAGGTTGCAGTGAGCCGAGATTGCGCCATTGCACTCCAGCTTGGGCAACAAGAGCAAAACTCCATCTCAAAAAAAAAAAAAAAGTATTATTCTTGCAGTCACCTTAGGACTTTCACTTGTCCCTACCTACAAAAATCATTGATAACATTCTGTCTACATTTTTACCCACTGCCAAGACTCCCTGGAGAACTGAGGATTAAAGAGAGGCTCTCTTGCGTCTGAGACCTTCTGTGGCTCCTTCCCTCCATTCACCCTCCTGTCGTGTTCTCTCACTCTCTGCCGTGGGAGGCTGACCTGAGAGGACTACCTCCATGCCCTCCCTCACCCCATGGCTTTCAACCAGGTTGACCACTGCAACGCTTCAGCAGATCAGAGAGAAGGGTGCTTACTCTACTCAATCCTGACCACTGAGACGCTCCAGCAGATCAGAGAGAAGGGTGCAGATCAGAGAGAAGGGTGCTTACTCAATCCTGGTGTAGCATCACCACCAAAGGGTTCTTCCTGCCCCTTCGGACATGAGTGGTAGGGACTCCATGACCCTGGGATGTAATGACATCCCTTTATTCCCAACATCCTGCCCCCACCCTTTGCAAGTAGCTTCTTTACTAAACTTTCTCCACATTTGAGCCACCATCTGAGACTGACGGACACAGGGCAAGACAAGAATGCAGAGGTGGAGAGAGGGGAAAGGGGTGGAAGAGGAAAGCAGGAAAAGAAAGAGAAGATGGGGGAAAAACAACTGTCATCAGTTATTTGTCTTTTATAATGTATCCAGAGCATTGCTAAGCAGTTTTCTTTTTATTTTCACCTTCTTGCTGATCGTGTGTGTGTGTGTGTGTGTGTGGTGCAGTGGCATTTAGTATAGCCACAATGTTGTACAATCACCACATATATCTAGTTCCAAAATATTTTCAGGACTCCAAAATAAAACCCTATGCTCATTAAACAGTTACACCCCCCAACCCCGACCGTCCCCTTGCAATCACCTGCCTGTTTTCTGTCCCTATGGCTTTAACTATTCTGCACATTTCATAGGAATGGAGTCTATAATATGTCATCTTTTGTGTGTGCCTTCTCTCACATAGCACAATATTTTCAAGGTTTATGCATCTTGTAGCATGAATCAGTATTTCATTCCTTTTTATGAGTAAATATCATGTATGTGGATATGCCACAATTTGTTTGTCCATTCACCCACTGATAGACATTTGGGTTGTGTTCACCTTTGGCTATTTGGAATAATGTTGCTATGAACACACATGCACATGTATTTGTTTGGGTATCTGTTTCCAGTTTTGGGGATATTTACTATATATGGAGTGGAATTGCTGGATCTCATGATATTTCTACATTGAACTTGTTGAGAAACTGCCAAACTGTTGTCTACAGTGGTTGCACCATTTTACATTCTCTCCAGCAAATTTGCAAGAGTTTCAATCTTCCAATACTCTTGCGAACACTGATTGTTTTCTTTCTTTAATTATAGCCATCCTAGTGAGGGTGAAATGGTATCCTATTGTGGTTTGGGGCAGACTGCTTGCATCATCACATTTCACCCACAGCAGCCCTAAAGATCATGACTATGGTTGTCCTTATTTAACAGTCAAAGGAAATTGAGACTCCAGTGAGCTATTAGAGTCAGTCTGCAAATGCAGATGAGTGAGACCCCAGATCCCCAGCTCTCAGTGGCTGCATTACACATCCCTGGAAGAGGGGCTGGTAGCTCTGTGAAGCCAAATTTACTCATCCTTCTACTCATTAACTCTACACTCATTTATTGAGCACAGATTCTATGCAATCCCCATTTTCTACATTTGTTTTCTAAGGACATTAGAAAAATTTATCCTTCATTTACGTAGAGGGTTTTGAAAGGCAGTTAATACTTTTTTGAGATTCAGAAGAGTGAGTTAAATCCTTTCTAAATAAGAAGACTTACCTTTGAGGACCACCATTGTTAATACTTATGCTAACACAACATTAAAATTCCAGATGGAATATATTTGTTTGCATGTGGCAGTAACTCTACAACAAATCACATATGTCAATAATTTATGCACTCACAGAATTCTAAATCTTAAAGCTGTATCCCAACTTTACTCAAATGATAAAATTAGAATGCTGTCTTTCCAAATCCATTGGTTCTATATTCTTCAGATTGGGGTTCATCCTCAGGAATGCATGGTTTCTCAAAGGAAAACGTGTTGCTATTCCTAGAAGAAAGGAAAATTTGTACAGGGCATGCAAAGCAAACACTTCAACCACACCTATGTGGTCAGCTAAATAATGGCCCCAAAGATGTCCATGTCCTAATCCCAGAAACTTTGAATGTTATCTAACATAGTAAAAGGAACTCTGCAGATGTGATTGAGTTAAGGGCTTTGAGATGGGAATATTAGTCTATATTGTCCAGCTGGGTCTGACGTAATCACCAGAGTCTTTACAAGAGGGAGGCAGGTGGGTTAGAATTAGAGAAGGAGATGTGGGGATGGAACCAGAGGTAACAATGTTTAAGAATAGAAGAGCCAAGGAAGGCCAGCAGTGTCTACACGCTGGAAAAGGCAAGGTAACGGATTCTTCCCTGGAGCCTGTGAAATGGATGATGCACTGCCAATACATTGATTTTATCCCCTTAAGAGACATTTGGGAATTTTGACCTTCCTAACTAAAAGAGAATAAATTTGCATTGTTTATGATGTTTTAAGCCATGAAGTTTGTGGTACTTAGTTATAGCAACAATGGGAAATGAATATATCCTCTACCCTAAGAACCCATTCATAAGCATTTTCCTTTCTTAAATGTTTTTGAGCCTTTCTAGCCATTGTAAGTCTCCCCACAGGGGTGTGGGAGAACACTGAGGATGTAATTACTTGTATGGAACACACTTTGTGGTTCAGAGGGCCTGAAGCCAGGCCTAGTTTCACACATCCACTCCACCACCACGGTGGACGTAGTCCTTCTCAAATATGTGCCTCAGAGATGACATCAGTAAAATGGAGAATTTCATAGTGCAATTCTTGGACCTCATGTCAGGTAATAATACAAAATTCTTAAGTCAGTGTAAGATAAATTGTAAATAAGGGTTAACAATTATTATTAGGGGGAAGTGATCATTCTAGTCCACAATGTTGACCACAGCCCCATGGCCTCAAGGAGGACAGCAAGATGATGCGGAATGATCAGTCTCAGTCATAAAGAGTAACATTTGCCCAAACTGTAGGCATTTTAAGTAAGAATATAAGTGAAAGTTCTTTAAAAGTATCTCAAAAGCAGCTGGGTGCGGTGGCTCATGCCTGTAATCCCAGCACTTTGGGAGGCCGAGGTGGGTGGGTCACTTGAGGCCAGGAGTTCGGGACCAGCGTGGCCAACATGGTAAAATCCCATCTCTACAAAAAATAAAAATAAAAAAGCATCTCAAAAGACCTTTGTCTCTTGTGTTAAAATATCACTCTAGTACACAGGAGATTGAGCTATAAATCAAAACTATACCTTCAGTTTCAAGTGAGTATGTAGAAAATGATGGCATTTTCTGAAGGACTGTAATTTCAATCAAATCCACATTACATGGAGTGGATGAAGATAACCTTGGCCTAAGACCATCTCATTGACTTCTCTCTCAGCTAATGGTACATATTCTATCTGTCGCTGATTTAAATCTGGCAGGTAATGAGTTTACTGCCTGACGGTTATGACAAGATCTTCTCCAAGAATGCTGTTTACACCAGAACTTAGCTTAACATTCCTCTGATTTCCCAATTTGTGGAACATGATGTTGATAGCAAACAAAGCTCCAAATCTATAAGCCAGTGGTGTCCTTGGGGGATATGTTCTTCCTCATGGGCACATAAAGATAAGAACAGGCCAAAGCTCTAACACAAAGGCTTGTTGCTTTCCCTCCCTACAGAGCACCAGAAGCCATGTTTTCTAGCAGTTTGTACAATGAAGCTAGGGTTTCTGTTTAGGCTGGCTGTTCCTGTACCCGCTCAGTGTTTCCAGTGTTTCTTTCTTTCTTTCTCTTCTGGCCACAGAGCCTTTGATTTTTTTTCCCTTCAGGACCCACCATTTCTCCACTCTCAAGCCAAGGGATTCAGAGGAACATTCCCATCCTCCAAGTCCAAGCGATGGTCATATGACCAACCTAACTTCTTCTACCACAATGGCCACTGTACTTAGCTAGAACAATACAAGCCCAGGCAACAAGACTCAAGTCTGGGACATTTTGGAAACTATTAAGGAAATATCTTTCTTCTCTGTCTCCCTCTCCCATCCCCTTCCTTCTTTCCTCCTTCCTCTCTGTCTCTCTCTACCTCTCAGATGAAGACAGGATCTAAACCTCCACACATTTACACATCTCTCTTCCAAGACCTGCATTCACCTGTTGATGGACATTTACATTGTTTTCAGATTTGAGCTTTTACAAATAAGGCTGCTATGAACGTTCATATACTATACCTGTATGGTCACACACACTCATTTCTCTTAGGTACATACTTGGAAGGAGTGTGACTGGGTTATGTGGTAGGTCTATATTTCACTTTTTAAGAAACTGCCAAACTTTGAAAAGTAGCTCACTCAGCATCACATGAGAGTTGTGGTTGCTCGACCTCAGAGGCCTAGTGAAGAATCCAATTTCCAATAGCACCCAGCAGAAACGAGGGTAACTTCCAGCCCCATGGTGTCAGCATATTCACAGAGAAACTGTGATGAGGCACTTCCACCCTCCCAGCCAGGGAAGAATCAGTAGGGACCTAGTGGGAACCAAAACCCCCACCCTCATCCAGCAGTAACAAGGGCCATGTCCTTTCCTGCTCAGGTGTCCATGAAGGCTGAGTGGGGATATCCACTTCTGCTCTTGTGTTGCATAAGAAGGCTGACAAGTGGTATCAGTAAAAAATAAAACAGTGAAATGAGGAGTTTTAAATATAGTTTCACAACATAATACAAAAATGTCTTGGTTTCAGCTGAAAATAATTTGTCGTACTAATAACTAGAAAGATCTGAAAGTGAATGAAAAAAGGCAATTGATACTATCACTGAGATGACAGAGATGTTAGAATGATCTGACCAAGATTTAAGACAGTCATTATAAAGATGCTCCTAACAGCAATTGGACACATGCTTGAAACAAATGAAACACTCAGTTATCAACTAGAAAGACTAGAAAAACAAAGACTCAGTTATCAACTAGAAAACAGAAAGACTCAGTTATCAACTAGAAAATCTCACCAAAGAAATGGGAGAGAAAAGGAGGAACCAAGCAGAAACTTTCAAGCTGAAAAGTACAATAACAAAAATTTAAAAACTTCAATGGATGTTCTCAACTGCAGAATGGAGGAGAAAGAATCAGTAAACTGGAAGATAGAAACAGAGAAATTGTTCAATATCAAAAAGAGAAGATACTCTGAAAAATAGTGAAAAGAGCCTCAGGAACTCGTAGGATTATAACAAAAAGTCTGCTCACCAGAGTCCCAGAGGGAGATGAGAAAGAAGTTAGGGCTGAATAAGCGCTCGGGGAAATCATGCTTGGAAACTTTCCAAATATGATAAAATAGATACACATATAGATTTGAGAAGCTGAGTGAACCCTAAGCAGCAGTAAACACAAAGAAATCCACACCAAGGCATATCAGAATCACATTTCTAGGCACTAAAGATTTTTTTTAAATGTTAAAAAAATAAGAGAAAAATGACACTTTACCTACAGGTAAAAACAATTTTAAATACAACAGAATTGTCATCAGAAACTGTGGAGGCCAGAAGGAAGTGCAGCATTTTTCAAATGCTAAAAATAAAAAAATCCCTGTCAACCCAGGATTCTATATCCAGTAAAAGTATCCTTCAGGAGTTAAGAGGAAATCAAGACATTCTTATATAAAGGAAAATTAAAAGAACTTGTCACCAGCAGATCTACCCTAAGAAAATGGCTAAAGGAAGTTCTTTAAACAGAAAGAAAATAATTTTAAAAAGGACTGTAAGAATATCAGGAAGAAAGAACTTAACAAGCCAAAATACATGTAAAAACAACAGAATTTCTTCTCATCTTGAGTTTTCTAAATAATGTTTGCTGGTTGAAGCAAAGATTATAACACTGCATGATGCGGTCTTAAATGTATGTAGAGGAAAGAGTTAAGGTAATTATACTATAGATGTTGGAAGGTAAGACTCTTAAAGAGAGATAAGATTTTTTATTTATTACTTGAAATGAGAAAATTATAACACCAGTAAACTTTGATAAGTTGTGTATGTAAATGAATCTCTAGAACAATCATTTAATGAGGCACTACCAAAAAGCAGACTCAAAAATATTTTATAGAAGTCAAAATGGAATTTTAAATATTGTTCAAGTAAACTCAAGCATTTGTTTCTCAACTATTAAAATTAATTAATCCTCAAAATGCAGTCCATTATCTCCATTTTACAATTTGAATATTGAAACATAAAGAGAAAAGATCACTCTGAGTAAACTAGAATATGAGCCCAGATAACTATCTGCTATGTTATATTGCCTTTCTCTTTTAAATTTTACATGCAGATAGATATTAATATCCACATTTTATAAGTCAAAGGCAAGAAAAAGAAAACAAAGGAAAAAGAGTAGAAAGCAAACAGAAAACAAAAAATTAAATGTCCGACTTGGGCCCTAACATATCAATAATTATATTAAATATAAAAGGCTTAAATACATCATTGAAACACAGAGAATGGAAGAGTGGATTTAAAATACTACATAACTTTATGCTATGTACAAGCAAAACATTTCAAGTATAATGATATAGGCAGATTGAAAATAAAAAGACAAATATGAATATACATATCATGCAAACATTAATCAAAATTAAGGATTGACTATATTAATGTTAAATAAAATAGGCCTCACAGCAAAGTAAACAACCAGAGAAATAGAAGTTATATAGCAACAAAGAGGTCAATTCATCATGACCTTTATGTCAGAGAAGTGCCATGTGTCACTTTCTGGGCCAAAGCATTTAAGATCCAGTGTCTGACCCTCCAGCCCTGGCTTTCCCTGCCTCACAACCATGGAGACCCCCAGTTTGAGGCAGTGGAGCTACAAGATGGAGCCAAGCAGGTCACTAGGTTCCTTGCTGGTGTGGGCCATTGCCCAGTTCCCTGAAGGAGTCTCCCAGAACTGAAGGGGAGTCTTCATTTTGTTAAACCACTGAGATTTTAGGATTGTTAATTCTGCTTTCTTCTGGAATGATTTCTCAAAGTAATGGAGAGATGAACATGAGGATCATTTGTTGTGAAAGAACAACTAGGTTTTCCTGACCAGAACAATCTACTCTGGTGACAGCACCTACATTTTCCTTTTGTGAGTGGCTCCTGCCCACTCTCCGGCCAGCTGCTTAAGTAAGTTAACTTCACCGTTGGCACCAGGTGTGAGCACATGGCTCAGGCATGGCCAAACAAAGCATTCTATCCTTCTGAAAGCAGGGATTTGCTTAGGGGTGGGCGAGTGGCCCAGGCAAAGCCAGTCAGAGCTGATGAATTATTAACACTCCAATTACTCAGAAAAGTAACCAAAACTATTGGAAAGATAAATTTTATTTTCTTGCTAAGGGAAAGAACATAGGTCTACAACTGCTAATGTTCATCTCTCCATCACTTTGAGAGATCATTCAGAAGAAAGCACAACTAAGAGATGAACAGACAGAGATAAAGATAGAGATAGAGACATACAGGAGGTTATTGATGGTATAGATCCAGACCTGGACTCCTTCCAGCCTGAAGCTTGAAGGATTCTACTTTTGGATTTTCCAGTTACATGAATCAATACATGTTTTCACTTTGTTTAAACAATTTTGAATTAATCTTTCTTTCACATGCAGCTGGAAGAGGACTGCATATTAAAGTAGTATGACTTTGAGTAACATTAATGACAATAATTGTTATTGAGTAATGACTGCACACTAGTCACTGTGTTTAGACTTTTTCCGAGATTATTACAATTACTTCTCCAAATGCATTTTATTATCCCCAACTTACAGATTTGAGTATTGAAATATGGAGAGGGAAGGTCACTCTGAGCAAATTAGGATTTGAACCCAGGTGGCTCTATCCACTCTATTACCTATTACCTTTCTCTTTTAAATTTCACATACAGGTAGATATTAATATCCACATTTTATAAGTCAGAAAAAAACTGAGGCAAAGAAAACTTTATAAGACATAGTCAAAATACAGGTCCCTCAACTTCAAAATTCCCTTTTGGGGATATTCAGAAAACCCCTTCACTAAAATTCAGCTTTCTATGGAAGATGTTGAATTTTAGCTCTAAAAGGAAAATGGCTTCATTGTCCAGTAATAGAACAGTGGAGGCTACAGTGTTGGTCACATGAGTGCAAGCAAGGGACACTGGAGAAGGAAACTACCAACAATAACTGTTTACTGGGGCTATTGAATATGTCTGTGTGCTAGTCACTGCTCGTCCTTCTGTATCCGCTAACTCATTTAGTCCTCACACATCCCTCTGAGTTAAGTAATATTATTTCTCTTCTGCTAATAATGAAGCTGAAGCACGGGCCATTTCACTGTCTTGCCCAAATTGTACAACTAAGGAAATTGCTGGGGGAAGAGGAAGAGGCAGGGGAGACAAGAGCTCACCTGGGCAGTCTCTTCCTGGATTGTGGCAGAAGCCTTGGTCCTCTACCTACACCCATCCTTCAGGTCCAGACAAGGGTAAGCTGGGCTGTCTTTCATCCCAGGTCCTCGGGCTTTAATATTGTCTCAGAGTAATATTGTCCCAAGCCACAGACCATCTATTTCCCTTGGCGGGCCCGAGTCTTTCTGAGTAAGGGGTGCTCTTTGTAACAGAAGTGTCCCTCTGAGAGGGTGCCCTCCACTGACTTGGCAGTCTCCCTCCTGGCCACCTGTGGCTGTCAGGGCATCATCCTTTCCCAGATGCCGCCTCCGTTTCTCAGGCCCAATCACCATTGTAATTGTACGACACCAAGCCCTGGGGTCCAGCAAGAGCCACAGGTGAGATGCTGTTCTCTGGACTGAATTAGAGGAGGTAATCGTCTTCATGCACGCCTTCTAGGCTTAAAATCACCTCCTCCAAGAATGAAAATCTAAGCTGCTGAACTTAACTCCAAGTAGCAGTGAATGGAGCCACTTACAGGGGAGGCTGGCTGGGAAACTGTAACTGTGAAATATGGCTCAAGAGGAGGAGAGGTTAGGAGGAGGTGACCAGGTGCCTGAAACCAGACACTGGAGCTTTTCCTGGCAAGAAACAGCCCCTGGAACGTTCATCACTTAGGGAGTGTGATGATGAGATGCGCGTGGTTCATTTCTGTCCTGCACTTACAAGTCATCTTGGAATTGTGACATCAATCAGCTCTCGGGAAACGGAGAGAAGAAAATCACCTGAGGGCCAGAGCTAGGCAACATCCTCTCTGCTCATTGCTCAGTTGTGACTTTGTGTTTCGTGAAACAAAGTGGGTTTGATGTTATTGATAAAAGTTAATGAACATATTTTTATTTTAAAAATCACATTTGTTGCCAAAATTACATCTTTAAAAATCACCTGAAAATCTAACACTCAAAGATAACACATGATGACTTTTCCTGATCTCTGTCTCTGCCTCCCTCTCATGCATACACTACGTGCACACCACGTGCACAACCACAAACACACACACTCCACATGCACAACCACATGTACCCACATACACATGCTCCACGTACACAACCACATACACACACATACACACACACACCACATACACAACCACAAACACACACACTCCACATGCACAACCACATACACACACAAACATGCATACCACATGCACAACCACATACACATACATACACAGGCTCCACATACACAACCACATGCACATACATACATGCACACCACATACACACATACACATGCATACACACACTCTACATGCACAACCACATACACATGCAAACATGCTCCACATACACAACCACATATGCATACACGCACTCCACATGCACAATCACATACACATGCACACACACACTTCACATGCTCAACTGCATACACACACTCCACATGCACAACCACATAAACAAACATACACACACTCCACATGCACAACATACACATGCACACACACACTCCACATACACAACCTCATCCACATGCATACACACACTCCACATGCACAACCACATACACACACATACACACACTCCACATGCACAACCTCATACACACACATGCACACACTCCATATACACAATCACATACACACGCATACACTCACTCCACATGCACAACCTCACACACATGCATACATGCACTCCACATGCACAAGCACACGTGCACAACCGCATACACACACATGCACGCGCTCCACACGCGCAGCCTCAACAGCCTGCTGTTTCCTTTCACAATGAGTCATGACAACATGTGCACAATGTTACCTACCAGGGAAGCTCTTTAGAGACTCAGTGCCCAGGGTGTTTATTGGGGATGGGTCGAGTAGGCACCCTCTGCCTGCCATGCTCCAAAACTCCAGAGTCTCACAAGGAAAGCAAGTGTTATGACTGAACAAATTGTATACACAATTCTATCGCAGTGAGCCACCTTATCATTTAGGAAAAGTTTTGCATCAGTGTAGGGAGCTGTTGACAAATCAAATTCCCAGAAGCTGGCATAGGTCCGGTCTTGCAAGCAGATCTTTTCCAAGGGGAGCAGGCAAAATCTAGGATAGAGATAACAGTCTCTATCTGAGCTTTGAGATATAGGCAATACTCGCTATGTAGGTACAGTCTCCTCTGCCACATCTTAGAATAAGTTCATTGTGTTACCTCCAAATTTTTGCAAATGCCTAGAGAGTTAAATTCCACCTTTATCATTTATCCATCCATTCATTCAACAAGTTTGTGTTATGTGATTTCTCGGAGTCATCCACTGTTCTAGGCACTGGGATACAATGGGAAAGAAGGCAGATAAAGTACTTACCCTCATGGGACTTCTGTCTAAGACAAGTTCTCCTGGCCACAGGCAACTGTCTGTTTCTGGCTGCCCAATCAGATAATGAGAAGTGGAGTTTAAGGTGTTGGCTTAACATTTTAGATATAAAATGTTATCTCTTGGAACCATAACCTATAGCTCAAAGAGACATGGGAGGTCTAAGAAGTTCCTTAATTAGGACTCATGCTAATTCTATTAGAATTCTTTTTATTGTTTTTTCACATGGCTTCCTAGTCTACCAACAGTCAGGAAAATATTGGTTTTTACTGCATATGTAAGTGTGATTTGAGGTTCTTTATTGTTTCCCTTGTGTGTTTCTATTTGTTTTTACTGAAATATTGATTTGCCTACATATGCTATGGCAACCTGGGTGAGAAAACAGTCAAATTTATGCGGATTTCTGTTGTTATTCTTGTTGCTTTATTTGCTTTTCCTGCAAGTAGAGTGGGGGAGCTCATTCTAATTTTCATTTATTGCATATTGTGGCTTGCTGATTAGTCACCAACATCCTCTGCATTACAGAACTGGTATTTGCTTTCATAACAAAATATACAAGGTGTGAGACACCATTTACCAGCTACTTGTGATGTTCTTCTACACATTCCAGTGTTCACTGTTGCTAATATATTTCCTTTTACTATGTGATTTTATCATTTATTTCCAGGGCTGAAAGGCTATTATTTTATATACAGGACTGTTTCCTATCACATTCCAATAGAGAATATATTGGATTTACAGGAGCAAAAATCTATACTTTTTCTTCCAAAATTACTTCAAATGTATATATGATGAAAAGTATTTAGATTTTTTAATTTCCCTGTGAAATAGAATGTGTTGCATACTCTAGCATAGCTTACCAGTTAGCAAACATGTACTTCAGGCTTGATCTTCAGGGAACTCTGAAAGGAAGAAATCTCAGTGGCATTGAATGAGCACAGCATTTTGCATGAATTTTTGTTTGTTTGCTTGTTTGTTTGTTTTTGTTTGAGACAGAGTCTTGCTCTGTCACCCAGGCTGGAGTGCAGTGGCACAATCTCGGCTCACTGCAAGCTCTGCCTCCGGGTTTCACGCCATTCTCCTGCCTCAGCAGGAGGTGCCCACCACCATGCCCAGCTAATTTTTGGTATTTTTAGTAAAGACAAGATTTCACCATGTTAGCCAGGATGATCTCGATCTTCTGACCTCGTGATCTGCCTGCCTCAGCCTCCCAAAGTGCTGGAATTACAGGCATGAGCCACCGTGCCCGGCCTTTGCATGGAATATTTTATTAAATCTGCAAATAACCCTGAGGGAGGTTGGGAAGAAAGGAGTTGGCACAGAAGAGCTGTGCCTGCTATCCTTGGAAAAGATCTGCTTGCAAGGCTGGACCTAGGCTGGCATCTGGCAAATTGACTGGTCATCATCTCCCTACACTGACATAAAACTTATCCTAAATGATAAGGTGGCTCACTGCCATTGAATTGTGTCTACAGTTTGTCCAGTCTTACTCAACACCTGCTTTCTTTCTTGGAGTCTGAATTTTTGGTGCATAGCAGAGAGAAGATGTCTACTTGACTCATCCCCAATAAAAACCCTGGACACTGAGTTTCTAAAGAGTTTCCCTGATAGGTAACATTTTGCACATGTTGTGACAACTCATTTGCTGGAGGAAACAAGTGCATCCTGTGCGACTTCACAGGGGGAGAAGAGTCTTGGGAGTTTGTGCCTGGTCTCCCCTGGACTTTACCCCATGCACTTTTTCCCTTTGCTGATTTTACTCTGTATCCTTTCACTGTAATAAGTCATAGCTCTAAGTATGACTATATGATGAGTCCTAGGAGTCTTCCTAGAGAATTACCTAGTCTATGGGTGGGCTCAGAGACCCCTGGCACAGGTGTGTATTGTTATCATGGACATTTACATAACTGAGGAAGCTGAGGCTCCGGGAGTTTCCTGAGGCCACACAGCTGGGAAGTGGCACAGCAGGTGTGGCCTCCTTCAAAGTCTAAAGAGACTCCCTCATTCCTCAAACTGAGGATGTGTGTACTGCAGAACCCACACTCAGAACCCTGGAAGCTGTGTTCTGTCTCACTCATGACTTTCATTGTTCCTGCTGGTCTAATGCTTGTAGCCTGTCTTGGGAAGGATTCATGAAATCAACAAATACCAGAATCTGGAAAGGCAGAGGAATATTGATTCTAAATTCTAATACTCAACAGGGCCACCACTAATGGCTGTCCATGTTGTGCACTGCACAGCACCACCCTATATAAAGGGCCAATATTCACAATCAATCAATATTATAGATTTGCAATACCTGAGTCACCAGTTCCAAGATACATTTTTTCCCCATACTTTAACAGTCCTATAATTTGGAAACATTTTAAAGCAATGGCATCTGGCACTTGTAACTGGCAGCATTTTTTCACTGGTGGTTTGTAAAATACTGATAATTCTGACAATCAAAAGAAACTTCAATTTGATAAAATATAGCATTTGTTATGAAAAGTTTACCCCCCAATGGCTGTGAGGTTTAGACTCAGTGTACTAAAACAATTTTCTCACAGATAGTAGGAAAAGTGTCATCAGGAAGAACCAGAATTTTAAAAATTTTTCATAAGTACCATATGAGCTAGTGGTGATGCCAGAATTCAGGCAAACATAAAAAGGACTCACCTCCTATGTGCATGCAATTAATGTCCATAATTAAAGCCAACAACAGTATTTTCCCTTTCAATATTTATATACAATTTAACCACTTTACAATTTTTAAAGGTAATTTGCATGTTTAGTATTCTCTCAGCAGAACAAATAAAGATTGAACACACATTTTTTACTTTGATATATTGATGCTTCTATTTATTTTTCTTCATGTTGAATCCAACACAATGCAACACTGACTTTTTTTGTCATTGACACAAGTATTTCATTTCATGCCTCATCGATTTCTCTCATCTGGGCTAGAACTGGTCCCCAAAGTCAGACAGGGGAAGCCTGAGATTCATCCACCATTCCCATCTTGCAGGAGTTGGTGTCATATTTGGTGTCTGAGACATGGCAGCTCTGCTCTCTGACCTGGCCCCCAAGTCCTGCCACTGAGCTCTCTGGCCCCACCTGCAGATGGCTGCATAGGAAGGAACCACATGGCTTCAAAGGGAATCCCTGACCAGCACTGCTAGCCCTCAACATCAGAAGTTCTCATTATCACAGGCGCTTGGTGCCTAGTGGTGGGACAAAGCACTTCATTATCAAGGTGTTTTGGTACCCCAGCTTTCAACGACATCAGCCTTTTTAGCTCCATATTCCTTCACATCTGTAGCAAATACAACAACCTTAACATATCTACAAACCACCTGGCTTATGTTTAATTTTAATTACTCAATTGGAAAAAAAAGTTTCTCATAATTAACTACAAGTACAGTTACAAAATATCACTTTGTGTTTAAAACTTCTACACAGTTTTCCCAGCCAATGCTAACACACACACACACACACACACACACACACAAACCACTTCAGTTCTTAAGTGTATGTCTTTCCTTATTTATTTATTTTTATTTTACAATCTCTACCAGGTGTTGATCAACAAGATTATATTTTTAGAAGGCTAGAAGGGGAATTTTACAAATTATATAAGTGTGGTAATTGTCAAATATATAGAATTAAATGCAAAAACTATATATACAGGACCATATGATCCAAAACTGGGATCCTTAACCTCAGCCCTGTTTATATTTATTATCATATTCTACTGGAATTTATATTTATGATGTGCTGTTGACATTTGAGGACAGATGATTCTCTGCTGGGGAGAACGATCCTGTGTATTGCAGAATGTTTAGCAGGATCCTTGGCCTCTACCCACCAGCACCAACTCTCCCAGATGAGACCAAAAAAAAAGAAAAATGTCTTCAGACATTGTCAAATATGACCTGAGGGGACAAAGCCACTCCTAGCCAAAAACCACTGATCCAAAGTGATTTCTCATTCAACTGTCTAAAGTCAATGTTAACTGATCAAGGATATTCTTAGCCCCAGAATGACCATCCTAAGGCAGAGAGAATTGTACTCATGAAAAACTTATCATTCTCCCAATTTTGTAGAATTTGAACAGGTGTTGCTTTGCATATTGATTGCCATGTCACTTGAATACTTAGAGGCATAAAGTAACTTATTATTTCTGATGATTTATGATTTATCATTTCTCAGTGTATTATTTCACTGGAATTTGGACAGGGCTCTCCTGGGCGGTTCTTCTGCTCCCATGGCATTGGTCAGGGTCATTCACATGGTGGGACTGCATATCTGAAGCACCAGTGCTTCTCCAGGAAAGCAGCTTAAGGTTCCTTTCAGTATGGAGGTCTCTGCAAACTCAGACTTCTTAGATGGGATTATTGATGACTGTATTTGAAGACTATCTATCACAGAAGGCAGAATGTTTCTATATCTCTGATATATTTTTCTGAATTTAAATTTTATAAATCTGCTAAGATTCAAGCCATTCATATCTTTCTGTTGTTGCCTTTTTTTTCTGAAATGGTAACCTCTAATAGAAAAGTGACTCAGGATAAACGTCAAAGGCATGTTTCAGGTGAATCTGCTTAAAACACAAGAAGGAAGGAGTGTTAGTGAGGGAGTGAGGAAAAAGAGGATCTGAAAGTGTAGAAGGAGGTGCTATGATGTCTGCACCACACACAAACCTTGAGCCAGGTTTGGGTTTCTGGGCTGGGAAAAGTGTGTTAATTTCCCAGGGCAACTATAGTCAATTGCCAGAAACTGGGTCATAGGCTTACCATATTCCATGTTAATGGGTTTAATGTTTCCTCACAATTTGGAAGGCTAGAAGTCTAAAATCAAGATGGTGCAACGGCCATTCCACCTCCAAAGGCTCAAGGAAAGACCCCTCCCTTGTTTCTTCCAAGCTTCTTGGACTCCTGGCAATCCTCAGCAACGCTTGATTTGTGGCTGCCTCACTCCAATCTCTGTCTCCATCTTCCCATGACCTTCTTCCACTTCTTCATGTCTTCTCCTCTTCTTATCTTGACAGTGATGATTGAGTTTAGGGCCTGTCCCAATCCAGTATCACCTACTCTTACCTTAGTTACAGGTGCAACAGCCCTGTTTCCAAATAAAGTCTCATTCTGAGTTTCTAGGTGGACATAAATTTTGGAGAACACCATTCACTCAACTAGGACCGAGGGCCAGAAACTGACAGATCTGATTCCTTTTCTCAAGATCAACTTACTGAGCTTCTGGGTGCACAAGTGTATGGATTCATCGTCTCCTTGGACATTGCAGAATGGAGGGAACACAAGATGGGGGCAATGGCCAATGCTTGACTGTTGCTGCTATCCGAATTTTCTTGTCAGTGCGCATGAATTTGCATTTAAAGTTCCAAATCTTTCCTTTGTCATTCAATATATTCAAAATGGAATTTCCTCCCTGTGAGCCCTAATGTGGGGCAGACAACCCAGGTCTAAACAAGTCACTGCCATGTATTAGTACCCTGACACTGTAAGTGTTGGGTCTGAGATTTGACAGGCACTCTTGACTCCAAGATGTCTGTATACTTGATAAACCTGATTGTTCAGAGCCACAGCCATTCCAGCAACCCTTGCAGCACTTGGTTGTCCCCAAATGGACACTCATTTCCTTCAGTCCCACTTTATTGCCCTTAATCCCAATGATTAAGAAAAAAAATGGTCTTACAGAATGTGAAGGAGGAGGTTGAAATTCCAAAATAGAAATTTCAGGGCTCAACTTTAAATTAGTCTTCTTTTAACATTTTTAAAACTTTTAAGATGAGGCCGTCATGAGTCTGTCTGACCATGCCTGAGAATTACAGGCTGAGAATTTAGATTCACTTTATGAGGTGCTGAAATTATTTATAAATTGGAATCAAGGCATGGCAGCACTGGAAGCAGCCTTGGTGCTCATCTTGTGTAATTAATTTATTATAAAGATGGGACACTGAGGCCCAGATGGCAAATGCCTGGCCTGAGATTCAGGCAATCACAGAAACAAGACACTTCTGAGGCCTCTCGGTTCTCTCAACTTGGAACTATTTCCACCAGCATGGTGGATTTTAAAGCACGGTCAGTAAAAGCTGTTGATGAAATATTGATGGAGGAGGAAGTCACACAGGGCAAGCCCACACCAACAGATGCGTAAGGGCTGAGAGAAGAAGAGGAGGGGAGGGTGAACGTCAAGTCTTGTCCAGGAGCTATTGGAGGCTTTCCCTGAAGCCAAAAGAGAGAAGGTCCCTTGGGACAGGCTTGCATTTATACCTGACCTCCTTCCAAAAAAGAAGACTGTTTATGTTGCTGATAAATCCTTTAGACTAAATGGATGAAGCATACTCCCCTCTTTTTCCATTAACATACATTAATTTGTCAAAGAAAAAAGATATTTCTTCTAAGTTTTTAAGAAAATCTAACTTTTAAATTAAATGTCTCATGCTTATCTAGTCCAGCCTTTTAATTCCACTCAACTCAAGTGTAATGAGTAAGCTTTGGGCTAGACTTTCATAGCTCATGACCTATAAACAACTATAAGGTTATGCATTAGAAGAGGTGACATTTAAAGAGAGAGAAAAATCTTATTCAAAATGTGACTAGCCAGCACTGAATGTATTAATCCTCCAAGTACAAGGCTGAGGATCTTCTAAAACTTGGGGCCAGTTGAAAAGTGCTTAATCATATTGCAGATCAGCTCACACCAGGCTGTTAGGATACCCAAGACCTAAGGATCAGCACAGCTGCATCATTACTGGGTGTTGATTGTTTTGGTAGGAGGGACCAAATGGAATATGGGGAAGGCATATCCAGTGCCTAGAAGGGTTTCTGAGTTGATAGAAGTTTCCTGAAAACAAAATAAAATTGAGGAGGGTGAGAGTCACATAGACTCTGAACCTCACACTCGTGAGAAATATTTTAAGATTTTAAACTAGACTCCCCACCACCTCTCCTGCCTATTTCATCGTGAGAAGTGTCTCTTCTCATTGATCTTAGCCAAAGGACCGCAATGTCCTAGGGACACACACAGCCAATTTTGTAGTGATTCTGTTATAAATCCTTCCCCTTTTAAGAGATTTGGATAGAAAAAAATTAAACAACTTTCTGGTCAGGCATTTGTTTGTCAAAGTATCTTGAGTTAAAAGTCTGTTTTCTCAAAACCTCAAGCTGTTCTGCTGAAGAAACAATATGCAACAATATGAAACAACATGCAACAGTATAAAACAATGTGCAACAATATAACATGTGACAATATGAAATAACATGCAACAATATAAAACAGTATGCAACAGTATAACATGCAACAGTATGAAACAATATAAAACAACATGCAACAATATAAGACAATATGAAAACAATATGCAATAATACGAAACAACATGTAACACTATGAAACAACATGCAACAATATGAAACAAAACAATAGAACATGCAACAATATGACACAATATGCAACAATATGAAACAACATGCAACAATATGAAACAATATGAAACAATGTGCAACAATATAACATGTGACAATATGAAATAACATGCAACAATATAAAACAGTATGCAACAGTATAACATGCAACAATATGAAACAAAACAATATAGCATGCAACGATATGAAACAACATGCAGCAATATGAAAACAATATGCAGCACTATGAAACAACGTGCAACACTATGAAACAACATGCAACAATGTAACATGCAAAAATATGAAGCAATATGCAACATATTGTTCAAGCAGCAGAGATGCTGCTGCTGATCTTCCACTGTACATTCCAAAGGACATTTCACCCTATCAAAAAGTCGAAATAAAAAAATGGTAATGCTCTTCACTGTTAATAGTGATATAGTTGTTTGCAAAACTTTCCATTTCAGAAGCAATTACCCCTGTTTCTGCACATCTATCAAAAGATACATTCAAATACTCCTGTTGAAACTCTTTTTTAAGTTGCTTCTGAAGATGTGGTGCAGAGTAAATGGGTTTGTGTCTAGGTGTGTTCATCCAAGGTGTATCTGGTCTTGAAGAACGGAACGATCCGACTTTCAAGCACTCACAGGGACCATTTGAATTCCCCCAGTGAACAGGTGCCTTCTGGTGAGTGAATCTGAGCTCCACAATGTGTGTTTGGGAAACGCTGCTGGTCTGAGAGTGAACTCCAACATGTTTCCATTCCCTGTTCCAAACATGTCGTTCCAACCTGTGGCAAAAGGTGTTGGCTCCAAACCCAAAATCCATCCCTCCCCTCAGAGTAGGTGACCTCATCTATGTCTAGATCAGGGGTTAATCCAGAATACTCTAAGCCAATCATGGTGTCCCTTGCCCCACCAGTGTTTGGTTTAGGGGTAGGCATGTGACCTGCATCTGACCAACGAGATGTGAGAGAAAATGTGCTGGGCGTTCCCTGGAAGAGGTAGAGTCCGAGAAGGAGATGGGACAACGGAAGCAGAGGTGGGAGGGATGTGCTTTGAAGATGGAGGAAGGAGCCATGAGCCAGGGAATGTCAGCCACCTCTAAAGGCTGGAAAAGGAGAAACACAGAACATGGCTGGATCCTGACAGCAGCCCTGGAACTTCAGCCCCATCTGCCAAAGTGAGGGGAGCCAGCCTGAGGACCCAGGGAAGCAGAAAGTTGTGGAGACTTTATTTGGAGCTGCTACACATTAACCTCTTCTGGAGCTTCCACCACTTAGAACATTTTGATTTGTTAGATGCTAAATTTTCCTTGACATTTAGGTATTTGGGGTTGGTTTTTCTGTTATTTGCAGCTGGAAGGATTTTTACTAATCCTCCGCACTGTCTTCCAATATAAAGGCTGGCTGCTAGGAAACCCCCCTTATGCTCCAAATGCTAAGCTCTAACGACCACCTGGTCTTGAGACAATGCAGAAGAAATTCTACCTGGCCAGTTAACAAACTACATATTCTGTCTTTTACCGTACAAATATGGTCTAGATTTGTCTGCCTTCTCACAGTAAGGCTGGCCAAGCCTCTCTCAACCATCAAGCATGATTCATCAGTTTACCTGGACTGGGAGGAAGATGGTGTGGTGGCTAGGAGTGAGGTCTCTGGGACTAAAACCAGCTTGTCCAAATCTCAGCTCTGTTAGGCTGAATAATGGCCCTCAACGATGCCCACATCCTAACCCCCGGAACCTGTGATTATGTGACCTTGCATAGGAAAGGGGACTTTGCAGACATGGTTAAGCTAACACTCTTTACATGGGAGATTATCCTGGATTATCTGGGTGGGCCCAAGTTCCTCACAAGGGCAAGAGAGTCAGAGAAGGAGACAGGATGATAGAAGCAGAGGTGGGAGGGATGTGCTTTGAAGATGGAGGAAGGAGCCATGATCCAGGGAGTGTCAGCTGCCTCCAGAGGCTGGAAACAGAAAGGAAACAGATTCTCTGCCAGAGCCTCCAGAAGGTATGCAGCCTTGTCCACCCCTTGACTTTAAACCTCTGACCTCCAGAACTGAAAAAGAATAAATGTATGGTTTTTTAAGCCACTAAGTTTATGCAACAACAGGAAACCAATACACCAGATCCAACACTCACCGTCTGTGGGGACCTTGAGACAGTTGCCTAACACACTTGAACTTCAGGTTCCCCTCTGTGAAATGGGCATAGTGATAATAACTCACAGGTTCGTTACAATGCTTTGACATTTTAACGCAAGCAAGGTCCTAAGAAGAGTTCCTGGTTGATAAGGTTTGCATGTGTGTTCCCACCCAAATCTCATGTTAAAATGTAATCCCCAGTGTTGAGGTGGGGCCTGGTGGGAGGTGATTGGATCATGGAGGCAGAGTTCTCATGAATGGTTCAGCACCAGCCCCCTTGGTATTTTCCTTGCAATAGTGAGTGAGTTCTCACAAGATCTGGCCGTTTAAAAGTGTGAGGTACCTCCCCACTCACGCTCTTGCTCCTGCCTTCCCCATGTGATGTGCCTGCTCCCACTTCGCCTTCTGCCATGATTGGAAGCTTCCTGAGGCCTCCTCAGAAGCCGAGCAGGTGTCAGTACCATGCTTCTTGTACAGCCTGCAAAAATATGAGCCAATTAACCTTCTTTTCTTTATAAATTACCCAGTCTCAGGTATCTATAGCAAATGCAAAAACAGACGAATACAATGGTACATACTAAGTAAGTGCTCAACGGTTTTAAGCAATATTAATTTCATTCCTTCCCTAAAATATATTCCATAAAACATTATCAAACACTTTTGATTTTGCTGAAAATTTCATGGAAAGAAAAGATAATTACGGCTGGGCCCAGTGGCTCATGCCTGTAATCCCAGCACTTTGGGAGGGCAAGGTGGGTGGATCATGAGGTCAGGAGATCGAGACCACCCTGGCTAACACAGTGAAACCCTGTCTCTACTAAAAATACAAAAAATTAGCTGGGCATGGTGGCAGGTGCCTGCAGTCCCAGCTACTCGGGAGGCTGAGGCAGGAGAATGGTGTAAACCCGGGAGGCGGAGCTTGCAGTGAGCCAAGATCGCACCACTGCACTCCAGCCTGGGCAACAGAGTGAGAGTGTGCCTGTGTGTCTCAAAAAAAAAAAAAAAAAAAAAAGACAATTATTTCTATTTGACCAGAATTAGTAAATTTCCAGTAAATATTACTGTTCTCCCCCCAGTGTTTCTACCTTCACGACACTAAGGTGTCTTCATCATCCCTCTCCCCTTCACATACAGCCTCACACACACTTGCTCATTGTATTAGTCAGGGTTCTCCAAAGGGACAGAACCAATAAGATAGATGTAGGTATAAGCATGACTTTATTAAGGAGTCTTGACTCACATGATCACAAGGTGAGGTCTCACAGTAGACTGTCTGCAAGCTGAGGAGCAAGGAAGCCAGTCCATGTCCCAAAACCTCAAAAGTAGGGAAGCCGACAGTGCAGCCTTCAGTCTGTGGTCGAAGGTCTAAGAGTCTCAAAGCTGAAGAACCTGGAGTCCCATGTTCCAGGGCAGGAAGCATCCAGCATGGGAGAAAGATGTAGGCCAGGAGAGTAAGTCAGTCTAGTCCTTTCATGTTCTTCTGTCTGCTTTTATTCTAGCCATGCTGGCAGCTGATTAGATGGTGCCCACCCAGAATGAGGGTGGGTCTGCCTTTCCCAGTCCACTGACTCAAATGTTAATCTCGTTTGGCAACACCCTCACAGACACACCCAGGAACAATACTTTGCATCCTTCAATCCAATCAAGTTGACACTCAGTATTAACCACCACACTCGTATTAATCTCCATGGTTTTCGGCCCCTTCTCCTTTCTCTTTAAACACCATGTAAACCATAGTCTACATGCAGCATTTAAGTCCTGACCCTGACATTCAAAACGTCACCTCACATTTGTTCCCAGGGCACAGTGATAGACACTGAAGTGACTGGTCTACAAGCCACATCAAGGAAGCCTTCGCAGAGGTGAGGACCCGCAGCTGAATATGCAGGACATGAAGGGTCAGAACAGCTTTCATCACATGATCAAGAGGAGGAGAGGGCTTTCAGAATCAACTCTGCCTGGCCTCCTGCCTAAAGATCACTCTGAACTGGCTAGAGAGGAATCAGGATTTGGTGTTTTAAACACAGCACATGGCCATTTTTAATTGCTTTAATATAGAATATGAATATTTTTTAAATTCAAGTTTTGTTAAGAGAGCCAAATGAAGCTGGGCATGGTGGCTCATGTCTGTAATCCCAGCACTTTGGAAGGCCAAGGTGAGTAGAGGCCCTGAGGTCGAGAGTTCAAGATCAGCCTGGCCAACATGGCAAAACCCTGTCTCTACTAAAAATACAACAATTAGCCAGGCATGGTGGCGGGGGCCTGTAACCCCAGATACTTGGGAGGCTGAGACAGGAGAATTGCTTGAACCTGGGAGGCGGAGGTTGTAGTGAGCCAAGATCACACCACTGCACTCCAGCCTGGGCAACAGAGTGAGACTCTCTAAACAAAACCGAAAAAAAGAGAGAGCCAAGCCAAATGAGATCAATGTAGGCTAAATGACTTGAAAAGGAAAATTTATATTTGGGGGTGATTTGATTTTTACTTTTTGAGACTGTTGGCTCAAGGCATAGCTGGGTGTGCTGCAGCTGACTCCAAGTCTAGGGAAGGTTTGTAACACTGGACCACCAAATCATCCCGGTGCTGCCCACCCAGGAGCTGCCTCTCAATTGGCCCCACACCCCAGAAGAGGAGCTGGAGGCTTGAGAACCCAAGGCCAAGCAAAGATGCTCTTCTCCAGCACCAGTGACAGTGACGAGAGAGTGATCTTTCCCAAGAAAGTTGCATATTCTTCCAAAAAGGGAACTTCTACTTGGAGCAATACTTTGGGAAACCAAGTAAAATTTCCTCATGTCTGCCCTGAAGTGATGGGCACCAGATTCAGGCTGACAAATTTAAAACATGCAAATGGATTCACATCACCCCTCTTTACTTTGACGGGAGGGTCCTCCTTTCCATATCTTGGCTTGGCCACCACCTTGAGTGTATAGAAAACCTGAAGCATCCTCAGGCTGGCTAGTCATGGAGAAAATGTTTTCTGATTCCTCTGATTGACTTTGCACTCAGTCCTGGGATGCCAGCATCAGCTTATCATGCCACATTCCTCCTGGCACATTCCCATCCTCTGAGAGATGAGTCTATTAGTGATGAGCCAGCTGTCAGAAACCTGTGCAGCTCTGAAGCTGAACAGTCAGCATGGTCAACGTTGCCAGGTGATCAAGAGGGAGTATTGATTTTCCTCCAGGAATAGAAGTGAGGAAAGGCTCTGGGTCACAGTGAGAACCTCAGAATATCAGTCCAGTCTTCCAGCCAAGCAAGGTACACAGGCAGAAACTGCAACAGAAGCATGAGCAATATCTGCATCTTAAATATTCACATTCAATCCACATTCTGTCTTCTCTGTCAGCCCCTCCCCAGACCTCACAAGGTGGGTTTTCAAACAAACCCTGTTATCTGACTTTGCAGACATGCACATAAGAAGTATTCGGCATTCTCCTTTCTGTAGGCAGCCTTGGGCATGGCCCCTCTCAGTTGGAACTCTTGCTCTTTGCTCTCAGAGTGGTAGACAACATTGGGGAAGATTTAGGCTGATGCTAATTTTCTAATAGAAGCTAAACACAGTGGGCTTTCCACAGTGGGCAGGGGTGGGGGACATGATGTTTGGGATTGACTTTTGAATTTGGACTTAGCTTATAGAATTTAATTCATTCTACATGCAAGAAAAAACCCATGAGATCTTATGAACTGTACAGGAAAAAGAAAGAGAGAGAGAGAGATGGGGAGGAAGAGGAAGAAGGAGAGAGATGGAGAAGTGAAGAGATAGAGAAAGGAAGCTGGTGGAGGGGAGGGAGTGGAGGGGAGGGAAGAGACTGGAGAAATAAACTCCAAAGGAGATTAGGATGCTGTGATCATAACTTTTCTGGCAGAAGTAGATCAGACACCTAGAAATGTGCTGTCTGTTATGCGGGAGCCACCATGGTAACTCATCAGTAACAGAGTGAACTCTCTGTTTCTGGGGAAGCTTTTTTAAATTGATGGTGAAGTCCTCCCAAATACTTTATGACCAAGGGCATACCTGGAAAAGGAGGACCACTGGCAATCAGAGACCAGGAAGCCACATCTTCTCTCTGGGCTTCCTCAGCCCCAGCTCTCCTGCTCCAAGCCAGGCACTCTTCTGCATCATTTTACCCCACTACCCTCCTCAGAGCACCTGGTAGACAAGACAGTGGGACTCTCTTGGCTAAAAGACAGTGATACTTAAATATAAAATATAAAATTTATGTACATAAGTTATAGCCATTTCTGTTTCATGCAGCTGCGTGTTTCTGCACCAAAGCGATACAGTAAAATTCTCAGAGCTCAAGATGTTTCCATACCCGATGGGGCAAATCACCACCTACCACCACCAGCATGGTGACTGTTCTTACTTTTTTTTCCTCTTCCATATTACAGAATTAAAGGAGGTGACCAAAATCACAGCACATCCCTGCCTCTGTCTCATTCAAGGCCCGGTAATGCAATGCAGACTTCAAACTCTGAAGTGCTTGACATTTTTCCATAGGCCTTTGGTAGGTACAGTGTATTTTCCTTAGAGGCAAAAGTGCAAGCCGGGCGCGGTGGCTCACGCCTGTAATCCAGGCACTTTGGGAGGCCAAGGCGGGCAGATCACGAGGTCAGGAGATCGAGACCATCCTGGCTAAAACGGTGAAACCCCGTCTCTACTAAAAATACAAAAATTAGGTGGCCGTGGTGGCGGGCGCCTGTAGTCCCAGCTACTCGAGAGGCTGAGGCAGGAGAATGGCGTGAACCCGGGAGGCGGAGCTTGCAGTGAGCCAAGATCGCGCCACTGCACTCCAGACTGGGCGACAGAGCGAGACTACGTCTCAAAAAAAAAAAAAAAATAGTGCATGTGCAAGACTGTATGTGTGTATGTGTGTGTGTATGTGGAACCTCAGAAAATGCACCTCCTTCCAAACGGAGCAGTTGGAAGGCCCTTGTTTCAACTGTTTTCATGAAGACACTTGTATTCATCTGCTGGGGCTGCCAGAAAAAGGCAGCTTAAGCAAAAAATACAGCTTAAGCAAAGTAAAATGCAGCGCACAGATTGGGCAGTTTAAGCAAAGGAATTACTCACAGTTCTGGAGGCTGAAAGTCCAGTGTATTAATCCGTTTGCATTGCTGTAATGGAATACCTGAGGCTGGGTAATGTATCAAGAAAAGGGGTTTATTTGGCTCATGGTTCTGCAGGCTGCACAAGCATGGCACCAGCGTCTGCACAGTTTCCAGTATGCCTTGAGAAGCTCCCAATCAAGGCAGAAGGCAAGGTGATATGGTTTGGCTTTGTGTCCCCACCCAAATCTCATGTGGAATTGTAATTCCCAGTGTTGGAGGATGGGCCTGGTGACAGGTGATCGGATCATGGGGCAGTTTCTAATGGTCTGGCTCTATGCCCCTAGTGCCATCTTGTGATAGAGTTCTCATGAGATCTGGTTGTTTAAGAGTGTGTGGCACCTCCACCTCACTCTCTCTTCCTCCTGCTCCAGCCATGTACGACGTGCCTCCTTCCTCTGTATTTTCTGCCATGATTATAAGTTTCCTAAGGCCTCTCCAGCCATGCTTCTTATACAGCCTGCAGAACCATGAGCCAATTAAACCTTTTTTTATAAATAAGTTACCCAGTCTCAGGTAGTTCTTTATAGCCATATGAGAATGGACTAACACCCAAGGGGAGCCAGCATATCACATGGTGAGAGATGGAGCAAGAGAGGAATGCCAGGCTTTTTTTTTTTTTTTTTTTGAGAATGAGCCTCACTCTGTCACCCAGGCTGGAGTGCAGTGGCATGATCTGCGCTCACTGAAACCTCTGCCTCCCAGTTTCAATCTGTTCTCCTGTCTCAGTCTCCTGAGTAGCTGTGATTACATGCACCCACCACCATGCCTGGATAATTTTTGTCTTTTTAGTAGAGATGGGGTTTCACCATGTTGGTCAGGCTGGTCTCGAACCCCTGACCTCAGGTGACCTGCCCGCCTCAGTCTCCCACAGTGCTGGGATTACAGGTGTGAGCCACTGTGCCTGGCAATGCCAGGCTTTTTTAAACAACCAGCTCTCACGTGAAATAATAGAGCAAGGACCCACTCATTACTGCAAAGATGGCACTGAGCCCTTCAAAAGGAATTGTAAAGGGAACTAAGGATGGCCTGAGAGGGACTCCACACTTCTATGTTTGAGTCCTCATGGATGAACTGCAACCTAGGTAGGTAAGATTGAAAACCTAACTTAGAAGTATGTGCCCGTAACAATTAGCTGAGTCTTAGCCAATTCCAGCAGCCATACTTCCACCATTCATATGCTGCTGAGTGTTCAAACTGTGTTCAAATAAGGCAAATGCCAACCTGTAACCAATCCAGCCATTCTATACCTCACTTCTGATTTCTGTACATCATTTCCCTTTATTTGTCTATAAATCTTCTTCCACTCTGTGGCTGTGCTGGAGTCTCTGTGAATCTGCTGTGATTCTGGGGGCTGCCTGATTCGCTAATCATTCATTGCTCAATAAAACTCCTTTCAATTTAATTCGGCTGAAGTTTTTCTTTTATCAGAATCCACCCCTAGGATCCAAACACCTCCCACCAGGCCTCACCTCCAACATGAGATTTAGAGGGCATAAACATCCAAACCATATCATCCAAGATCTCAGTGCCGGAGCTTGGTTTCCACTGAGGCCTCTCTCTAGGGCTGGCAGACGACTGACTTCCCATTGTGTCCTCATGTGGCCTGTGCTCTGTCTGAGCATCTCTGGTGCCTCTTCCTCTTCCCACTAGGACACCAGTTGTACTGGCCTGTGAGCCCAGCCCTTATAACCCCATTTAACCATAATTACCTCTTTAAAGGCCCTACCTTCAAATATAGTCATACTCTAAGGTAGTGAGAGTTAAAACTTCAGCAAATGAATTTGGGACAGGTCACAATTCATCCATAAAACACTCAAGGGGATGACTTTGTGAAGGGGATCCAGAGAGGGACCACCGGTGAGACCTTTCCATCCAGGTCTCAAGATGTCTTATATGATCCCAGAATCACCTTTTTCTACAGGTCTCTCTTTTTTGTTTCTGGTCATTCTCTACTATCCACAAACAGCCCATGAACTGTGTGCAGCTAAATGACATAGATTTGATCCATTTGTGTTTTTCTAGTGTTTCACTGCCATAAAAAAATCATGAAGTCTGAATTCCTGTTCTCCTGGGGCTGTTTCCCACATGGCAATAATCCGCAGAGGATGCCCATGGCTTTAAATAGGGAACACTGTCCCTAATTGAACAAAAAAATACGTGAGCACCTACTATATGTTAGGACTATTTTAGGCACTGGGGACTCTTATCTGAGAGACCAAAATAGAGACCCTTTATCAACTGAGACAGACTCTAAGTTTAAAGAAACAGAAGTGGGCCGGGCGCGGTGGCTCACGCCTGTAATCCCAGCACTTTGGGAGGCCGAGGCAGGTGGATCGTGAGGTCAGGAGATCGAGACCATCCTGGCTAACAAGGTGAAACCCCGTCTCTACTAAAAATACAAAAAATTAGCCGGGCGCGGTGGCGGGCGCCTGTAGTCCCAGCTACTCGGGAGGCTGAGGCAGGAGAATGGCGTGAACCCGGGAAGCGGAGCTTGCAGTGAGCCGAGATTGCGCCACTGCAGTCCACAGTCCGGCCTGGGCGACAGAGCGAGACTCCGTCTCAAAAAAAATAAATAAATAAATAAATAAAAAATAATAAATAAATAAATAAAGAAAGAAACAGAAGTTACCTGCTGGCAAATTTCTAAATTCCTATGACTATGAGAAAAACCACACTCTTCCTAAATTCCCTAGCAATAGAAGATATCAGGCAAATTATCAGATATAAAGAGTCAAATTTCACCACATTTTCATGCTAAAAGCCCACCCCAAAGTGAACACGGGCTGTATGTTATATGTGTGTTTATCCACGACACATGCACTCAGCTCCTCTTACAAGCATGTATAGCTTTTCCCTCCAAACCTGCTGAATATGTATGATTCTACTGTGGAATATGGGCCCTGGGAGGCAGAAAACCCAACCTGCCCCTTCCCTCCTTGAAGAGAACAACCTTTGGCCCATACAAGATACTGTTTCTCCTTGGTTTGCAAACCGATATGGCCAACTGTCAGAGGCGTTTGAACCAGAGCAACTCCATCTTGAATAGGGGCTGGGTAACATGAAGCTGAGACCTACTGGGCTGCATTCCCAGACGTTAAGACAGTCTAAGTCACAGGAAGAGATAGGAGGTTGGCACAAGATGCAGGTCGTAAAGACCTTGCTGATAAAACAGCTTTCAGTAAAAAAGCCGACTCTAATCCACCAAAACCAAGATGGTAACAGGAGTGACCTCTGGTCGTCCTCAGTGCTACACTCCCACCAGCACCATGACAGTTTACAAATGCCATGGCAACGTCAGGAAGTTACCCTTTATTGCCTAAAAAGGGGAGGCATGAATATAATCCACCTCTTGTTTAGCGTGTAGTCATGAAATAACCATAAAAATAGGCAACCCGCAGCCCTTGGGGCTGCTCTGTCTATGGAGTAGCCATTCTTTATTCCTATACTTTCTTAATAAATTCACTTCCACTTTATGTACTCACCCTGAATTCTTTCTCGTACAAGATCCAAGAACCCTCTCTTGGGGTCTGGATTGGGACCCCTTTCCTGTAACACAACAAAGCTCTCTTTTCTACTATTTGGCCCTCCTGGTAGTCTTTTGGAAGACAGGACACAGCAGCAGACAAAATATTAAAGTCCCGGCCCTCATGAGCTTGCATTCCAGTAGGGGAAGCCAAACAACAAACAAAATAAATAAATAAGCAGCGCTGATGTTCGCTGATGACAAGGACTGAAAACCCAGGCAACAAAGGGAAGGAACAGGAGCTGAAGCTACACTTTTAGAGAGGGTTGCAGGAGGTCCCCCTGCAAAGGGGCACATGAGCAAAATGTTGATGAAGGTGAGGGAGCCAGGCAGGAACTGAGCAAACAGGGAGAGTGAGCAGAGACTGGGTGTGCAAAGGCCCTGTGGCCCGAGAGAACCCCAGCAGGCAGTATGGGCTGAGAGAAGAGCAGAGGGGAATGCGGCAGGAGATGGGCTGGGAGGACTAACAGGGGTTCCCGGTGGCATACTGTCTTTAAGGCTGCTTTAAATGCTTGGGCTTTTCCTGTAGTTGAGACGGGGAGTGAGTGGAAAGCTTGTTGGGGGGTGGCATGATTAGACTTAACTTTATATGCAATGGTTGTATTGAAGTGGGACACTGTGGCAGGCAGAACAGTAGCTCCCCAAATACATCCACATCCAAATCCACAGAATCTGTGGATGTGTCAGGTGATGTAGCAAGAAGACAATCAGGTTGCAGGTGCAATTAAGGTTGCCAATCAGCTGACCTTATAATGGGGAAATTAGCCTCGATTACCCAGGTGGGCCCAATGTAGTCACAGATGTCCTTAAATGTGGAAGAAGGAGGCACAGGTCAGACTCATGGAGAGAAGGGAAGATGCTATGCTCATGGCTCTCAGGGAGGAAGGGGCCGTGAACCAAGGAATTCGAGCATCCACCCGAAACTGGGAAAGGCACAGGAACAGATTCTTCTCTGGAGCTACCAGAAAGAATGCAGTCCTGGCAACACCTTGACTTTGGCCCAGTGAAGCTCATGTTCAGGCTTCTAATCATTGGAAATATCAGGTAACAAATGTGCATTGGTTTAAGCCACTAGGTTTGTGGCAGTTTGTCACAGCAGTAATAGGGCACTAATAGAGGCATAATGTCTCCAACGTGCCACCATCCCCACCACTGCCTATTACACCACCTCTCTTCAATTACTTACCTGGCCCTGTAGGCACTTGTGTGTTGCAAATTCTAACGTAAGCTAACGATATTCTCCTGAAACCTTGATGATTTGTTCTTTCCGCTGGACTTTGGACGCCTAAGGGTTAACTGTTTCTATGATGCTTATACTTCCTTTGGGAGCAAGGAATTCTCAGAAAATGAATTATAATTGCCCATATTATCATTTTACCTCGCTATTTTAATTTTTGCAAGTGTTTTTTCTGACTACACTTACATTCCAGCTTTCCAGCCGCTGGAAAGTTGAGAAGTTGAGAAGCCAGTTAAGAAGCTTTTCTCAACTGCATTTGGCCAGAGAACTAAACTCTACAGCAAAGAGATTGGCTATTTTTTCGTTCCTGTTAAGAGTGGTAGGCAGCAGGCCCCGTCTGAGATGCAGAGGAGAGGAGTTAGTTAAATCCTAACATGATGTGGAGGCCTCTGGGCATTGGAGTATGTGTCTCTAACCCATGCTGTGAGAAGGCCACTCTGCAGTGTGGAGAAGGCAGGAGGAGGAGGCTTTATTCTCATTTGATGGGCAAAGGAACTGAGCCACACAGTCCTGCTGACTTCTCTAAAGCTACACAGCAGAGCAACCACAGAACCAGATAGAAACTCCTCACTCATCCCTGAGGCTTCCCCGCTAAATTCTGCTGTGTCCTTTAGCTGTGATTTCCCCCTTGGATAGTCAAACTTCTCACCCAGTGTTCTGGGACCTGTCCCATCCCCGGAGGTGAGAAGGTAGTTGTGTGGCTGGCATTCCAACCACCTTAGCATTTAACTCCCCCGAGTATAATCACCCTCCACTTATCAGATTCTATATTTTATTTTCCTAAATGCAAAAGCTGTCCCAAATGCTGCTGAAACATTAATTGCTTGTGTTTCTTCTACTTGGACAAATCTCACTGCAATGAAATCAAAGCTGTTATGGGCACTCAGAGATTCTGACTTCCAATCTCAAATATAACTTGTTAAGCATAAAACAGTAAATATGAAGTGCCTATTACCTCAATTCTAAATGATAAAGTCTTGAGTATGTTGCCCCAGGGATTTTGAAATACGTGAGGAACCTACATAGGACAGTCTTTCAGTGAGTTTTACTCCACAGCTGGTTGAATTTACAAGCCTAATACACAGTCTGCACATTGATCTCCTTGAAGAAGCTCAGCACATTGATGTGGCAATATCAGGATGGATTGCCGGCTCTTGAGAAAGGAAAAACGCACACTTAAAAATATTTATTAAACATTGCCATTCAGTACAAACTGTCAAAGTGAAAGGCATCTCACTGTTTAAAATAATAATGATACTTAACGGGTACTGGTGGGAGCGGGTTTCCTTCAGGAATGAAGAAAAGGGGAAATGGCTTTCCTTCACTATCCTAGGCCCTTTGGCTGGGCTACAAATTAGCCTAAGGCAGATTAACAGGACAAAAATAGTTTTAATTACATACATACACATGGGAGTCCCACAAAAATATGAGGCTCAAAGAAGAAAGAAAGGCAAGGTGGTTGAAGCTTATATAGCATCCCGAGCTACAGCAAAGAAGGAGGACATGGGGCTTCTTACGAGCTGGGGGGAGGGGGATGCATGGAAACAGGTTCTGGGAGAGTAAGGGCAGGAAGCTTACTGTGAATAAAGACTGTCTTGTTACATAGATAAAAGGTTTCTTGGGTAGTAAAAGTTTTCCAGGAGTGGATACTTTTACTAATGTAGGTTTCCTTTATAGATGTAAATTTCTTTCACCAAAGGGCAGCTTTTTAGAGCTATTCCCATGTCTGCAATTTCTCAAAATAATCCGTTCAAAAATATGCCAAAGAAGTATATTTTGGGGTGGCATATTCTGGTCTCCTACAGTCATATTTTGGGGTGGTGTATCCTGAGCCCCCACAGGGGTGACGGAAAAGTTTTGGAACTAGATGCTGGTGATGGTTGCACAACATGGTGACTTTATTCTATGTCACTGAATTGTTCACTTTAAAATGGCTAAAACAGTAAATTTTACAGTATGTGTATTTTACCACAATCAAAATAAATAAATACCTAAAACTTGTTTATTTCTCATCCAATATATGTGCATTGAGCACCTACTATGTGCCAGGCACTGTTCTAGAGGTCAAGGATACACGGATGAAAAAGACAGACCCAGTCTCTTTGGTGAAGTCTCTTATGTCCCAGGGAGGAGAGAGCTCATCAACCGTTAGAATAAAAATGGTAATTTCAGAGAGTGTGAGGTGCTGGAATGACAAGAAAAGCAGGTGCACATAATGAGAATGGGGGCTGGGACAGAGGCTGGCTTAGATGGGGTGGCAGGAGGACCCCTGGGGAGGATAATTCCGCTCAAGACTGTGATGCCCTGGTCCCTTCCACCCGATTGGCTGAGACTTGGGAAGCTACAGGAGAGGAGCACTTGGGCAGAGGGAGCCCAAGTATGAAGCCCTGATAGAGAAGGATTTCTGTTCCAGAAATGGGGAGAAGGCCAGTGTGGTAGGAGTGAGGGAGGAAGAAGGGGGGTGAGGGAGGACACTGGAGAGAAGCTAATTAAGAGGGTCCTGCCCAAGGATGCAGCTTCCCTGGAAGGAAATGTGGACCTCTGATGAATGATGGGTTTCTTCACTGCCCCAACGCTGCCAGCAATTGCAGGAATTTAATAGCCCTGAGACTGGGAACATCAATCCACTTCCTTTCCTGGCACGTCCTCCACACCTGTACCTGTCCTCGCTGAGCCCTGTTCCTGCCAAAGGCCCTCCTGCCTCCTCCGTCAGCACAGATGGTTCTGGTCCTGTTCACTCAAGGTCCAGCTTCTCACCCTGGCTGCACACCAGAATCACCTGGGGAGATTTTTAAAAGGCTTCAAGTCGAAGCCACACCCCTCAGACCAAGTGAACCAGGATATCTGGGGGAAGAAAGTCCTGCACACTGGGACTTCAAGCTCCCCAAGTGGTCTAAGGCGCTACTGTGTGTTTCTCTATTAACTGATTTATTCTGATTTCATAATCAGCTACTACATCCCCTCTAAAATAAAACATGCACATTTAAATAACTCTCTTTGGATAATGCATTTTAACCCCAAATGCATGGGAATCTGAGGTTCGGTGTCACCTACTGGAAAGGAGACTCATGGAAGGGAAATTCAGATGTCTCTGAGATACCAGTAAGTAATTCATTAGCCGCACCCATTTTGCATGGAGACCAGGGCTACTTTTCCTGGGTTGCTTTAGGCAGAAGTGTCAAGGAGTGATGATTGGACCTGGCTTTGGGCAAAGCCATTCACTGGTTTGCGCACCGTGGAATGGGGAGATGAGGCCAGCATGTGTTCTCCCACGTGCATGGGAATGACTTTGCCTTTTGCAGGGCATTTTCTGTGCTCCAGAGGATGCCTTTATAGTATGTTTCATGTAAATATTTTTTATGTAAATGATGCTCCCTGAAGTCATGCCTTCAACGTACTCTGTGTGAATTCATTTAATCCTCACAACGGCTATCTGCATTACATCCTCTTATTATTTTCATTTTGCAGTTGGGGAAACAGGGGCACAGGGAAGCCTTGTGTAACTTGCAAAGACCACACAGATGATAAGCAGCAGACTCAAGGTTCAGTCCCAGGCAGCATGGCTTCAGCGTCCACCATCAATCACTCCTCAGTAACACCTCACTCTTGTGTTCCACTGGCTCCCTGGAACATAGAGAGAATGCCAGGGAAAGGGATGGTGTCCTAGTCTATTTGCATTGCTCTAATACAATACCATGAACTGGGTGGCTTATAGGCAACAGAATTCTATTGCTCATAGTTCTGGAGGCTGAAAGTCTAAGATCAAATTACCTGCAGATTGAGTGTCTGGTAACAACCCACTTCCTTGTTCATGGATGTCTGTCTTGGCTTTCACATAGTGGAAGAAGAAATGCAGCTCTCTGGGGTCTCTTTTATAAGAGACCCACTAATCCCATTCACGAGGGCTATACCCTATGACAAATTCCCAAGGTGTCCACCTCCAAATACCATCACATTGGGAATTAGGTTTCAACATATGAATTTTACAGGGACAGAAGCATTAAGTCTATAGCATTTGGACATCTCAGATAATTTGAGACTTAGGAACTTTCAACAGAGATAAGTGGACTTAAGAAAAGCTGCAATTTTTTGTTCACCAAATTGTAGAACTGAAATACTTTTCTCCTTCACGTGCAAATCTCTGGGTGACTTGAGGAGAAAAGCAGCTGCTACTGCTGACTTAGTCTCCACCTAAGTTCTTCCTCTAGAATTGGCCTTCCTGTCTTGGATCTCCTTCTACTCTTTCCCTTCCTCTCTGCTTCCTTTTCCTCGATCTGAAGGTCATTTGTTTAGAAACTACTAAGGGGGTGTTCCTGTCTGAGTCGATTCATCCTCCCCACAAACTTACAAGGTTAGAATTATAATCACTCCCATTTTACGGAGTGGACAACAAAGATGCAGGAATATTAAGAAGCCTGCCCAAAAGCTTCACAGTAAGTCAATGGCCAAGATGGCACTTCAATGCCAAGTGGTCTTGGCCAGAGTCCTGCCCTTAAGCCCTCCTTGTGCTGTTCTTTTCCCTTTTCATTTCTTCTCTTCATTTTCCCTTTGGCTCTGGATGAATATTTATATTCTTATTTTTTAATAAAGGAAGATGAGGATTGGTTAAAGAAAGAAAAGACAACCAGAGAGAGGAGGGAGTTAAAAATCACTTCTCCTTGTTAGCTGATTACAGGATTCTTTTGGGTGCCCTGCAGCTGTGGTCCTGTATCTAGGCAGCTCCAAATTGCACCAAGGCAAGAAAAGTTTAACAATAATCATGCAAAATCTATTTATTCTTGGCTGTTAATCTAGATACGATCCGCCCTCTTCATATCTGCGTAATTAGAAGTACCGCAGAGGACAGAAGTCACTCTCAGCAGCAGCTGCTGTGAAATGCTGGCAGCCCTGCTTCTTGTAGATGCCATGGCTCTCTCGGAGTCTTAGGCACCACCCCCGCCCCCGTTCCAAAAAGCCCCTCTATGAGAACAGGAGGAGTGTATGGACTGCCATTGGAGGTGAGTCTTGCCATTGCAGTCATAGTGGACACCTGTTGGTTTTGCCTGTGGATCATTTTCCCTTAGGAACATGCCCCTCCGCTATGGGTCAGGAAGCTGAGCCAGTTCATGATTCTGGGGATGGATAAGAGCTCCAGCCTGGATAACCCATTCTTCTAAGTCTTCCTTTTCTTTCTTCACAAGATCTTGCTGTTGAAACTCCCAAACTAAGAACTGGTTCATTCTGCCTGTGTCACAGCCTCATCCACAGAGATGGGTTCCATAATGAGTGATGACCCAAACCAGGTCCTTGAGCACCTCACTGCAAATTCTAGTCTAAGTAATGGGAAAGATCTTCTCTCCTACCACGGAGGTTGTACTGCTTTAGGGTGATGACCCTGTAGGAGTCTGCATACACATTCTCAATGCTTAAGAGAGGGTGAGTTGAGCACCTCTTCAGGGCCATTTTTTCTTCCTGGTGGTTTGTACAAAATGTCTTTGTATCTTCTCAGTAAAAGTCATGCCCATTCACAAGGTCCCACACTCTTGAATAGCCATTCATCACACCCATTTGCCTTTTTTCCTTTCCACGGTTAAACTGCATTCCACATTCTTCTTTATTGTTAGGTGTGGCCATGTGGCCTGGATCTAACCAGCTCTACGTGGAAAGAAGTGATGTAGGTACTCATCAAGCCTAGCCCACAAAATCTTCCAGCATCACTGTCTATTCTCTCTTATTTCATCAAGCATCTGGTTGTCAACACCTAGGAACCTGGGAATCTACATGTTCACATGGCAGTGTCTCCACCAACAGTCTGGGGCCCTGAGTGACTATGTGAAGCTGAGCCTCCTGCATTCCATCCCCATTCCCCCTGCTACCAATCTGATTTTCATGTAAATGAAAATAAACTTCTCCTGGTTAAGCCACTAACATTTTGAGGTTGACTGTAGCAGCTGCATTACCTTAGAAATGTACTACTAAACATGGTTCTTCCACTCACCATTCTAAGTGTGGGGGAATATATCTAGTTTCTGGGCAACAGGATGATTCTCCCCCCAATCCATTCTTCTAACTCTTTCTGTTCTGAGTTCACAAGACGTTGCTGTTGAAATTCCCAAATCAAGAACTGGCTCATTCTGCCTGTGTCAAGCTGCACTCTGACGAAATCATGCACAGGCCTGACTGGCTAAAGAGGAGAAGAAAGGGAGCAAAGGAAGGGCAAGGAGACTCTGAAGTCCACAGAAGATAAAGTGTGAAATCTCAGGATAAGGATTTCAACCCCAGGGGAAGGAGTAGACCACAACCAGTGAGCAATGACAGCTGGAGGGTCTTCAGGGTCTGGTTCTCACTGCACATGGTCAGTTTACCTGCTGAGGCTGAGTGACAGCTAGTGCTATGAGTCCTGGAAACAGAAAGGGCTGGAGAAATCCGAGAGGGCTTCCTGGAAGTAGTGGGAGTCAACCTTGGTCTTAAACCATGAATAAGAATTCTGGCTAGGCAGAGGACAGAAGAGAGGGCACATCAGGCCCTACAACTTTGTGCAAACTCGTGAAGTTGGGAACATGCATGAATTTAGACATCCCCTGTCTCTTCCTTTCCATAAATGAAGGTCTGACCTATGCTTAAACTGCAGCAAGAGAGATTTGGGTTACAATTTAGGGAGAGTTTTCAGACAAGGAGAAACTTTTGTATGGGAACAGATCACTGAGGAAGATGATGAAAATATATTCTCAGGTTGTCTTGCCTGAGAGGGAAGTGGAAGAAATATTTTCCATCCACTTTCATTTAGCATATCAGCCACACAAGGGCAGGATCTGTCTTCTGCACCACTGTGACTCCTGAAACTTGCACAGCACCCAGAACCCTGAAGGTGGTGGGGCCTAAGGTGGGAGGAGGAGGGACTAGGTCAGAGGTCCTCAAATCTCTTGACCACAGCCCTCAGTAAGAAGTGCACTTTACATGGTGACCCAGTGCACACATGCAAACATAGACACACACAAATGCACACATGCACACACCCACATGCATACACTCACATGCATGCACAAATGCTCACTGCATACAAATGCACACCCAGAAACATATGCATGCACACGTTCACACATACAAATGCACACACAGAGATGAATGCATGCACACACTCACAGCACAAATGCGCACAGAGACAAATGCATGCACACAGTCACAACACAAATTCATACAGAGAGAAATGCAAGCACACACAGCACAAATGCACAAAGAGACAGATGCATGCACACACTCACAACACAAATGCACAGAGACAAACGCATGCACACACATCACAAATGCACAAAGAGACAAATGCATGCACACACTCACAACACAAATGCACAGAGACAAATGCATGCACACACTCACAACACAAATGCACACAGAGACAAATGCATGTACACACAACACAAATGCACACAGAGATAAATGCATGCACACACTCACAACACAAATGCACACAGAGACAAATGCATGCATACATTTACATTTACATGCACAAATACTTGCACACATGACACAGGCTTCCTGAATAAACATTATTCTTATTTTCTTAAGCCAGTGTATTAGTGTCATATTGATGCTACAACAAATTATCACAAATTTAGTGACTTAAAACAACACATTTATTTTCATATAGTCTAGAAGTCAGAAGTCTGACATGTGTCTCACAAGGCTAAAAGAAACGTGTTGGCAGGGATGAGTTCCTTCCAGAGGCTCCAAAGGAGAATCCACTATTTTACCTTTTCTAGAGGCCACCCGCATCCCTTGGCTCATGGTCACATGTGGAAGAAAAGTTAAATTTCACATTTGAACTCAACTGAACGTGAACACAAACAATAGCCAGCAAGTCCCGGAACAGGTTGTGTGAGCCCCTTGAGGCGTTCGTTCATCTAGCGCTGTTTTGGATAAATCTCTATTTCAATCTATTCGTATACATCGGTTATTGAAAAACAACAGCCAATCACAAAAACAGGTTGACCTTTTTGTGTTCCTTGAGCCTAGTCGTGAAGGGCCCTCGTGACTGGGCCTCATGCCAAACAACTCGTTACAAAAAGAGCTCAGGTCCCAGACTGTGCCGAAGCTTCATGAGATCTCTCCTTGGTTGTGCAGGGACGAGTGGCCGACTCTGGAGCCCAGGCTGCTGCTTCCCAGTCTCATGTTGAATCCTCCATAGTCTGGTGAGTGTAAATTTGCTTATTATATCAATCTGCTTATTATATCATTTACTTATATCTGCATTGCCATTTACATGGGATAGAGGTTGTTTGCCCTTAAAGGTATTGTGTGTGTGTCTTTTCTTCTTCCCTTGCGCATCTCCCGCACAGAACACCACATCCCCGTGACCTCTGCTTCCATCACACATCTTCTTCTCTGACTCCTGTCTTTCTCTTTCCTTATGAATAGTCTGTGACCACACTGGCCCCACCTGAATAATCCAGGATAATCTCCCCCTCTCAAGATCCTTAATTGATTCATGTCTGCAAAGACACACAAGCACATGCCTGCATTCACACACTCACATGCAGGGGTAAGGTGACATATTCACAGGTTCTGGGGATCAGAACGAGGGCATCTTTGGATATCATGATTCCGCCTAACATAGCTGAGTTCCTCCCAAACAGACCCTGATGGGCAGATTCAAGAGCCAGCAATGAACTCACACTCTGTTCCCAGAGCCTCCACTATGACCCTACATTTGTGTGACCTGAAGCACGAATGTCTCATCATTCTTGCACCTGGGTGCTTCCCTTGTGTCACCTCAGTCCAGATCCTGCTCCTCCAAATTGTCCTACCTCAAGGCAAGGGATCTGGGCTTTCAGCAAGGCCCATCAAGGGCTCAAGAGCCCCCCGAGAAAGGATGTCAATTTCCAGGTATCTCAGGCTCTCTCTGCAGTCAGGCAGTGGCTCCAGCTGGCCCCTGAAGGAGATTCACAAGTGTGAGCTGTTAAAAGCAAAAAGACCCTAGGGAGTCATCTGTACCCCAGTGTCCTCTTGCAGGCTTAAGCGGCAGGGAGCTCTGAAAGAGTGGAAAGGCTGCTGATGGGGCCTGGGAGAGCATTGATTGTACCTGCTACACTTACCACAGATTGTGCGCTCAGGTGGTCCCTATTTTATCTGGTTCTAGTTCATTTTTTAAATGCTGGGAACAGCATCTTCAATCAACGTTATGAGCCCCCAGTGGGCCACAGCCACTGTTCTAAAAATGCTGGAGTAGATCAGGGCTCCACACAGGCCCCAACACCCCACAGTCCTGGACAGACGGGGTGTGCCAATGGAATTGCGCTCCTAGGGAATTAGATACATTTATTTCCTTCTATTTTTTTTCTTCAACTGGCAAAAGGATAGATGTCTACTCTAATCTGTTTGCATCACCCGAGACCCATAGGTAGGGAGAGAAGGACAACGGCATTTGGGGGAGTGAATTCCCTTTGCTGCTGTAGTAACACCTGGCTGGAGTTCCCTCCCTGCCCAGCCTATACGTTTGATTCCTCAAAGAGGGTTCTTTGGGCTGGATTTTTTCATCTTCATCACAACCAGCTAGAAAATAATTGGGGACTTCAAAAGTAAATGAGGGAATTTGGATTTTTCAATTGGGAAAAGAAAAATTCTGCCAAACAGTGACTCACTTGACTCACTTCAAATGCGCAAGCATGAACATAAGCCTGCTTGAAATCCTGAAATTTCAGGGAAGGGGCATTAACTCTCACCCCTCACTTACGATGGTGCCCCTTGAATTGTAGCTCCACCCACTGCAGTGCTCTCTGGAGAGGCAGCCTCCAAGGAGATGCTGCTGGAAACACCCACTCAGTACCCTCCAGGGAAAGGCAGCTCTACTGGGAAGCAACTGGTTTTGTAGATTGTCAAACAACATTCCATTAAATAGCAGATGCGTTCTCTTTCAGATTATAAAAGAAATAGCTGTTCAATGTGAAGAATTTGTAAGAGAGAGTAAAAAGGAAAAAAGAAACTGCCCATGGTCCTGCCCCTGGTAACATTTTAATATCATTTTGACTTTTTTTTCTGTGTCTATTTTATTTGTACTGTTACCTGATATTATTTATAGGGATTCAAGTTATATGCATAATAGGAATGCTTTTGACCACAAGTAACAGAATAATCAACTCGTGATACATAACATGAATATGTATATTTGTGTGGGAAGCCCAGGGTCGAAGAGACCCAGGGTTTGTGCTGGACTCGGTGATGGTGTCAGAGACAAAGGCTCTTTCCCTTATTTTCTATGACATGTTAAATGCACTGGTTTATTCCTTCAAAGCTTCTAAATGGCTCACTTCATTGTTTTCTTTATACAAAATTTCATAAAATTTTAACAAAAATTAGATTTGCATTAGATACACATTTCACATACACAAAATTAACTATATCCTTTCTTCTGAGAGAGAGAAAAACAACAGTTTAAATAGTGGGCAGGGTGCTGTTCTTTGTCCCCAAGGTGAGGACAGGATAGGAAATGTGACTTTCTTCTCCCCTCAGATGGTCTGAACTCCTAAGAGCCTGTCACAGGGAATCTCCCAGTACCCTCGGCATCCTATGCTGTATTTGGGGGACAACTGAAAAGATTTTCCAAATTATATAGGCAGGAGTTGGCAGACCATTTCCATAAAGAACCAGATAGTATTTTTAGCTTTGAGGGCTGTACAGTCTGTGTCACAACTACTGAATTTTGCCATGGTAACAGGAAAGCAGTCATGGACAATACATACATAATGGGCATGGCTGTGTGCTAATAAAACTTTATTTACAAACACAGGTAGAGGGCTGGATTTGGCCTCTTCACTGTAGTTTGTGCACCCTTGCTATACATAATTTGTTACATTTGCCTTAGCAGGGAGGCCGCTTGATCTTCCCATCTCCCATTTCTCCATGATAATGTGAGCTTCCTCTCAGCCTTGGCACGAGGAGGACTGCTGGGGCAAGACCCACCCTTCTCTCTGCCCTCACTGACTCCCACCCTCGGAGGAGGAGTGTTTATCTGACAGGTAGGTTGGGAGGAAGAACAGCTGGCGCAGCTCAGCCCCTCCCTACCCTCCTTTCAGAGCACCCTCCCCACTCCCCACCCACCCGCCTCTCCTCTGCTCTCCTCTAGGCCTGTAAGGAGGGGGCTAGTTCTAGGTGGGTGCAGTCCATTCTGGAGGGAGCAGATGAGAACACCCCAACCTGGCCACCAGTCAGGTCATGTCCTCCAATCCAGCTGATGCAACAATAAAGCAGGTGGATTTTCTGCATCCATCCACTTCCTGCGCTTATCTCTCCACCAATTCCAAGCTGAGAGGCTGAGTTTGAGATCTTCTGCTTTCCTGGCAGATTCTCCCCAGCCCCTGCTCCCCCCATCTTTGTGCCCAGGGAGGTGGCCTCCATGGGCTTCTGTCTTCAGCATCCAGTTGGGCTTGGCTGATAGGAGGCACCAACAGAAGACGGGAGAGTGGGAAGAAAGTAAGTTTGGGCATTTATTCCCCACACCCTCCCGTGAGAGCATCCTGGCCGGCCCGCATCTGTTACCCAAGGCCAAAGCGCCCATCGAATTTACTCTCTATTTATCTGTTCCGTGTTCCCAGAACCACCCCTTCCCCTTGTCCCCTTAAGTCTGGGAGTGATCACAGCTCCTCACTCTCCCCAGCCCCAAATCTGCATTATTTCTTTGATTTCCTCAAACCCCGACCACACCTTTATAAACAGTCCCTTTATAAAATTCTCTCCACATTCCCAGTTTGAGTGTGTATTTCTTACCTACTGAGATGCTGACAGATACAGGGGGTAGGGAACAATACATCATCTCCCCTTCCCATCCCCCCATGATTCTGCCTTTCAATCCAGTACTGGGTTGAATGGTGTCTCCCCAAAATTCATGTCTACCCAGAACCTCAGAATGTTGCCTTATTTGGGAGTAGAATCTCTGCAGGTGTAATTAAGGGAAAGATGGTGGTAAAATTGTCAGAGGCATTTGAACCAGAGCAACTCCATCTTGAATAGAAGCTGGGTAAAATAAGGCTGAAACCTACTGGGCTGAATTCCCTGTTAAAGCATTCTAACTCACAGGATGAGATAAGAGGTTGGCACAAGACACAGGTCATAAAAACCTTGCATAAAAACAGGCTGCAGTAAAGAAGCCGTCCAAAACCCACTCAAACCAAGATGGCCACCAGAGTGACCCCTGGTTGTCCTCACTGCTGCACTCCTACCAGCGCCATGACAGTTTAGGAATGCCATGGCAACTGCAGAACGTTACCCTATATGGTCTAAAAATGGGAGGCATGAATAATCCACCCCTTGTTTAGCGTATCGTCAAGAAATAACCATAAAAATGGGCAACCAGCATCCCTTGGGGCTGCTCCGTCTATGGAGTAGCCATTCTTTCATTCCTTTGCTTTCCTAATAAACTTGCTTTCACTATACTCTACGGATTTACCCTGAATTCTTTCTTGTGCGAGATCCAAGAACCTTCTCTTGGCATCTGGATCAGGACCCCTTTCCTGTAACAAGGTCATACTGGATTCAGGTGGGCCCTTAAGCCAGTGAGGCTGTTCTGTTAAGACACAGAAAAGGACACACTGACACAGAGGAGAAGACCATGTGAAGACAGATACAGAGATGGGAGGGATGCAGCCACAAGCCAAGGAATGCCCCAGGACCAGAAGCTGGAAGAAGCAGGAACCTCATCTTGTAGAGACTTTGGAGGGAGCACAGACCTGCCCACAGCTTGATTTTGGACTTCTGGCCTCCAGAACTGTAAAAGAGTAAGTGTCTGTGTTTTGGGCCACCAAGCTTGTGGTAATTTGTTATGGCGGCCCCAGAATACCAATCAGGAAACTGAGACAGATCCTAACCAAACAGCAACATCCAGCATCTCATTGCAGTGTCTGCATTTTTCATATAACATTCCAAAATGTTTTTCTCCATGGGTGACAATGATGAAGAGAATTTTACTTTTTCAGGGAAACTGACGCAGTCCTAAGAGAGGCCTCTTTCATGGTGCCAGCCCTTCTGTAACAAGGGAGTAGCCATAGCCCCAGCCCAGCAGAGTCCTCAGCCCTGGAGGAAGGATGGGTTCCGTGGACAGCAGCGACTCTATGTCTGCATGAAGACCCCAGTCGCTCCCTACTTCTGTTCTCTCCTGATTCCAAAGTGTCCTTTTGTTTGCTTTTAATTTATGACCAAATCTCAAGCAGCCTCACTTCCTTCCAGTGCCCAAACCAATACATCTTTGTCCAAGTATAATCTCATGACAGTTGTCAGCCAGGTTTTTAATTGTGAGGAAGAGCCGTGCTTCTAAGAATCCATAAGTTTTGTCCACCCATGTGCCAGGGATTTTCAGGATTTTAAGCCTGTCTGCATTGGTAGAAACATGAAAATGGAAAGCGTAACTTGCTAACAAGGTTTCTGTGATGAATTTTATGCAGGAATTTCCCCCTGGGGTTCTGCTTGTTTATTTAGGACAAATACAGCAAAATAGAAAGAAGAAAAGACTCATTGGACCATGGATGCCTTTTCAAAGCTTATTTTGTGTTTTAAAGAAATGAAATTAGTATCCAACACTTAACCATTGGGGCAATTTACATAAAACTCAGTCAATTCAGCCACACTGTGCTCCCCATTTGCACTTGGGAACATTAAGCCAGAGTTGAACACTAGCTACCATTTGACCGGGATGGTGCAGGTCTCCATTTGCCACAGTCCCCACCTTTCCTTGCTGTCTGACACCTGCTCTATTTAAGGCATTCATCTTGGCGAGTGGGGCTCCCTAGATTTAAGTTTGTGGTCTCTAATATAGGGGCTGCTTTATTCATAGCTCATTCAACAAGTATTTATTCAGGGTGTAAGCTGGGCCAAATACTGTGTCAACTGTTGGGGATATACTCAGTGAACAAGACAGGCATGGTCCCTGCTGTCAAGAGTCTTGCATTTCGGGCAGATAAATAAGGTCCTAGCGTTCTGTCGCTGGAAAGAAATTTAAAATTTTAAATGCCATCTCAAAGATTTTGGACTTGTAGATACATTTGCCTGTGTGTTAAGTTTCACTTCTTGGTGGCAGGGTATGAGGTTGAAGTCATATGCCTTAAAGTTGCTTGCCCCATTTTCGTTGTATTTGAGGTTCTTGCTGCTCTCAGGATTGTTAAACCACCTGCCTAAATTCCCAGCATCTCTGTAACTTCTGATCTCTGAGCAATGCCATATTTGATATCTCAAGATTATTAATATCCTAAAAATGACACACAAGCTTTGAACATGTCAGGAATTAACATTCTCACCCAGTTAACACCTCTTAGCCAGCCTTCAGGAACTACAAACTTAGAATCTTTTTTAGTTGTATAGTCAGAAGGTTTGCTAAGAAAATTGACAAGATTTTGAGATGGCTCTCAGAAGTGTCTTAGAAGATGTATCTTAAAATCCTGAAAACATACAATTTTCTTAGCAAACCTTCTGTTTAAGATGTAAGGAATGGTTTAAAAATTAAGCAATGGTTACTTTTCATTAGGAGAAAATCTTCCATGTTTACTAAAGTCAGCATGATCTTCTCAGAACCACTCTGTAAACTGTGCACCCATTATGGAAGAAGAAAGTATTTCTGAAAAGTATTACATTACTGGAGATCTTATAATTGAACAAAATTTTTTAACTTCTATGAATTTGCATGCTTCTATTTCAATGAGATCTTCAAAACAAGAATGTGAAATAACCACCATCGTTGCCTTCAAATAGGTCAATGCTATGCCCTGAACTTAGCAGTAACAGTGGAAATGGGGCCACCTCCATCTAGTTCCTATAGAATTTTCACCTTGGTCAGAAGGTGAGGTTTTCTCTTCACTTCCCCAAACATCCAAAGGCACCGAAACTCATCACCTCTGTCCATGGTGCTTGTCTGCCTCTGAGACAAATGGGTGCAGAGAAATCAAGAGGTGATAGGGCTGTGGGGACCCTGGGTCTCCACACAAGTTCAACTCAGGATTTACTGACATTACATGCAACTCAGCACTCACTCACTCCACATACAACTCAGCACTCACTCACTCCACATACACCTCATCATTCACTCACTCCACATACAACTCAGCAGCCACTCCACATACAACTCAGCACTCACCCATGTCACATACAACTCAGCACTCACTCACTCCACATACACCTCATCATTCACTCACTCCACATACAACTCAGCAGTCACTCCACATACAACTCAACACTCACTCCACATACAACTCAGCACTCACCCATGTCACATACAACTCAGCACTCACCCATGTCACATACAACTCAGCACTCACTCACTCCACATACACCTCATCATTCACTCACTCCACATACAACTCAGCACTCACTCACATCACATACAACTCAGCACTCACTCACTCCACATGCAACTCAGCACTCACTCACTCCACATGCAACTCAGCACTCACTCACATCACATACAACTCAGCACTCACTCACTCCACATACACCTCATCATTCACTCACTCCACATACAACTCAGCAGTCACTCCACATACAACTCAACACTCACTCCACATACAACTCAGCACTCACCCATGTCACATACAACTCAGCACTCACCCATGTCACATACAACTCAGCACTCACTCACTCCACATACACCTCATCATTCACTCACTCCACATACAACTCAGCACTCACTCACATCACATACAACTCAGCACTCACTCACTCCACATGCAACTCAGCACTCACTCACTCCACATGCAACTCAGCACTCACTCACATCACATACAACTCAGCACTCACTCACTCCACATACACCTCATCATTCACTCACTCCACATACAACTCAGCAGTCACTCACTCCACATACAACTCAACACTCACTCCACATACAACTCAGCACTCACCCATGTCACATACAACTCAGCACTCACTCACTCCACATACAACTCAGCACTCACTCTCCACATACAACTCAGCACTCACTCACATCACATACAACTCAGCACTCACTCACTCCACATGCAACTCAGCACTCACTCACTCCACATGCAACTCAGCACTCACTCACTCCACATACAACTCAGCACTCACTCACTCCACATACAACTCAGCACTCACTCTCCACATACAACTCAGCACTCACTCACTCCACATACAACTCAGCACTCACTCTCCACATACAACTCAGCACTCACTCACATCACATACAACTCAGCACTCACTCACTCCACATGCAACTCAGCACTCACTCACTCCACATGCAACTCAGCACTCACTCACTCCACATACAACTCAGCACTCACTCACTCCACATACAACTCAGCACTCACTCTCCACATACAACTCAGCACTCACTCACATCACATACAACTCAGCACTCACTCACTCCACATGCAACTCAGCACTCACTCACATCACATACAACTCAGCATTCAAAGCTCCAGAGCCATTGACTTTTGGCTCCATGTAGGTCACTTGCTCACCTGTGACTCTGAGGCATAGAGAGTGGAAGTGCTTCCCTCATTGGCTCCCATGGAGGAGTCATTCAAACGGGACCAGAACTGGGCATCTCTTGTGCTTGCACATCAAGACCACACACAGTGAGGGAGAGGCCATTGCCCATAAGGAAAGGAGGCCCATGAAGGAGGAGGATGGACCCTGGTGGCCAAGTCTGACCCACACATGCCCAGGGTGACACTGAGTATATTCACAGAGAGAGGTCTGGGGGCTCACAGAGAAGCTGAAAGGAATTACCTGCTGGTGGCAGGAAAGAGGAAAGGGGGAGCTTACTGCTTTCTTCTTTGTATTTTTCTATAGAACTTGATTTTCTTCATAATTAATACGTAAGATATATATTTTTTAGTCAACTAAATTTACTACCATGAGAAAAAGGAGGCAGAGTGAGGCCAAGGCAGAGCTCCGTGGATGAGCAGCCTCCACCCCATAGCCAGGCCCAGGTGGACGCCCGGAACCCACACAGGGTTATTTCCTGATCCCCGCCCTACCCAGTTCCTTTTTTGCACTCTGCATCTTCTTCCAGGTAACTGGCCTGCACCTGTGAGAGCTAACCCCAGTGCTGGTGGACCTTGCCTATGAGGCCCAGCCAACTCGCTCTCTGGCAAACACAGTCCAAGGCCCCCTGAGCCACCATCCTCCTGTCTTCCCAGCTCTCGGCATCCCAGCCTGTACATTCTGGGGGCACGGACGACACCAGCTGCATGTGTCAGATAATCTTTGCGTTCTGCCCCACATCCCTGGGTATCCCTTTTCCCTAGCGCTTTGACCACTCACTGCATTCCACCTGGGTGACCAGCTCAGTGTAGGCTCTGCTGGCTTCTCCTGGGTGGAACCTCTGGCTGTGCCATGTGGGCATGAGCTGGCACATCTTTCAGAAGGGTCATCAGGGGTGTCCCCTGACACCTGCACCAGGGCACCCCTGTTGGCCTGAGGTTCAAGACACTGCAGGAGTTAAGACTGCTTAACACTCACATATGCACATTGGGAAGTTCCAGGGGTAACACACAAGGGGTGAACCTTTGATGAGTGGGAGGTGGGGACCGGGGTAAATTCTTCTTCCTTTCCCCTTCACCATGGACCCTCTGAGACTCTCTCCTTCCCACAACCTCTCGGAAGCTAGATTTAGAAGGCGGAGTCATCAGTCCAGATGGTGCAACACCTGCCAGTTCAGCAAAGACTCTCTTCCTCCCTGCCCCAGGCTCCTGCCTCCCTGGGTTTGTACTGCCTGAATAAGGCAAGCCTGCTGAAACACTGGTGGTTGTGCCACTCATTTGTTTTCATTTGTGGGTCTGTGATTCAGCCAATTAGTCTAGTCAGACTTTGGGAGGAGTCTGCTGGGGAGGTGCCTTCCATCTCAGATAAAACTCCAAACTGCGTAGGAAGAAAGTGTGTTCATTTTCTATTGTTGCCATAACAAACACCATAAGCATGGCTCCTTCAAACAGCAGCCACTTGTCAGCTCCTAGTTCTGAAGGTCACAAGTCCAGGCAGGCTTAACTAGGTTTCCTGCTGAGGGTGTCACAAGGCTGACATCCAGGTGCCAGCTAGGCTGGACTCCTATCTGGAGGCCATGGGAAAGAATCCGCTTCCAGGATCACTCAGAGGGTTGGTAAATCCGGTTCAGTTCTGTGGGGCTGGAGGCCCGAGGTCCCTCTCTCCTTGCTGGCTATGTCACCCAGGCCACCCACTCTCAGAGATCCCTCTCTCCTTGCTGGCTGTCACCCAAGCCTCTCACTCTCAGCTCCTGGAGACCACCTGCACTCCTTGCACGAGTGCCTCCATCGTCAAGGTCAGCAAGGAATCAGTCCACTCTTTCTTGTGCTTCAAACCTCTTCTGCTGCCAGAGAAGGTGCTCTGCTTCGAAAGGGCTCTCGTGATTAGACTAGGTGCACTCAGATAATCTCCCTTATGATGAACACAGTCAACTGATTAGTAACCTTAATGACATCTGCAACATTTCTCAGGCTCAGTGGTGCATGCTTATAGTCCCAGCCACTCTGGAGGCTGAAGGAAGATGGCTTGAGCCTCGGAGGCAGAGGTTACAGTGACCTGAGATTGCGCCACTGCACCCCAGCCTGGGTGATAGAGCCGGACCTTGTCTCAAAAAAAAAATCATTTACCAGGGAGCATAATATAATCACAGGCAGGTATCTCATCCTATAGACAATATCTAAAATAAGGATAGGAAAACTTGGGAGGCTGTCTTAGAACTCTGCCTACCTTTTTTGTCTCATTCTGCATGTTGTTTTTTGCACCTCCTTCTTCCTTCTGCCTGGAGCATAGACAATGATACCTGGAGGCACAGCTCCCATTGTGCAACCATCAGACAGCCAGGTGCCAATGATGGGGGCAGAAACATAGAATTGAGGTCAATGGGATAAAATTGAACCACTTCACAAAGTCTGCAATTTCTATCTCTTGCCTTCTTATAATATGCTTCAAATAAACTCTGATTTGCTTAAGCTACAGGTAGTGAAGTGTTTTGTTAATCTCCCAGGCACAATCCTTTCTGATAAGCCAGCCTGGCTCTTTTGACTTTCCCTAGGTGATTTAATCTACCCCAAGCTCACACAGATTTTCTTGACCAAGGATGGAGTAGGTGGTGGGAGCAGCTTCCAGACCTGTGTGTCTTTTGTGTCTCCTGACTGCTGTTCTCAGTGATGGCGCACATGGTCAGGGGAAACTCCTTCTCCAGGGCTCCAGTGTCAGCCCACATCCTCTTGTCTCCTCTGCTCTCCCATGGCACATCTGCATTCAAAACACTGATTCACACAACAAATTGCATCATCTTGCTCTATCCATTTGCCCACACAGAGCTTATTGAGGTCAGACAGGTGATGTAATTCTCTCATGCTCCCAGGCCATCTGAGTAAAAAGGAGTTTAATCTGATTTTTATTTCATAAAGTAGCCTCACACAAATGGACCCAACAAGAAATTCCTTTTTCACTGGAGTGTGGACTTTCGACATTGGTTTTGTTCGTGTCATAAAATAAGAACCTTGGTCTTTAGACAGAGCCCACATCTTTATCCCGCTGGAGGCTTTGCTTCATCCCACAGTATTGGGGAAAATAGCCTCAAAGCAGTCGGAGTCTTGGAGTTCCTCCTTTACCTATGAGAACAGAAGCCACCTAATGTTCTATAGCCCCAAAGCCAGATCCAAAGGGATGGGTCCCTGGAGCAGAATATGTGATGAATGAGAGTTCTTGGTGGACTGGCATGATTTCACTGTGTTCTTGTCTCGATCTGTGGCCAGGTGTTTTGATCACTGTTAATGTAAATTGAGAAAATAAGATAGATTGACCATGAGATGCAGAAAGGCTAAGACCACACCTACAATGACTTGAAGGCTGACATCAAAGCACCAACTTTGAAAACAAAAGGCAATGGAACCCTTGTCCAAAGCCACAGATAAAGTATCTTTTATTTCCCTGATGGAATCAATGGAGCCATGAGTGAATCTCTGTGGCTTAGGATGTGTGTTGTCTGGCGATGTTAATCAGACAGTTGAATGACCTAATTCAATTTGGTGCTGATAAGAAGCTTTAAGATGCAGGCAGACCTCCGAGAAAGCAGTAAGTCTGTGTGGAGCAGGCTGCCGACGTCTGCTTTCCAGGTGGCCGACTTTTGGCCTGGGCCGACCCAGTCAGCTTGATGCAGAATAAGAGCTTGCCACAGCTATCAGGAGCCCAGCCAGACGTAGAAACCTCTGCTGGTTTAATTTTCTGTTCACTTTGAGCATCTTGGTTTTATGGTGCCATCTAAATGCGGAAAAACAGAACAAATGTGGTGAAATCTGAAAATGTCTGCTGCGTGTAAAACTTCCTTCTATGAAGGTCTTGGAAAATAGTAATTCCTCTCTCTCTCTCCCTGAGAGACAGAAATAGCAAAATCACAGCATTGGAATTAGGGCAGATGAGGATTCAAAGTCCTGCTCTGTCACTGCTCAGCTATGTGATTCTGAGCAAGTGGCTAAACCTCTCTGAGCCTTGGTTTTATCATCTGTGCAGCAGGACACGCGATCGTACCTGGCTGGGCTACTGTGCTGGACTGTGAGATGTTTTGTTTAAAGGGCCCAGCATGTATGAGCTGCTCAGTTTTTGCCTCTCAGCTCCCTGCTGGGAAAGCCTAGTTCTCTAATCCCTGAAGCCCAAACAAACCAAACCACAGAAAATTAAAATTTCAGAGATCACAAAGTTCTTGAGATTGTCCCAGGCGATGCTGTTACTGACAGATGTAATTAAAGGAAAGCTAAAAAGGTCAAGTGGCGAGCTCAGTGTCCCAGCAGGTCAGTGGTACAGCAAGGGACAGCCTGCAGGAGGAAACAGCCCTGGGTCTTTTTGAGGGCTCCGAACTTCTACAGTCCTAGAAAACACAACTGGCATGGCTTTCGTGATCCTGGAATTTATTATCTCATTCGTAAAAGGGCATCCGAGCTAGGGCTGAGTAATTTATGTGAGTGAGTGACTTCTCCAAGGACCAGGTTTTTGCCCTCTTTGGGCTCTGCCGAAAAAGAGATGGATGCTAGTGAGAGGTGACAACGTGCTAGCAGCCCTCGCTCGCTCTCGGCCCCTCCTCAGGCCATGGCATCCACTCTGGCTGTGCTCAAGGAAGCCTTCAGCCTGCAGCTGCACTGTGGGAGCCCCTCTCTGGGCTGGCCGAGGCTGGAGCCAGCTCCCTCTGCTTGTGGGGAGGTGTGGAGGGAGAGGTGCAGGCAGGAACTGGGGCTGCCACGCCGGCAGGCCAGCGTGAGTTCCAGGTGGGCACGGGCTCAGTGGGACCCACACGCTTGGAGTGGCCGGCCAGCGCTGCCCTGGGGCAGTGAGGGGCTTAGCACCCGGGCCAGCAGCTGCGGAGGGGGCGCCTTGTCCCCCAGCACTGCCGGCCTGCCAGTGCCACACTTGAATTCTCGCCAGGCCTCAGCCGCCTCCCCGCAGGGCAGGGCTGGGGACCTGCAGCCTGCCGTGCCTGAGCCTCCCCCACCCCCGACCCCCGTGGGCTCCGGCGTGGCCCGAGCCTCCCTGATGGGTGCCGCCCCCTGCTCCTTGGCGCCTGGTCCCATAGACTGCCCGAGGGCAAGGAGAGCAGGTGCACGGTGCGGGACTGGTGGGCAGATCCGCCTGCGGCCCTCGCACGGGATCCACTAGGCGAAGCCAGCTGGGTTCCTACGTAGGGTGGGGACTTGGAGAAATTTTATGTCTAGGCAGAGGTTTGTATATGCACCTATCAGCACTCTGTGTCTAGCTCAAGGTTTGTAAACACACCAATCAGCACTCTGTGTCTAGCTCAAGGTTTGTAAACACACCAATCAGCACCCTGTGTCTAGGTCAAGGTTTGTAAACTCACCAATCAGTGCTCGGTGTCTAGTTATTCTGGTGAGGACTTGGAGAACTTTTATGTCTAGCTAAAGGATTGTAAATACACCAATCAGCACTCTGCATCTAGCTCAGGGATTGTAAACGCACCAGTCAGCACCGTGTCAAAACGGACCAATCAGCTCTCTGTAAAATGGACCAATCAGCTCTCTGTAAAATGGGCCAATCAGCAGGATGTGGGTGGGGCCAGATAAGGGACTAAAAGCAGGCTGCCAGCACCAACAGCAACAACCCGTTGACATTTTCTTCCACACCTTGGGAGCTTTGTTCTTCAGGTCTTTGCAATAAATCTTACTGCTGCTCATTGTTTGGGTCCCTACTGCTTTTATGAGCTGTGACACTCATCCCGAAGGTCTGCAGCTTCACTCCCGAAGTCAGCGAGATCACGAAACCAGCAGAAAGAAGAAACTCCGAACTCGTCCGAACATCAGAACGAGCAAACTCCGGACACACCATCTTTAAGAACTGTTAACACTCACGGCAAGGGTCCGCGGCTTCATTCTTCGTCAGTGAGACCAAGAACCCACCAATTGTGGACACACTATCTTTGTCCTCGGGCAAGCCCTCTTATAGTGACAAGTTCGAGGTGCTAACTTTCACTCATGGCTATGCCCTTAAGAAGATTCATCCAGGAATCATTACACAAACACACCACAAGAGTTTTCATGCTTCAAACATGAAGGGAGTTGTGAGTGGTTAGGAATGAACTACATGCAGTGAAAGATCCCAGAAGAAAGGGTCATTTGAATGATGCAACCTAAACCTAACCCTGGCTAGAGCCTATCATAGAACCTCAGAACACTGTTTTCATAAGCACTTATTGACAGCTAGATGATCCAGGATTTGGGAAAGGGTGACAAAAAAAAAAAAAAATCAGAGTCTCTAAGTCAAAGTCAGTTTAAAGTATGAAACAAGCACAGGAGCCAAAATGAGAAGGATCTACTTCCATCCATCGAGGGAGAGGTGATGCATGGGTTGTGAGGGCCACCAGCGTTTCCACCCTTTAAAGACCATACGGTATCACGCATACAAAGACTGAACAGTTCATCCTCATGACGGGTGAACATTTGTAGTTGTAAAAAAAAAAAAATTAAAAAGCTTTTCTTGTGAAAAAGCTTCATAAAAGGCTCCATTTCATCTCAAGTGCCACCTTTTGCCCTTAGCACTTTTCATGAAGCCTCATGCCTGCAAGGGAGGGGCAGTCATGAAGAAAGGATGGTGGGTGCCCGGTGTGAGCTGGGGTTAGCTGGGGGAATCTGATTTGAAGTAACACAGTTCTTCTCTGAGCTGCTTTCCCTGCACAGTTGTAATTTAAATAAGTGGTTTCAGAAGCTGGAAGATAGCTTGTTGCTCTTTTTCTAATGAAATACTGGAAAGTGGATAATTACTGGGAGGAGCCGACTGCAGGCAGCACCCATCAGGGGACGCTTCGTACCCCAAGACGAAGGTAAGGGCAGATGCTGCCTCACCTGGGTGTTTGGAGTGGACTTCACCTCCCCCAGCCCTGTCTCCCTCCCACTGACTTGGGCTGGTGCAGCTGTGAAACTGACATTTGCTTTTCTTTAAACGCCCACTTCCTCTTCCTTTGCATGATCCTAAGAAGTCCTGTTGATCCGTAGCCGCTGGGGCCATTTCTTTCTCCGTGGAAAGGTCTAATAAACTATTTCCTATTGAGGTGTTAAATATTCAGTTCGTCACTTTCAACAGCATTTATTAGTGGAGCAAAATGAAACTCCAGTTAGATAATTCTGAAGTGGTGGATTAGCATTTCAGTTGGCATCTCAAATGTCAGAACGGGAGGCATGTGCTGTTGGTTTGTATACGAGTCTGTGCCCTTGCGGGAAACAAGTTTCTCTCAACAAAAGCACCGGTGGCATTTGGGCAGGACAGAGTTCACCGTGTGGGACGATGAGGCGGTTTCCTATTCCTGGCCTGTGCCATTGGAACAACTAAAAGTGTCTGTGATTTCCAAATGCCTCCCTAGGGACACAGAAAAGAAACACCCAAATAGAAAGTATGTAGAATGCACTAGCCTATTCCTGACCCCCAGCAGGCAGGACTGAACCACAGAGACTTTGCCCAGCCCTTCCTCTCTCTTCTTGTTGGAAATGCAGCCTTCTGCTTTTGGGATGCCATTCTTCACACTCTGCCCCATCTCTCTTTTGGGACGAACATATAGACACGCACCCACACGCCACTTAGCAGCCGGAGGCACCAACTCCATTCACTTATGTGATATTGCCGCTCTGGTAACGGAGAGTTGAGGAAAAGCTGAACCCGTGACTGGATCATTAAAAGCTCCCTCCCTGGGACTGTTTGATTTCATGATCTGAGCCCAGGAGCTTCCAGCACTCTTGGCTGCAGCCTCCTGGAGAACAGGTGGTCTAAGTGAGTAAAGCTGTTGCAGGGTGAAGATTTGTTTTATGTGCCAACTTGACTTGGCTTAGGGAAGCTCAGGGAGCGGGCAAACATTAAAACATGGTTTCTGGGTGTGTCTGTGAGGGTGTTTCTTGAAGAAATCAGCATTGGAATCGGTGGGCTGAGTATAGGAGATCTCCCTCTCCAGTGAGGGGGTGCATCCTTCAGTCCACCGAGGGCCTGAACAGGACAAGAAGGCAGAGGAAGGGCGGATTATTTCTCCCTGAGTTGGGACATCCATCTTCTCCTGCCCTCAAATATAGGAGCTCCTGGTTCTTGGGCCTTCTGATTCAAACCAGGACCTACACCGCCGTCCACCCGCCAACACACACCATTTCTCAGGCCACCAGGCTCAGTCTGAATCACACCCCTGGCTTCCCTTGGTCCCCAGCTTGCAGAGGGCACATTGCTGGACTCCTCAGCCTCAATAATTATGTGAGCCAGTTCTCATATTAAATGTCCCCTTGTATGTCTATATCTATACCTATCTATCTATATCTAGATCATCTATGTCTATGTCTATATCTGTATCTATATCTATATCTATAGATCCTATTTGTTCTGTTTCTCTGGAGATACCTGACTAACACACACAGGGAGAACTGGAGTACTAGGCAGAAAGAAGAAAGAGAGGAGGGGAAGGCAGAGGAGAGAGAGGGAAAGAGAGAGGAAGAAGAGAAGGGGAAGGGAAGGAGGGAGAGGGAGAAAGAAGAAAAGAAATGGAAAGAGGGGGAGAGAAAGAGAAAGGGAGGGAAGGAGAGAGGGATAATGGAGGGAAGGAGGACAGAGGCAGAGGGAGTAGAGAAAGCCTGCAGGGCAGGGGTGACCAAACTTTTGGCTTCCCTGGGCCACATTGTAAAAAGAATTGTCTTGGGCCACACATAAAATACACTAACATTAACAATAGCTGATGAGCTAAAAAAATAAATTGTAAAAAAATCTCAATGTTGTAAGAAAGTTTATGAATTTGTGTTAGACTGTATTTAAAGCTGTCCTGGGCTGCATGTGGCCCACAGACTGTGGGTTGGACAAGCTTGTTGTTAAAGTTTTCAAGTCCCTGGTTCTAGTTGAGACTAAGATTAGCTCTACACTGCTCCTCTTGACATTGGCAACACAGAATAATTTACTTTTTTTTCAATTGTGAATTTCTATCAATTTCATCAAAGTGCCCTGACCAACCCAAAAGAAAAAGGGGTGATTGATAACCATTCTTGCAATAAAAGAATGTGCAAATGAATGCTTTCCTCTTTCTCTGAAAATCACAGGAGGCTGCCCCGTGTACTAGTAAAGAATTCTCACACTGGCCCTATCATAAACATCGTTGCAGAGGAAAGCAGACACCTGCAGGCTTTCCCTTCCCTGCCACTCTCCTGGGAGCTGAATGCTGGAAGGTAGCCAACCAAAGGCAATGCAGTGCAAACTCCTATGTCCACATGAAGTCCACGAGAAAACTCCTAGTGGAAGAGCGGGAGATGCCGCAGATCATCTAACGTCGGGCCTACGTACCAGCCTATGCGATGTGGTCACCTACTCTGTCCCAGCAAGTATGTGCCTTATTCTGCCATCTATACTTCACAATTTGTAGCAATCGAAAGTCTCTTTATTATATGAATTATAGTGGCAACTATTATAATTTTGCCGGGAAGCTGGAGAATGGGAAGATGGACAGCAATACAGAGAAATCTCAAGCTTCCACACACTCATCAGTAGGAGAAAGAGAAGAACTCCCCTATTCCCCCTTCCTCACCTTGAGCAAGGATATCTAATCAGCAGGGCCACCTTCTCCAGAACCCTGGCTGCAGGAGAGTCTAGGGAATAGAGTTTTAGCTTCCCAATCTCACCAACCAGGAGGAGGGTGGAATGGAAGTGGAAGGAATCAAACAGTGTCAGCATACTCTTTATTGTAATTGACCTAAAACAAATAACACCACCAAGGTCTCATAGAAGATGGTCTGAGCTCACCCCTGTGACACATCATTTTAATTGCTAGAGACCCTGAAAATAGTTAATGGATTCTGACACTGCACTTGGAGTTGGGAAGTTGCCTGTATGAAAAACATGGGCTGAAAATTGATGCTTTACTTGACATGGCTGGTAAAAGCAGGGTTGGGACTACTTGGCCATAGTGGATACTTGTGGTGTTCGCTACTCAATGTCCATTCTGTTTCTTGGGTCAACAGAACTCTTTAGAAAAAAACATTCTACCTCTAATCTCAGCCACAGAGCTTTGTGGAGCTAACTCAACCTCCAGGATCCAGAGTGCGTCATGCAATTTAAGCTAAACCAGTCAGCCCAATCCTTCCACCTGGCCCAGGTTCCAAGGCAGTCCATTCATGGGCAAAATCTTGACTCAATCTTAGGACTTATACTTAAGCCATTGAGTAAGCTTTCTTTCCTTCTGCTAGACTAGATGAGTTGATGAGCCTAAATTTCCCCAGACCCAACACACAGAGTTGAAAATGAATCCAAAAGGAAAGCAATAGATGGACCTCGTATGAGTCTAGGATCAGGCCTCCGTTGTAGGCAGTCCTGTTCATGGACATTTAGTCTTATAGTATATCAACAAACGTCACTGGTGAAGACACTTTGGGCCCAGTTTCCTGTCACCAAGAACATTCTGATGGATTTGATACTCACATCAAACTTAGAATATATGTATTTTTATTACACCCATTTTAAAGATTAGAAAACAGCCACAGGGTGGTCAAGTATCTTGAATTTATAAGAATAGAGATAGACGAAGGCATCTTTGGCCGTGCTGAAGTTAATATGATGATGCTAAAATGTTGTGTAACACTTCTAATTCAAACTATTGCCCTTTGCTCTTCTGGAAATAGTGTTGAGTGTATCACTGAAGCAGTTCCCTGACTCTCATTACCATCCTGCAATCACCTCCAGTTCTTTTCAACCAAAGCCCCAAATTTCTGTATGCCCTATGTGATAACTCTGCATTGCACTCCACTTGTTAAATCTCTTAACTGGTGATGAAAGCTCTGAATTAAAGCTCTAGATGTTTTCTTATAAGAGAGTATGATCCTTGTGTTCACTACAAGCTAAACAAGGCATTTCCCAAAGAGGTTGTCATCTTCTCCTTGCATCATTAAACAAAAATGAAGTCTATCTTTTTCCTTCCCAAAGTCAACATGTGACAATTCGTGGCAAAATCAAAACTTTCTTTGCTGAAGTTCCCTTTCTTGTAATGCCAGCTACCTCTCAGGAACAGACTGAGATCTCCAAAAGTGAGACATTTGGGAGCAACAGATGCTCAAGCAAGATATTTCCTGGGAAGAAGGTAGAAGCAAAGACTGGGTTGAGTGTGATCTTCAGCACTGAGTGTTTTCTGCATTCTACTCTGTACGTGTGTGTATGTGTGTTGTAGTTAATATACTCAATTTTCTGTGTTTTTGATGAATTGCTGCTGACACCTGTAGAGCCTCCATGGTCTCCATCTTAACTTTCAAGTGCAATTGAGAATTCAGCAAAAACGGAATGATGCAAACTCTCATTTCATCACTTCAAACATCTATCAAACTTTTACCTTCTTTCTTCAAAAATAACATTTATACATGCATGTGTATGTTCATTGCAGTACTATTCAAAATAGCAAAGACATGGAATCAACTCAAATGCCCATCAATGATAGACTGGATAAAGAAAATGTGTTACATATGCACCATGGAATACTATGCAGCCATGAAGAAGAACAAGATCATGTGGGAGCTCAACAATGAGAACACATGGACACAGAGAGGGGAACAACACACACTGGGGCCTGTTGGGTGAGAGAGGGAGAGCATCAAGATAAATGGCTAATGCATGTAGGGCTTAATACCTAGGTGATGGTTTGATAGGTGCAGTAAACCACCATGGCACACATTGACCTATGTAACAAACCTGCACAATCTGCACAGGTATCCTGGAACTTAAAATTAAAATATATTAAATTAGAAACAAATAAGGTTTAACTCCCTACCTATCTCTTTGAAAAGCCTTAACCATTAATTGAGTCATGGCATTTTTAAATGGACTATTCAGTGGCTGTGGAGATGTGTGCTGTGTTTGCTTGGTTAAGCAGAAAGTAAGTTTTCAAGGATCTCCTGCCTCATATGTTTCCAGGATAAAGTTGGCCAAACATGAATTCATAGACCTAGAATTCACAGATTGACAGATTTGGAAGGTGGGAGTGAAGCAGTACTCATTACTGTCTGAAGGTTATAGCAATCAGAGAGGAAATAGAAGACATCTAGCTTCTCTCCTCTCTCCTTTACTGTGTTCCTAGCCCTCCTATGGACTGCTTTTCCTATGACCAGCAAGTTGCACCAGAGGTGACAGAACAGTGACAGATTTCCATAGCTTTAAAAAAAAACCCAACAAATATACAGAGTTTGTCAGATTTGATTTGTTAATATTTTGTTAAAGGTTTTTCTATCTGTGTTTATGAAAAATATTAGATTGTAATTTTTTTGTTATGACTTTGTCAGATTTTTATATTAAGATTATGCTATTGTGAATAGTGCTGCAAAAAACATACGTGTGCATGTGTCTTTATAGCAGCATGATTTATAATCCTTTAGGTATATACTCAGTAATGGGATTGCTGGGTCAAATGGCATTTCTAGTTCTAGATCCCTGAGGAATCGCGCCACACTGACTTCCACAATGGTTAAACTAGTTTACAGTCCCACCAACAGTGTAAAAGTGTTCCTATTTCTCCACATCCTCTCCAGCACCTGTTGTTTCCTGACTTTTTAATGATCGCCATTCTAACAGGCATGAGGGAGGGATAGCATTAGGAGATATACCTAATGTTAAATGACGAGTTAATGGGTGCAGCACACCAACATGGCACATGTATACATATGTAACTAACCTGCACATTGTGCACATGTACCCTAAAACTTAAAGTATAATAATAAGAAAAAATTATGCTGGCCTTATAAAAATGAATTGAAAAAACTTTATTCTTCCTTCATTTTCTGAAAGATTTTGTGCAAGTCTGCTGTTGTTTCTATCTTAGATGGTAGATAAACTTCACCAATAAAACCATCTGGGCCTGGAGTTTTCTTGTTGGGAAGCCTTTTGATAAAGATTTTGCAGTAGGCAGAATCATGTCTCCCCCAAAGATGTTCATGCCAAATTCCTGGAAACTGTAACTATATTACTTTACAGGACTAAGGGAGTTTTGCAGATTTGATTAAGGGTACAGACCTTGAAATGTGAGATTATCTTGAATTATTCAGGTGAGTCCAATCTAATCACATGAGTCTTTAAAATCTGAGAATATTTCTGAGCCAGGCCAGAGAGGTGCCAGTGAAGGAAGAATTCAGCTCCTGTTACTGACACTGAACAGTGAACGATAACCCCAAAGAGGCCTCTAAGAGCCAAGGACAGTTCCCAGCTGACAACCAGCAAGGAAATTAAGACTTCAGTCATTCTGTACCTGGGTAGGACTGAATTCTGCTAACACTTGAATGAGCAACACATGAGTTATCTCCTAGAGGCTCTGGTACAGAACAGAATGGAACATTGCTGACCTCTTGGTTTGATCTCAGTAAAACCTATACCAGGCTTCTCGCCTACAGAACTGTGAGGTAGTAAATTTGTGCTACTTTAATCAATAAAGTTGTGGTAATTTGTCATGGCAACAATAGATTTTAGTGACTTACAATAAATGTAGAACTCTTCAGATATTCTTTTTCTTCCAGTGTCAGTTTTGGTAAATTTCATTTCTCCACAAAGATTTCCATTTCATCTAAGTTGTCGAATTATCGTTCTTGATGATATACTCTTTTACTGTTCAGAAAATCTGTAGTAGTAACTCCTTTTTCATTCCTGACACTGGTAATTCATATTTTCCTCCTTTTTTCATCAGTTGAGATAGTTTTATAATTGTCACCGATATTTTTTTAAAAAAATAAAATGAAAACAATTTAGACTTTGCTCATTTTCTCTGTTGTTTCTTCCACTTACTCACTCACTCTTTTTCTCTCCCCTCTGCCTCTCTGTCTTAATTTTCTTCCTTCCGCTGCTTTTTTGTTTTTTTTCCAACTAGGCTCTTCAAGTATAGAATTAGGTAAGTGATTTTAGATTTTTCTTTTTTTCTACTGTAAACAAAGCCATAAATTTCCTTTTTAGCACTTTTTAAGCAACATTTTGCAAATTTTATTTTGCATTATTATTATTTATTTCAAAATATTTTCTAATTTCCTGTAATTTGTATTTGGTTCATGGATTAGTTAGACATTGTTTAAGTTCCAAATATCTGGGCTTTTTTTTAGGTATCTTACTGTAATTGGTTTCTAATTTAATTTCAATTTTGATCAGATAACATGCCCTAGATAATTTCCATTCTTTTAAATGTATTTAAACTTGTTCTTCTGCTCAGCAAATGGTCTATATTGATTAAAATGCCATGTACACTTGAAAATAATGTGGACTCTGAAGTTACCAGGTATAGTGTTTTATAATGATCAATTAGGCAAGGTAGTTGATAATGTTCAGATCATCCGTATCTTTACTGACACAGGAGGGGGGAAGAGACGGGATAGGGGAAGCAGGAGAGAGGAATGTTGTTTCAATTGCTGATTGCTGATGAGGTGTTTAAATTCTCTGACAATTATTTTGGTATTTTTCATATTTCTCGTTAATTCTGTTTAATTTTTCTTGGTGTGTTTTGAGTCTTTATTATTAGCTACATATATACTTATGATTTTTATGTCTTTCTGTGTAACTGATGCTTTTAGTATTATGAAATGTCTTTCTTGATATCTGGTTATGTTCTTTGTTTTGAAGTCGATTTTATCTGATATTAATATAGCCATTCTGGTCATCCTACGCTTCCTCTTTACATGATGTATTAGTTTGCTGGGGCTGCCTTAACAAAGTACCACAAACTGAGTGGCTGAAACAATATAAATGCATTAACATTATCTCATTTTCTTTGGACATATGCCTAGTAGTGGGATTGCTGGATCACACGGTAGTTCTATTTTTTTAAAAGGGTGTTGCTGTGTCACCCAGGCTGGAGTACAGCAGTGAAATCATAGCTCACTGCAGCCTCAAGCTCCTGGACTCAACTGATCCTCCCACCTCGGTCTCCATTGTGACTGGGGCACATGCCACCATGTCCAGCTATTTTTTTACTCTAATTTTTATTATTTTGTGGAGACACGGTCTTATTATGTGCCCAGGGTGGTCTCGAACTCCTGGGCTCAAGCGATCCTCCCACCTCAGCCTTCGAAAGTTATTGGATTACAGATGTGAGTCACCACGCTGGCTATTTTTATGTTTTTCGAGGAACTTTCATAGTGTTTTACATAACGGCTTCACCAGCTTAAATTCCCACAGTGTGCTAGAGTTCTCTTTCCTCCAAATCCTCACCAACCCTTGTTATCTTCCATCTTTTTAAGGTCTCATCCTTACAAGGTGGGAGGTGACCGTCTTACTATCATTTTAATTTGTGTCTCTCTGATAATTAGTAATGCTAAGCGTTTTTTCGTAAATCAGTTGGCCATTTGAGAAATGTTTATTTAAGTCCTTTGCCCATTCTTCTGGCTTTTGAATGCCAAGTAATTTTGGATTCTGCCTTGCAAATGACAAATGTTATACTTCTGACTGTTTTAAAATTTTGAATTCCATGCAGACTCTATTTTGTTGTATTCATCAATAAAGTGTTAACTGAATTTTTTTTTTTTTTTTTTTTTTTTTTGGCTAGTAATGACTTGGTTGGATTCACACTACAAAACGTCTCTTGGGGTTCAGCTTAAATCAGCTCAGTCCTTTTATCTTTAGCTATGCTGCTTAATCTTCCCCATGCTCCCGGGGTTCATGCGTCATCCAAAAATGTGGGCAAAGTTAATACAAGCAATTGGGGGTCTTTCTTTCTGGCTCTTTCCTTTGTTGGATTTCCCCCTCTGCATTCCAGTAGCAGTGATTGCTACAGATTTTGCTGTCTGGTTCTTCAGTTTAGAAAGAGTGAGTTTCGGCAGGGCGCGGAGGCTCACGCTTGTAATACCAATACTTTGGGAGGCTAAGGCAGGTGGATTGCTTGAGGTCAGGAGTTCAAGACCAGCCTGGCCAATATGGCGAAACCCTGTGTCTACTAAAAATACAAAAATTAGCTGGGCATGGTGTTGCGCGCCTGTAATCCTAGATACTCAGGAGGCTGCGGCACAAGAATTGCTTGAAACTGGGAGACGGAGGTTGCAGTAAGCCAAGATTGCATCACTGCACTCCAGCTTGGGCAACAGAGCGAGACTCCATCTCAAAAAATAAAAAATAAAAAAAAGAAAGAGTGAGTTTCTACAGGAGTGTCAGTTGTCACTTGCAGCAATGATTTTGGCCTGTTTTTAGGGGAAATGCCACCAAAACAGGAAAGTCACTCCACGCCTCTCCTTCCAAATGTCAACTTACCTCCAGAAGCTCCTGTTTTCCTTCACTTTTCATGGCCTTCTGGAAGTCTTTGCGGTGTTGTTGATGTGTTTGTGTTACTCTTTTTGTTTTGTATCTTATTCAGAATTTATGATTGTTACCTACGTGAAGATCCATCCAGCAGGCGTTGACTTGGTCATGCCGAAAGCTCAACTCCTTCAAACACTTTTTGAACAGTACCCCTTTCATCTTCCTGCTCTGGTAGCTGGAGACTCCCGCCTCCCTGGATCTCCTGCGAGTTCCAATTTGTTCCCCTGAAATAGACTGAAAGCTCAGCTTGTCCTGAATCCCATGCCAGAGCCTCAGGGAAGCTGGTCAGTAATTTCTGCTTATCCTCCGACTCCCTCTTCTGGCTCTTATAGCTCTAGCTTCTCCCACAATTATATAAGATCTCATTCCTAAAAATAGATTCCTATTCCTAGTGGTTCTGTTTCCCTCACTGAACCTTGATTGAGTTCCATTTGAGTTCCATCCATAAGTAGAATGGCAACCTAAACAATTTATGCTTAATGCTTTTTGTAGTGAGCAGGAGGCAACAATTTCACGCCTTCCTTCCACCAACCTTGGTCCTGCTCCCAGCTGGGCTGAGCTGTAATCTCTTGGATGCTCCATAAAGATCAAACGGCTGTCTCCTGAGCTGTATCGAGGGCACAGCTTTAAGTAGGCATCACTATTTGCTGAACATATCAAAGATGGGCTGCCCCAGGAGGTATCACAACTTTTACTTACAAGTCAGAGGTAAAGAAGCCAGTAGTGACCATTATTGCCTCTTGAGAACAAAGACATTCATTAGTGTGAAATGCTGCTGAATGTAGCGACACTCTTTTGATTTGTTTGCCACTTAGACCCCCAAATCTGAGCTTTTCTTTTTTCTCTGCTAGCAACAAATGCTAGTCAGGACCACCAGGGAGCGCTGTTTACTCTATAACCATTCCCAGGCTGCGTGTGGGTCTGGAGCTGAGATATTTCGCACATAAATTAATGGAATTGGCATTCCATTGTTCCAAGTGTCAAAACAACACAATTTTGGCAGATTTCCATTTGAAGCTCAATCTTTTTTAACAAGCCATCAGAGAGTCTTAAAGAGAGTTAAAAGCAATGCAGTGGGTCTTTCTATGAAGTGCCTTTGGTTACCTGGATTGTCTGCCCTGAGAAAGGTGGTTGAAAGCAGCTAATCACACATAAAAGTCACCATTGTCCTCCTTCCCAGAACCTGGCTGGATCTGCTGTGAATCACAAGTAATCCCATAGTTTAGGATTTGGATCATGGTCGGCCAGAAGGGGCTTTTTAAAGGTAGTTTAATATTGGAATTGAATTCTGTGTGCATTTCGTAGCGTGGATGAGTTTGAATTATTTTCTATTAACAATTCCACATTTAGGTCCTTGTGAATAAGGACTACAAAATTGAGAAAATAAATCCAAAGACTTAGGGGTGGAGAGGGTGAAATCGATATGACAGCAGAACCCAGCCCAATTCAATCCCAACATGTTGGAGCTGGTTTAATCTGCATCTTCTGGCTGGTGGTTATGGGAACTGACTGGCTATAACAACTTCCATTCTTGTTTATGGGCTGTCCTGCATACTGTCTCATTCTTTCTGCCAGAAAGACCTGTCTTTCTTTCCTTGCATCTCCACTATTAATCTCCCACTGTTCCTGATGCCTGTGATCAAACATCATGAAATTTCTTCAGCCATATTTATTGAGTGCTGGATATGGTCTAGGCTCTGTACTTATTTCTGGTGATGTGGCCCTGGGACAAAAGACTTTGCTGAGGGGATAATATTTGCAAGGAGAGGGACATGATAGGAAAAGTATTTCAGGAAGAGAGAGTGGCAAGTACAAGGACTGTGGAGGGAGAGAACTGGGCAGAGCCAGCAGAGGGAACAGGATAATTAGTATAAGTGGGGGCAGGTGGGCCGTGAAATCATTTTTTATCTTCTCTAGGCCTTTAAAACATTTAATGTGTGCCTATTTTCTGATGTTGATTTGAGATATTTGTGCATGCATATTATCCTGCCTAATGGGCTGTCAGAGGGCAGGCACCCTGCCTATAAGTAATTCACTCAACAGTTACTATTGAACTGAAGAATGCATAGACACAGAGTGGGTCTTATTCCTGCAAGACCTGATCATCCACAAGGAACAGGAATGCAGCTGAGTGAGTGGGCATGCAATGAATTTGAATGCCTGGGTGTTCCAATGAGGATGGATTATTATGTGAAGGTGCTGTAACAAATAATCCAAACTTTCAGAGGCATACAACAGCAAACATTCACTTCTCATTCCCTTTTTTTTGTGTCCACTGCAGGTTGGCAGGGGTCTGTGCCCATTAACGTCACTTAGGGACTCAGTTGATGGAGCAGCTACTAACTAGACCAAAGCCAGTCATTGCACCTGCCCACTCCAAATACTGGGTTCGGTGAGGAGTGTGCATTAAATAGCCATTATTAACTGACTGCAGGACGAATTCTCCAGTCTCAAGGTTCTTCTGGAATGACAGAATGCACTGAATATGCTTGTGATTGCTTTATGCTGAGAAGCAGGAAAGAGTTTAATGTCAGTGAAATTTTCAAATAAATATAGTTTGGATAATATGATTTTGCATAAGTAGATAGGGAGCAGAATAGGGTAATTATTTAGGAGTTGTTACTCAAAAGTGGCCCACTGACTCACAACATCAAGATCACCTGGAGGCTTGGGAGAAATGCAGAGGAGAAGGCCCCACCCCTAGCACCTAAATCAGAAGTTGCATTTTAACAAGTTCCCTTGGTCACGTGTATACACAGGAAAGTCTGAGAATTGTCTATTTAGAGCAAGGAGTCTATGGTGGGAGAGTTGAGTTTGAATACCAGCTCTGCCAATTAGTTGTTCCGTGACATTGGGTAAGTCTCCTAAACTCTGTATCTCAATTTTCTCATGTGTAAGTGGGGTTAATAACAAAAGTAATGTCATAGGACTGTTGTGAGGATTAAATGAGTCCACACCTGTCAAAGTACTTAAGACAGTGCCTGGGACAGAGTAAGGAATCTGCAAGTGTTAGAGATGATGATGATGGTGATCGTGATGGTGATGGTGATGATAATAGTAATGGTGATGATGGTGATGGTGATGGTAATTATGATGGTGATGGTGATGATGATATGATGATGGTGGTGGTGGTGGTGATGATGATGGTGATAATGATGATGATGATCATGATGATAATGGTGATGATGATGGTGATAATGGTGATAGTGATGATGATAGTGATGGTGATGATGATGGTGATGATGATGATGGTGATAATGGTGATGATGATGATGATGCAAATACAGTTAAGGAAATACCAGTGTGATTACTTCCATTTGTAACCTAATCCGAAGCTTCGTTAACCTAATTCCTATAGTAAATTGATCATTTGCTGGCCTTGAACCCTAGCGGAAGGGTGAAGGGTAGAGATTCTACTCTGTGGGTCTTAACCACAAATGTGAGAGGAGTCTGGGCATCCAACAGGTACCACGTGGAGAATGGGATGATAAGCAGGTATGGGCATTTGAGCATCACTCTTAAAAGTTGTTTTCACAGGCCAAAAGTCACCTGCATCTTGCATCTTATCTAGGGATGCTGGGCCCATGTCCTCTTCAGGGTCGATTAAGCTCCATACAGGCTGAGTTCAAGTAGCAGTGCCAGAGAAGCACAAGGGTCTCAAGAGGTTGTCTGGGATGGTAAGTGGAAGTTACAAAGGGACAATTCTTCAGTGCTTGTTTAAAATAAAAGGGCCCAACAAGTGAAACCTGACACAAAGAGAGACCTAGCAAGTGAGACCTAACACAAGTTTCCTAGACATCTGGTGTAGGAAACAGGCACACCTGAGCACACACCTATCAGTCTAGTGAATGGTTGCGAATGTGGACTTTGAAGTCAGATGGTCTAGATTGAATCCCAGCTCAACCACTTCCTAGATGAGTGGCATTGAACTAGCCACTTCACTTCTTTGACATCAGTTTTCTTATGTGTGAACTGGAGATAACAAGAGTACATGTTCATAGGGTTGTTAATGAGATATTTGGCAATTAGGAAGTACCTAATAAATGTTAATTGTTATTATCATCATCATCACTATTAACAGCTAAATGAACTAAAGGTAAAATGAGTGATTCTGAGATTCCTCATTAGTAAAGTAGGGCTAATAGTCTATGGATTTACAGTATTCATTCATTGGACAAGGACTTATCTTCACATACACACTTGTTTTAGGGGATAGGAATACAGGGGTGAGCACGTCAGACATTGTCCCCTCATGGAGTTGACATGGAACGAGGAATGAGCAAGCAAACAAATAAAGGAACAAGGGCAGACAGCGAATGGCCCCCAATAAATGTTCCCTAAATATATTTTCATTAGATGGAATAAAGGCTGGAATCTTTATCCACACGGAGAGAGGAAGAATGTATTATTTCTACATTCCACACCTCTGACTCCTCTCTACCTTAGCCAGACTTAGACCTGGAGTTAATGAAAGAGGGGATGACATATGGCTTACGGTTCGTACCAATGCAATACTCAATTTGCCTTAGGGTTGGTGGTCATAAACTGGCCCGGCTCCTTCCAGGGGGTGCAGAGAGCTGATTTTCAATGTATGGGCTGTCACATACCAGCAAGTGGCTTAATCTCCTCTATGAGCCTCAGTTTCCTCATCTGTACCAATGTACCAACCAAGGTCACTCACCCCCTCTCTTCCTCACCTCCATAAAGAGAACCCTCAGGTACCCAGTTGTTTGGGCCAAAACAGTGGCCTCTTCTTTCCCTCCCACAGTCCACACCCATCCATCAGCACATCCTGCTGGCTTCACTTCCACTAGGCATCATTAACTGGTCCTTGTCTCGACTTCACAGCTTTGCTCCTCTTACTCCAGTGCAAGCATCCAAGACTCCTGGGTGCCTTGAACCAGCTCTTAATTAGACTTCAGGCTTCCTTGGCTACTCCTATAGGCTGTGGTCTACAATTGGCCAGAGTGATCCTTCTGAAAGAAAAATAAGACCTTTCAGGACTCCAGCTTAGTGTCTTTGCACTTTCATTTTTATCAGCCTGAGAAGCTCTTTTCCCAAAAATTGCTCTCACTTCACCCACCTTCCTAAAGTTGCACCCCCAAATCAGACTTTTCCCTTATTTTGCTTTATTTTTGTTCACAACACATATCACTGCATTAACAGATACAATTACTTGTATATTACTTTAGAGTCTGCATCCTCCACTAGAATGTAAGGTCCATGAATTTAGGACTCTCGTCTATTTTGTTCACTGGCAAAACCCCAAAATTTGGGCCTGACAAATAGTAAGCAAGTGACACCTATTTGTTAAATGAATGAATGAATGAATAAAATGTCCAAGGATAATAATAATACACCCCACGAGTGTGAAGAGGATTAAATCAGATAGTGCCTATATGTTTTAAGAACAATGACAGGACACAGAACTAAGCATAGACCTTTCTATCATTTTTCTCCCTTTTTTCCTTCTTCCTCATTTTTTAATCGCTAATAGTAAGCACCATAGTCAGGACTTGATACTCAGTTTGCGGGATGACCATAGCTGTTTCATGAGGCCAACATATAGCCTTTCTTTTCCATGTCCTCGGCAATATATACCCATATGTCCCGTCTACAGGTAGACAATGCAAGAAGCCTTTGAACTAAAATCACAAGTTCCACCCCTCATTTTATGCGATATTCACAATTTAACATTTAAGCATGAACAAAACAATCTGAAGTTGCCTCATTGACTTAGGAACCCTGAAACCCTGTGGAAGCAGCAGGTTTCCTCTTTCCAATCATTCTCCTCTCCCATAAATTATGTTAAGTGCTTCCATGTGCCCACAGTCCTTAAGGAATTCTGCAACAGCCTTTGAGGAGATTAGAAGCCTCTGATGTTCCTTATGAAATTCAGAAAACCATCTGGAAGTAATCTAAGTTAAGGAATTAATGATTTGGGGGTTAAATGATACATGACTTAAAAAAAATAAATACAGAAAACTTTATTAGCCCATGAACCTCAATTTTTGTGGATTTACCTATGAAAGAGAAATTGACTATATCATCTGTTTTATTTGTTTGTTCAGTTTTGTGTGCATGTTTGTTTGACTGCTCTTGAGAGGGACACGCAATAGATTAAATGGAGTCCTAAAGGAAGGTTTGCAGAGAAGCTTTCATTTGCTGGGTCTCCTGAAGGCTCTCACAGGGGATGCCCGGAGGCATCATAGTCTCAAGGGGCATCTGTGATTCAGGATCACCTGAAGACAGTGGCTGCCTTTGGGGTGCTGTGCAGTGAGCTTATCTGATTGAGAATCCTTTCCCCACTCCAACCCCATGTTGAATTAGTATTTATTTTGCTGTGGCTTGTTTGGTAGCCCCTGGTTTTGATTATTTGCATCACAGAGATGTAGTCCAGGACCTGACTTGTCTTTGCAGTAGGGACAGCAATGTTCTGTGCCAAAAGGAAAGAAATGATGTGGAAAGAAGGTACATTATGAGGCTGCATAGAACAGGGGAGTGGAGGGCACTTCTTTGGGTTTTTATTTTTTGTCCCTGTTATCCAATAGGGAGGAGAGAGGATAAGGCAGATTCCCATCCTCAGTTACAAACAATGGGACATGTGTATTTCTCCCTCATGCTGGGAACATTTAAATGAAAAAAAAATTATTCCCCGGTGATGTTCAGGCTCAAAGCACTGAGAATAAAACGTACCTTCCGTTTTAGGAGCCCAAATCTACTTTACAACTGCCCCCTGCCCCCAAGGTCAGGTCTACACTAGCTGAATGTACTGAAGAATTGGGCGATTATCAGCATAATCCACTTTAAAAATCAAGTCTCTGCTATCCAGGCCTATGAGAATCAAGCTTTTACCGTTCCCTTTGGGGCCTGGATAGTTTTCAAGCTGCCTTCTCCTCACATCATGTGAGTAGAGCCGGCCAAGAAAACCAGGGAGACATCTCCCCCCAGCCTGGCCCAGACTTCCGGGCCCCACCCCAGGAGAGAGCCTCCCACTCTGGCCAGTGCCCTGCAAAGCCTTCGCCCCACCCCGCCCCAATTTCTCCTTATGCCTGGCTCATTCCTTAGGGGCTGAGTTGGGAGATAAGACTTGGGGTTGCAGTTGCTGGGGATCATTCGTTTACATTTCTTTTCTTTCAATCAAGGACTTCTTTTTTTCTTTTGAAATTCTTTCCTGCACTGATGGTGAGAAAAGACCCCTCAGGCTTCCTTTTGATGTTGGACCGAGCCAGCCCACGGTGAGAGGGGATGCTGAGCCCGTGGTGAGGAGCTCAGGACAGGAGGGGACGTCCAGAGACCTCCGAACCCATGGCCCTTCATTCCCAGTCACAAGGGGGGAGTCGGGGTCCCGCCCTCAAACTGCTCAGACCACGCGTGGCAGAAAGAGCAGAGCATGAGCATCAGGAACCGCACAGGGAAGCCGCTGAGATCACCTGGGATCACCACCATGAGGGAGGCCAGCCCTGGAGAAATCAGAGGGAAAAGATAGAGAGAACGAAGTCGGGGGGGGGGGGGGGAGGGCGGATCTTCCTTGTCTGAGTCTGCAGAGAAATTGCCTATTGCAGGAGCAAGTCTAGAGAGGGGCTATTCTCCACCCACTGAAAAGATAATAAAACACATGCTATGGGCGGCGGGGAGATGATTGGGGAGTGGAAGCCCCACAGACATGCAGTGAAAAATGATCCTTTCTTCCCCTCTGCGTTCTCGTCCCCTTCCCAGAGACACCGCTGTGATCTCGTGCCTCGCCCCCTCCGCACACGCACAGGTGCACACCCGCATCTGTCTTGAGCCCGCACCCCGCCTTCACGCTCCGCTGCGCGCTGCTTTTCCGCGCTCAGTGATCCAGTTAGGAGCTCTCCCCGCAGCAGCTGCGCGGGACTTTGCATTCCAGATGTCCCCAGCCCTCCAGGCTAAAGCAGCGGCCACCTGAAGTTGAGGAATGGGGCGTGACGACCACCAGGTCCCGCAGTGACCACGGGAGGGTGGGGAGAAGGAGTCCAGCTCCGCCTTGAGCGTCGGGTCCCTGGGCAGGACCCTCCGGGCCACGGGCCGCTGTCCGTTGGGCACCCGGGCAGGAGTCTGCGAACGCTGAGTTTCTCTGGAAAGGCGCGGACCCCCGGAGGAGCCGTCCCAGCCGCCTGGGGAGACGCCCCCTCCTCTCCCGGTCTTCTTTCCCGGGCACACCCTCCCTAGCCCGGGCGGGGGGGTTCTCCATCTGCCGCCCCTCCCGGCGGGCAGGCGAACTCTCTCCTACCGCACCCTCAATCTGTCCGCGGTCGCGGGGCTCGGCGGGGGCGGGGCCCGGGCGGGGGCGGGGGCGGGGCCGGGGGCGGGGCGGGCCGGCGGCTGCGGAGGCTGCGGAGGCTGCGGGAGAAAAGTTGTCCCGGCCGGAGCGCGAGCAGCGGCGGAGCCGGAGCCGCCAGAGCCAGAGCCGGAGCTGCGGCGGCGTGGACCCGGCAGGGGCGGGCCTCGGACAGCAGAGACGCAGCGGGCCCGGCCGACCGGGCTGCGGGAGTGGCCCCGGGCATGGGGCGGCCGGCGGGGGCCGCGGGCGGGCGCTGCGCTTCGGGCTGGCGGCGGGCTGCGTGAGCGGCCGGGACGCAGGATGCGCTCCGAGGGTGCGGCCCCCGGGCCGGCGGCGCCGCTGTGCGGGGCGCTGAGCCTGCTGCTGGGCGCGCTGCTGGGCAAAGGTAAGGCCGGGGCGGGTGCCTGGCGCGCCGACGCATGCGAACTTCCCGGTTCCGGGGGAGCTCGGGGTGAGGGCAGCCGAAGCGAGGGGTGCGGCGGGGGCCTCGGCGGGGGCTCGGATCCCATCAACAGCGCCTCTGCGGGTGCCGAGCCGCCCCTAATCCAGAAGGGCGCTCCCAGCTGGGCGCCGGGATCCGGGCAAGTTAGGCTGGTCCCGAGTCCCGAATCTCCCACCCCGGACCCCCCAGACCCAGAGCTGCCCCGCGGATGAGGAGGGGGCGTGGCTGAGGGACACGGTGTTTGTTCCCCATCCCTGAGTTCCGTGCGGACCTGCCCCAGCCCCAGCACAGTCACCCTGTGGAACTGGCATCCAGGAGAGGTGCTCCGCTCTGTGCGCTCCTTCCTCCCGGCTGTGTGCTCCCTGTCCACAGCTCCCCATCCACAGCTTCGGCACTGTGGGGCTGGTGCTCCAGGAGGGAAGGCCCGGTTCTTTGCATCCCCTTTCCGCAACCGCTAGGGTCTCTGTGCGGGCCCTAGAGGAACGCTCACTCATCGCGCAGCTCACCAGGGACCCCAGCTTGGCAGAAACCAGGGGCTCTCTGCGGGTTCTCTCAAATGAGTCCTTTGCGGTGGGGGAGCGCGGATGGGGAGGTGGGTGCGTCCCTCGCGACGGGAACTACCTCACCAGCGGTCCTGTCCGGGGCTCCTTCACCTCAGTGTCCTCTTCTCTACAATGGGAGTGACGGCCCTGCTTTGGGTTGGAGGAATTTAAAGGAGTTAACGTATGGCGCCCGCAGGGCTCACGAAAGGTAGCCGTGTGGTTTTTCCGACCTTTTTTATTATGTGCGTGTGCGGCCGAGTGGCCGCGCGGATGCGGCGGCGGGAAGGGCGGGGAGAGGCGGTCTCCAGCCCCAGGAGCCGCGGGGCAGGCGGGGAGCAAGGCCTAGGCTCTGCCAGGGCAGCAGCTGCCCGAGTCCCGGGGCGCGCCCAGGGCGTAGAAAAAGGAGAGCGTCGCTTTCCTGCTCCCCGCGCCCTGGCGAAGGTCTCGGGTTCATTTGGTTAAACGGAGGTGCGCACATGGGTGCCCTGAGCCTTCGCGCGGCGCCGCGGGTCCAGTATCGGCCCCAGGCTCTGAGCAGAGAACACTCAAAGCCACCCTTCTCCCGCCTAATGCTCTGAGGCTGAGCTAGAAATGCGTTCAGAGAGACAAGTTGTCAATGGAGGTTTAAAAGTAGCGTTTGCTTTTCAAAAGTCATTCTGCACCGCCTGAAAATCCAGAAAAATCTACTTTCCTTGAGGCTGCGCTTTCCCAGATACACCAACCAGACAAGTTTGCTATGTTTTATATAAGTGTTCCTTTCTTCCAAGAGCTCCAGGTAGGGAGGAGGGTGGGGTGAGAGAGGGGGGGGAAGAAGGAGTGAGAGAAGAGGGAAAGAGAGGGTGGGGCGAGAGAGGGGGGAAAGGGGGTGAGAGACGAGGGAAAGGGGGGGCAAGTCGGGGGTGGAGGAGTAGGAGAGGGGGGCACTTTTCTATTTTATTTGAAAGAGTCAACAGTCACGATCTGGTGCCTGAATTCTGCTGTTAATTAGCTCTAGGTTCCAGCGTTTCTAGGATTCAGTTTTCCTAGATGCAAAGTGGCCATTGAAGAATTCCCTTCCCAACCTACCTCCCAGCAGTTTTTTGTTGATAAAATGACTGAATGGGTAGTAAAGCACTTTGCAGAGGAAGGCGGTGCTAATTGAGCAGGGCGTGACCGACCTCCTCCGGGTTTTCACCCCTTGCCCTTGAGAGAATTTAACCAGGCGAACTGGATGTTCCCTTTAAAGCAAGTGTGGACTGTTCTTCATTAAGGCTCACATTCCGTGTGTGTGTGTGTGTGTGTGTGTGTGTGTATCCAGAGGATTTTACTTTTGATTACGAGAGTGGCTGTTACAGATGTCCATGTGTTCAGTGCTGGGGGCAGTGATTTGGCTGGAAAGGCAACTGGGACTGGATTTGAAGCTGATATTTGCACAACAAGGGAAAGTGCTGAAAACTAGGGACGTAGCGAAGCCCCACCCCTATCCCAAACCGCCTCTGCCCTCTAGCTAAGTGCAACCTTGATTTGATGGGGCTTTCTTTCCCTGCTTTTTGCTTTACAAAGTTCACCACGTGATTTGGGGGTGCATAAGGGCCTGCAACTTATCATCTGCAAAATACATTTTCCGTTTGTTTCTCATGATCAAAAGCAGCAGTTCATTCCCCCCTCGGATTCCTCCACACGTAAAGCGTTTGCACCGTAAGATATCTTCTAGAGAGGAAAGTTTGCTGACCTTGTTTACATTTCTGCTGTCTTTAAAAAAAAAAAGCCATCTCTGTCTCTTCCTGCACACGGATTTAAGTGCTGATTTCTGGAATCCTTGAAACCACTGATTAATTTTTAATACCAATTGTCTGTTTATTTTTGACTGTGGATTTAGAGGCTTTGCAATTTGTCAGGGTTCGGAAAAGGCAGAATTGTTCTTGGGAGGTTCCATAAATAGGACAGGGCATTGAAAGAAAGAAATCTTTTCCTAAGATTTAAGACTTGGGCCGAGGCAGGAGAGGCAAAACATCCTTGAATTAGAGGTTGATGTATTGCGCCTGTATAAAGCAAGTGGAAGGGCGGTGCCAGGCTGAGATGCCCTCGGAAGTTTAGTGATGGTTGTTAGTCACATATGAGACCTTCTGGGAAGGTTATGTGGGACCACATTCTCTTTTCTGAAATCTGTGGGGGCAAATGTATTTCAAGATTTAGAATTACTGATATCTTTGAATGACAAGATAGAAGGAAAGATAGAAAAATAGAGGCATGAAGTCATATGCATGTGTGGTATGGCACCCTTAGTCTGCGTCTGGAGTTGCAGCCTGTAATTGCACATCGTGCTGACTTTGTGTGCAATGTATGAATCTTTACCTAAAGAAGGATAATAAGACCCCAAATAGCTTGACTTCAGATCAGTGTTGGCCACGGAATGAATTAAATACAACCAACCAGCCAAACCTTGGGATTGTCAGTGCTTTAGGGGTTTTGGGTTTCTGGTAAGGGATTTACGTTCTATAGCAGGGATGAGAAATAGGATCCTCCTAGGATGTCATCAGGGTGGAGAAGCCCCTCTCAACTCACCCGCATTCGTGCTGCCACCAACGAATGATGCTCTTGTCTTGTCCTGCATACACTTACATGTGTACACTTAGCACAGACACATAGGTTTTCTTTTCATCCTTGTCCCTTCTTATCCCTCAAGTCGAAATTCCTTACTGTGTTTTAGCCTCTTAGTAGTTATTGCAACTTCTTGGAAATCATTCTATTAAACCATCAGATCTCAATGTGTCCTATTATAGTTCTTCTTCTATACCCAAATTTCTTTACTAGTGCTTGCGAACTTCAGGACCCACAGACAAGTACTGTTTTATCCATACAATTTTTTTTTTCAAAGGCTCCCAACATTTAAAAATTGTGAGAGTTGGTCAGGCACGGTGGCTCACACCTGTAATTCCAGCACTTTGGGAGGCAAAGACAGTGGATCACTTGAGGGCAGAAGTTCAAGACCAGCCTGGCCAACATGGTGAAACCCCATCTCTACTAAAAATACAAAAATTAGCTGGGCGTGGTGGCGGGGGCCTCTAATCCCAGCTACTCGGGAGACTGAGGCATGAGAATTGCTTGAATCTGGGAGTTGGAGGTTGCAGTGAGCCAAGATCATGCCACTGCACTCCAGCCTGGGTGACAGAGTAAGACTTGGTCTCAAAATAATAATAATATAATAATAATAATAATAATAATAATAATAATAATAATAAAATGAAATGAAGAGAAATGGGATCATTCACATAAAAAAATTAGGATTTCCACAATGTGTACATATATCAAATCATCATATTGTACTCTGTAACTGTATATACATTTTATCTGTCCATTATAAAAAAGATTTTATTTCTAGTTTGCTAGAAGTTGCATATAGAATTTTATCAAATGCTCTTTTGCATCTACTGAGATGATCAAATAAGTTTTCTCCTTCATTATGAAAAGCAAATTAGGATTTCCAACTTCTCTCAAAAGTGTCGAGAGTCTGCCAATCTTGGGTGTAATTTCTTTTATGGCTACCTTGTGCCAAAGCTGAGCAGGGGTGTCCTCCTCTGGAGAATGTGTTTATTCAGGTCCTCTCTTCCTCTGCTCACTCGCCTGACCCTTCCCTTAAGCAGTTGAGTTTTGCTTCAACCTCTTCTTCGTTCATCTCACTGTTCACAGTTAGCTTAATCACCAGGGTGGCTACAGTCATGCAGAGAAGAGCTCAGCACTCTCAATTATATTAGTAGTTAACACCTCCATGAGCAGAGGTTAAAACAAAGCCTTTGGATGTATTAGATATTTCATACATCCATAGTCATAAAAAGCAAGGTTAATAAAAATGTGTCTTTGGTATATTAATTGAAGTGAAGGAAAGTATTACTGAATTAATGGAATAAATGGAACATCTGATCGATAGAACATTTTTACAGCCATCTACTTTGTTTAAAAGCCAGGCTTATTAAAGTGTAATTTGCACACAATAAAATTCACCTCTTTGAGTGTATAGTTCTAAGTTTCGACAAATGCACACAGTCACGTAAACATCACTAGGATTGCGGTATAGAACGTGCCCATTACTCTCCAAAATTTCTATTTGCCTTTGTAGCCCCCTCCTTCCTCTACCTCCAGTCCTGGCAACCACTGATTAGTTATTTGTCTCTAGAGTTTTACCTTTTTCAAAATGTCATAAAAACAGGATCATGCAGTATGCAGCTTTTGGATCTGCTTTCTTCTACTTAGCAGGATGCATTTGATAGTCACCTATGTATCAATAGTTTGTTCCTTTTCAATGCTGAATGGCATTCCATTGAATGAACGCACCACAGTTTATTTCATACTGAAAAGACCTTAAAATTATGCAAGTTTTGGGTAATTATGAAAAATGTTGCTATAAATATTCACCAACAATCTTCATGCAAACATATATTTTCATTTCTCCTGAGTAACTAGCTAGGATTGGGATTGCTAGGTTGTATGCAGACTGTATATATAACTTCATAAAATACTGCAAACTCTTTTTAAACATAGTTTTAGCAGTTTGCATCCCCATCAGCCATGTCTAATAGTTGGTTTGTATCTTCAGCAGCATTTGATATTATCCATTTTGTTTTGATTTTGTTTAGTCATTCTGATAGGTGTATAATAGGCATTTCTTTGAGGTTTTAATTTTTGCCCTCATGACTAATAATGTTGAATAATATTTCTTGTGCTTAATTGCTGTCCTTATATTGTCTTTGGTGAAATATCTTTTTCAAATATTGTACCCATTTTTTATTGATTATTTTCCTGTTACGATTTTTGAGAGTGCTTTATATATTCTGAATGCAAGTCCTTTGTCAGATAAGTGTTTTAAGATAGTTTCTCTGAGTATGTGTCTTTGGAAGAGCAGAGGTGTTACATTTTAATGATGTTTAGTTTATTAATATTTTCTTTTAGTTATTGGTTTTTTGGTGTCACATCTAAGGAAGCTGTGCCTTACCCAAGGCCACAATGATTCCCTAAATGTGTATAGTGTTGTTCAGGTCTTCTATATTCCTACTGATCTGTTTGTTCTGTCACTTATTGAGAGAAGAGTATTGAGGTCTCCAACTATGTTATGGTTTTGTCTGTTTTTTATTTTAGCTCTGACAGCTTTCGTTTCATGTATTTTGAACACTGTCTTAGGTACATACTTAGGATTTTTTTGTTGTTGTTCAATCAATCCACCTTTATGTAATGCCTTTCTTTATTCTTAGAAATATTTCTTGTTCTAAAATCTATTTTATCTGATATTAATATAGCCACCTCAGCTTTCTTTTGATTGGTATTTTTATGGTAATATCTTTTTCATCTTTTTACTTTTAACTTATGTCTCTATATGTAATGTTGGTTGTTTATAGGCAGCATATAGTTGGGTTTCACTTGTTTATCCAATCTGATAATCTCTGTCTTTTAAGTGTAATGTTTAGACCACTTATATTTAATGTAATTATTCATCTATTTGTATTAAGATCTACTATTTTGCTCATTGTTTTATTTATGTTCCATCTGCTCTTTATTCTTCTTTCCCTACCAGCTTTTATATTGAGTATTTTCTATGGTTCCATTTTATCTCCACTATTGGCTTATTATTTATACTTCTTTTTAAATTTTAGTCATTGCTCTATGGCTTACAAAATACAATTTTAATTAATCATTACTTGCATTCAAATTATGTTACGGTGCTTTGTATGCTATATAAGAAATTTACAACAGTATATTCCTTACACTGTTTTCCTCTACTATGTTTTCAAGTACATGCACTCACGTACCCTAGGTGTGACTGGGAGAATTGTCATTTAAAAATTATCTTTATGTCTATTAAAGAAGAATAAAAATTGTATTAATGGTGTTGCTTTTGTTTCTAAATGGGTACTTCTGATGTTCTTAAAACCAGTTTCTCTTCAAGATGTTATTCTCCTACCTGTGCACTGAGCTCCCTTGTTTTATATGCCTTTAGGAACTTAGAAGTTGCTGCATTCAAGGAGAAAGCAAATGTGAAATACAACCCATCTGGAGTCTAAATCAGCAAAATTTCCAAGACAATGGATTCCAGTTATTCTCCCAGAGAGACTGATTTCTTGTCTTCCACAATGTGTACGCATTTTTTCTTCCTGATTAAGGATGTTCTTAATAATGTGTTAGGAATGTTGAGTTTACACTTGCATATGGCTGGAATCCTAAAGTAACCCAAAGACTTAATATAGAAGACCATGTCTTTTCTATGTATAACATTTTTTTCTTTCTTCTCTCAATACCCTTCATCTTGCCAGCAACATGGTGAGTTATCACTTATGGACTAATTAGGAAGGTTCAGTATCATAGAAACAACAGCTTAAGTTTGAGCTTCTGTTCCACCAGTTCCTGGATGAATTGGTCAGAAGTCTTTGGTTGTTAGCAACAGAAACATCTTAATACCTTAATTGCTTATTACTAAGTTATAAGAGATTGGAAGCTCTTGACTCCAGAGAAAGCTAAAGGACGAGGTTTCCTATGAGCAGGAAGCTGCCAGGTGCTGGGTTCCTGTAGCTATAATTGTCTGGCTTCTTTAGGGTACCGCAGTTGGAAAACAGGAACCATTTTACTTATTTTTGTCTCAGTGCTCATGTTTTAGATTCCAGGGTGAAAGAAGCCTATACCTTGGCTAAACTTTTCACCTGGGGAATTTTGAAAATACCAATCCCCAGGCCTTATCCCAAACCAATGGAATCAGGCTCTTTGGTAGGGATGGAGTAGGGGTGGGTGTGGAGGCAGGGCTGATCAGTTTTACTGTTTAAAAGCTCTTCAGGTGATTCTAACTCTCAGGGATGCACACAGATTGTGTAGGCCCATCTCTATCTAGAAAGGTATAAGACAGCCTCATTAATAGTTCCATCATTTTGTATCCAAGGGGAAAGGATTTTCCTCCCAGAGAAAAACTGAAGAGCTGTTACTAAAAGAAGGTGTGATGGATGCTGGATGAAAAATCAACCAATGTTCATTCCACTGGCCCTAAGACCTAGTGTATGTAGTGAAAAAATAAAGGACAGCTTTTCTGAGCCTCAGTTTTGTTTTATAAGTCAGGGTTCCCCAACCCTCTGGTCATGGTTTGGTACTGGTCCGTGGCCTATTAGGAACTAGGCTGCAGAGCAGGAGGTGAGTGATGGATAAGCGAGCAATGCTTCCTCTGAATTTATAGCTGCTCCCCATCCCTCACATTACTGCCTGAGCTCTGCCTCCTGTAAGATCAGCGGTAGCATTAGATTCTCATAGAAGCTAGAATCCTATCATGAACTGTGCATGCGAGGGGCCTAGGTTGCATGCTCCTTATGAGAATCTAATGCCTGATGATCTGTCACTGTCCACCACTAGCCCCCAAGATGGGATGGTCTAGTTGCAGGAAGACAAGCTTAGGGCTCCCACTGAATCTACATTATGGTGAGTTATATAATATTTTATTATATAGTACAGTGTAATAATAATAGAGATAAAATGCACAATAAATGTAATGTGCTTGAATGATGCTGAAACAATCCCCCCACCCCCTGGTCCGATGTAAAATTGTCTTCCACAAAACTGGTCCCTTTTGCCAAAAAGGTTGGGGACCACTGTGCTAAGAAGGGATAATATCTATTTTATAGGATGGTTGACAATATTTAATGCAAAAGTGGACTAGAGATACTTAGCACGCTTTATGAATTTCCAAGGGCAGTTGTAACAAACATGGAAGCTTAATGTAACAAAAATTGGTCCTCTCACAATTCTGGGGCCAAAAGTCCAAAATCATATGTTGTCAGGGCCATGCACTGTGCTGAGCCCCCAGGGGAGGATCCTTCCTTGCCTTTTCCAGCTTCTCTTGGCTCCTGGTGCTCTTGGCTTGTGGCAGCATCACAGCAATCTTTGCCTCCGTCTTCACATGGCCTCCCATTCTAAATGATCCTTACCTGTCTGTCTTATAAGGATACCGGTCATTGGATTTATAACCCACTGTAATCCAGGATGATCTCATTTCAAGATCCTTAATGACATCTGAAAAGAGATTTTTTTCTTAAGCAAGGACATATTCACAGGTTCTAAGTGGACATTCGCTTTTGAGGCCATGCAAACTATTGCATGCGGTAAGACTTGGCATATAGTAAAGTTCAATAAATCAGGGCCATCATTATTTGTATTATTAAAGCCATGGAGAAGAAGAATCCACAGTACAATACAATGGAAACCTTACATAGATATTTTTTAAAAATAACTGAGAATAATTTAAAACACAAAGCAAAGAAAACAGAACTGTGCATTCAACAATATCGGGGAATAGGAAAACTGGTCAAGTGTGAGGTGTTTGTTTATTGTAGACCTAAACAGAGAGCCAAAGGTTTATATTCTGAGACATCCCTTGACCACTTCATGCTTAACTACAGCTTAGGCATAATTCCATCTGGCTTAGTGTTAGGATATTCTTGACACGATCTTAAGCTTCCCTTCTCCTTCTGAGTTCTCAGAGTCATGAAAACCATCCAGAGCAGGCCCCATTTCTCTCTTAGGTTAATTTTTTCTCCCAACTCTGCAGTTGACTTTTTTCATCCTTCTTGCTCAATTGGTCCCTCTGGCCCCATAATTATGTTTACTTTTGCTGTGTTTCCTCACTGTCTCTGCGGACCCAGATGCTGTAGAAATGTGGATCAAATGCTGGCCACTTTGGCACGCGGTATTCTACTAGCAAGTCTTTGAGGCAACAAGGGATTCTTATATTCCCAAAATAAAGGAACTTGAAGAAAACTGCCTCCTGCCTCAACACACACATGTGTGCATGCATGTGCGTGCATGCACACACACACACACACACACAATTCTAGGCTAGTTTCTGGTCTTATCATTGAGTTACAGCTTAGTGATGATTTTAAGACAAAACAAACAAACAAAAAAGAAAAAGCTCTTACTTATGCCCTAAACAAGGTATTCCTGAAAATGTGATTTTTGTCTCCACTGGAAACAATGAGGTTGGGTTTGACACACTGAAGCAGTTTTCCCTGTTTGATGGAAATGTTTTTTGAATATGCACCAAATTATTCAGTTTCTTATTCACGATTCCTCTAGTTACAAATGCCAAAACTCCCAGCTTAAGCAAACCATACCAAAGTCAAAAGAAGGAAAAAAATAATTTGTTCAGTAACTGCAAAGTCCAGATAGACTTCAGGCACAGCTGGATCCAGGGGTCAAGTGATGTCATTGGACAGTTTCTGTTTCTCCCAATCTCTTGGCTGCTCTGTCCTCTTTGCTGTCTTCATTTTGGAGAGGCCATCATTATCAACAGCACCTCCAGGCTTATATTCTGTCCACACAGCATACTCAACTAAAAGAAAGTGACTTCTCACACGGTTGTAGAAAAAGTTGCAGGGGCAGATTTTTGGCACTCACTACAGCCTTTCGCCCACTTACTGCGGACTTAAGGGAATGGGGTTTTCTGATGATGCAGATCTTGGGCACAGGAATTCTGGGAGCCTGGGGGTGAGGTCACTTCCACCCACACCACTAAGATAGAAGGTGTGATGATGCCCAAACACAGGTGGAGCTGTTTCAGAAGATGGGGAATGACTGCCCAGCAGGCAAAACCCTATTCATCAACCAAATGAGCAAAATGAAGGGAATCAAAAGCCACTGGATGGCCACTTCTCACGGGTGTGCTCCACATTGTGGGGGCAGCCCACATGGGAGGTCAGCTCGTTTCTCCTGCCTATGCACAAACAACAAAGTCCAGGACATCTCAAATTAGGAAGGTGGCCTTCTTTATCTCTCATCACATCTCTACCTCTGGGTGGCTTTTCCTCTTTTCTGCTTGTCTTGACCTTCATTCATTCTTCTCTCATTGATATCCAGCCATCCAACATCCCTCCAATAAGAGATGGGCACTGCAATAGTAGCATCTTCTATCACTGACCTCCTCTTGCAGATAAGGAGACCTTACTTTCAACCTCAGGTGCTCACCCCCAGGACTGTGGGATCCCTGGGCTGAGTTGCTAAAGCCTGCCAGTTTCTCATGCCGCAGCTGTATACGGTGACCCTAAAAGGCTTGCCCCTCTGGCATCCTGATTTAGGAGAACAAAAATCTCAGGGGAAGTCTATGTTTCGGGGCATTTGTTCTGCTCCGGCTTTGTTCCCTCTTTCCTGCCTCCTAAATGGCAATAGGTTCTTATCTTCAATTTTTGTAAACCTTTTGGGTCACGACACAGCCCCGGGTTACCATTTTCTTTATTTTCCACTGTTTAATTGTAAGCAATGAATTGACTGAGAGAGCAGACTTTTCTCATTTGCCTTCAAACTCAGTGTTTTCATCTGTCGTGTTCATATCCTATTAACTAAATGACGTTTCCTAGCTGGGATCTCTCACTGCCTTCTCCTGGTCAGTTGTCTCCCTGGCCATGTCCTGGCCCTTGACCCCAGCCTGTCTCCCTGCGGCACCGATGCCATGGAGGTGACAGCTGGCAGTGGTTTGACTGTGTGGTTGCCTGTTAGTTCTGGGTGGGAAGGGGTCCCCTCTACCATTCACAGAGGCAAGAAGCCTACAAACATCAGCTTTTTACTAAACCCCGGTGGTCAGGGTGTCCATGATGACTAAGTTTTTGTCTTAACTTGTGTGGGCCACGGTTCCCAGATATTTGTGCAGACTTGATTCTATACGTGTATGTGTGTGTGTGTGTGTGTGTGTGTGTGTGTGTGTGTTTGGGTGAGATTAACAAATTGGTGGATTTTGATAAAACAGGTTACTCTGCATAATGTGGGTAGCCTCATCCAATGAGTTGAAGGCCTGCAGAGATCAAAAGGCTGACCACCCCTAGAAGACAAGAAGGAATTCTGCCAGTCGACAGCATTTGGACGTGAACTGCAACATTAGGTCTTCCTTGGGTCTCCAGCCTGCCAGCCCACCCTACAGATTTTGGACTTGCCAGACTCCATAATTGCATGAGCCAATACCTTAAAATAAGTTTCTCTCCTTATATACTCACTCTATTGGTTCTATTTCCCAGGAGAACCCTGAGTAATAGAGGGTCCTGGAAGATCTAGTCCCAGGCAAAGGGAATTTTGTTTTCTCTCTCACATATCTCACCTGTCTATTCTCCAAGCACACTCATTATCTCCATTCCTTGAAGATAATGGATTCCCAGAACTGGCCACATAAAAGGAATATACTTCAGAGACAGAATTGGTGCTGTCATTTTTTTTATTATTATTAAATCACTGCTAATCCTCTAGAGACAGTGCTTCCTTACTTTGTTCATTAGCCCGACGGGAAGATCTAAATGTCCACCATCCTCAGCAAACACCAGCTGCATGTTTAAGCCCTTCTTGACTAGTGGTCAGATCATGTCCTCTGCCCCAAATTCTCTAGTGTCTCCCATCACATTCAGAGGTAATACCACAGTCTGTGCGGTGATCTACAAGGCGCTCTGTAATCTCTGACCCCGTAGCATCCTTCTGACCTCATTTTCAACCCCACACTCTGCTCCAGTCCCATGGGCCTGCTTGCTGGGCTCACCACCCCAGATAGGCTCCCACCGCAGGGCCTTTGCACATGCCTACTGTGGGGTAACTTCTAGATACCCTCATGACGCACTTTCAGCTTCTCAGATCTGTGTGCCAAGGGCACCTCCTCATGGAAGTCTCCCTATGCACATTGTCTGTTGTTCTCCATTCCTGCCCTTTCTGTGCCCTGTCCCTATTTTGTCCTTTCTCTTTGCACTTATCACCTCCTGATAAACTATAACTTTGACTTATTTAACTGTCTTCCCATTCCCTAGAATTAAAGCTCCATGAGAACAGAAATTTCAGCCTATTGTTTCATGGTTGTATTTATCTATTTTGCTGATGGCTCTAGTACCTCTGGTACTCTGGTGAGGCCCCGAATGCTTGATAAATGAATGAACGGACAAGTGAATAAATGACTTCAGTCTGTCTTCGGCTTCTCATATTATCTGTCCTTCATTCTGAGCCAGTCTCTTGAATCTTGATAGCCCAAGATTCATGCTGCCTGCTACATACATGAAAATGGGGAGGTAAGTTTTATATGCCAGAAATCTCTGAAGGCCACCATTTTATTAAAGGTCTCTAGCTGAGAATGGAGCCTGTCTTCATCTCTTCTCTCCGTCAGTCGCTCCAGGGAAGTGCCCCCGTCAATTTGAGGTGAGAGTGCTCAGAAGAGGAGTGTGATACACAAATTCACATGCTGGCCAGGGGCAACATTTTCAAGTCGCCGACTTTATTTCTGAGTTGTCCTACCCTCCCTTGTATCCATCTGCCTCTTACTTTCAGGTGAGATATAGGAGGGGCTCCTTCCTTGTAGACAAGAGATTCTCAAAACTGACTACATTAAAGGACTAAACTTCAAACACAGACCAGAATTCTATCATAAATAGTGAAAAGCATCCTAATATCCTTATATAAGGAAAACATGCTTAAATTCAGTTAACTTAATAGCGTAATCACTAGAATAATGGGGACGGACTACTAATGAGTATAAGGTATCTTTTGAGTGGATGGAAAGATATTATAATGAGGCATCAGATGTGACTTGATCTGGGTATTCAATTATAACATTAGAATTTGTTTAAAAAGTGATTTACTCGGCCTGTTATACTGTTGGCTTCCTTATTAGGTTCTAATTTGTGGCTCTTGGAAGTTCCAAGTTTACATGCTTGAGGGGTCAAATATCTCTCTCTCAATAATCCCAGCAAAAGTCATACTGTGTTTCATTGGCTCTGTTTGTTTCATATGCCAGTTTCTGAACCATTCAACCCAGTCAATAGAAAACAATGTGCTCTAATTATCCAGGCCAGGGAGCTGTGGGAGGAGTTCATATGGGCTAGAAGTGGGATGCAGAGAAAAATGTGGGTGTTGTTACCCACATTTGAGACCAGAAAAAGAACGATACATATTCCTACATCTCCAGCTTTGAGACTGTGATCAACACAGGTCACAGGAACATAGAAGAGTCATGCAAGCAAGTAGTATCTCTTTCCTCCTCAGAAGTCTACTTGGATTAGTATCTATGAACAGGAGACAGCATGAAGATGTGTTTTCCTAGTTGAGTTTGTGTCATACTTGCCTGAAACCAAGGATAAGCAAACATCATGTATCACTCAGCTGTCAACCCAGGCTGCCTTCAATATCAGAGGCAAAATGAGATAGATACAAGAGGTGGCCCGAGTGCCAGTTGGAAGAGAGAAAGATGAGATCTAAAACAGGTTTGTTTCAACAAGTTAGGACCCCTTCCTCTCCAGACAGGTCCTGTTTGGGAGGCAAGATCAAGGCTTGGTGGTTATACTGGCCTGAATCAAATCCCTGCTCCACTGTGTAGACATGGGAAAGCCAATTGTAGCATCAAACCTCAGCTTCTGGGTCTGTCACTGGGGCTAGTAAAATGTGTCTCATGGAGTTATTTAAAAGGATCAAATGACCTAATGTCTATTTGTCTTTATTTTTCATTTGCACATTTTGGATACAATCTCCGTTGTTCTCTGTCCTGCTCTGAACCCTAGGAGGCTGACCCTGCAAAGGGCAACTCCTGGTTCTTGTATCTGCTGGATTCCATGGGGGGCTGACTAGTGGGGACATGGCAAGAGATTGGAGGGCAAGAGAAAGGAGAAGCTGGAATATTTGTTCCCCACTCGCTCCTTGTTTGGGCCCATCTCTGGCTGTGCCTTTGTCTCCCCATGAATCTAATTCCTGTTGGGTGGCCTCTGTTCAAGATTCCAGCTCCCACTGACCTTGAGGAACACTCCCTTCTCCACTTCCCCCTTCAGGTGAAGATAATGTCTATTTCTTATCTCTAGGTACCCAGCCTCATTATTTCATTTCTTCCATAAATAGTTCCTTCATAAAAGGGACTTTGAACATTGGAGTTGGATTCTCTTTCCTCCTGAGGCTGACACCTATACAAATAAAAACTACTCATACATAGTGGAAAATGGCTGGAGTTTTTTGTTGTTTTTATGTTTAAACAAGCTCAAACATTTAGAATATTTCAAAAATAGGTGCCTAGAACTTTTGTCCCATGAACCATCTCAGAGTAACTGGCTGAGTTGATGCTTATCATCCCTGAATGTTTTGTTGTGTATTTCTTACAAACAAGACATTCTCTTACAAAAGCACAAGATAACATCAAAATCAGAGAATTACCACTGCTGCATTATTACCACACAATACTGTTGTATTATTCCGTTTTCACATTGCTATAAAGAATTCCCCTGAGACGGGGTAATTTATAAAGGAAAGAGGTTTAATTGACTCACAGTTCTGCATGGCTTGGGAGGCCTCAGGAAACTTACAATCATGGCAGAAGGCAAAGGAGAAGCAAGTACCTTTTTCACATGGTGGCAGGAAAAGGAAGAGGCAAAAGGAAAAGTGTCCCTTATAAAACCGTCAGATCTTGTGAGAACTCACTCATTATGATGAGAAAAGCATGGAGAAAGCCACTACCCCCCTCCTCATGATCCAGTCACCTCCCACTAGGTCCCTCCCTGGACGTGTTGGGATTACAGCAGTTCCAGATGAGATTTGGGTGGGGACACAGAGCCAAACCATATCAACTATTGTCCCAATAATTCACAGCAGAAGGATCTAGTTCAGGATTGCACATTGCAGTTAGTTGTCATGGGTTTTTACTTTTTTTCAGTCTTCCCTTGAATTTCATGACTTTGACACTGCGGAAGCTTACCAGGCTAGTTATTTTGTGACACGTCTCTCCATTCAGATTTGTCTGATGTTTCTTCCTGATTAGTGATTCAGATGCTACATTTTGGGCAGGAATGCTCCAGACAGGATGCTCTGCTGTTGTCTTTGTACTTTATCGGGTTGCATGGGATTTAAATGTGTCACAATATTAATGATGTTCTCTTTGATCACCTGATTAAGGTGGTGTCTGCTGGGCTTCTCTACTGTGAGGTTACTCTTATTCCCTTTGAAATTAAGACATATTTTGTGGAAAGATGTTCAGAGTCTACGTGATGATCCTGTTCCTCATTAGAATTTCAACATTTCATTATGAATCTATAACAGGATGGGTTCCTGGATTTCTTTTGTACTCTATGGCTTACATTTCATTACTATAACTGTTTATTTTGATGCTCACAATATCACAGGTTTGGCCAGTGGGAGCCATTTTATGACAACTTCTGTGTTGTTCTGACATGTCCTCCTTCTTTAAGCACTGCCCTACTTTCTGGATGTAAGATCCTCAAGGCTCATCTGTACCTTCCCTGCCCCAGTTTTGGAATCAGTTCAGTTGCTTTTAGTGGGGAAATGGTATTTAGACATCAAGATCCTGGCTCTGCATGTGCTCATGACTAATGGGGTGCTCTAGTTCCACTCAGTGGACAGAGGCAGGAAATCATTGTGCACACATTGGCCTTTCTCTCTTCCTCTCTCATTACCTCTCTACCTCCATCTACTGTTCTGTATCTAGGCATCTCTCTCTCTCTCTCTCCCTCTGTCTGTCTCTCTCTACTAACCTATCCTAGCTATCTACTGTTCTCTGTCTACTGTTCTGTGTCTATCTACCTATGCCTCCAGCCATCTATCTATTATCTAATCTATTTATCTGCCTTAAAAACCATGAGTTCACACTGATGCCTCAGATTCTAATCCAGCACCACAGGAGTCATTCTAGGTTTCTTCCTTTCTGTGTTTGTAGTTCCCTTTTCCTAATCCCAGGCCAGGCCATTTCCCCTGCCTTCCCCATCTCAGTCCACTCAATCTCCAGCCCCTGATGCCGCCTGTCCTCCTTGCCACTCCTCTGACCCCCTGCCTCAGCCACTGAGTCTCCACTGTCTGCCTTGCTGGGCCTCTCCTGATGGTGTTGGGCTGAACTGTTCAGAAGCAGGAGGAAGAGGGGCAGCATCCAGTTTGTATCTTCAGTTACATGAACTCCATTATATTATCTGTTTAGAAGAATCCTATAAAGTTCAAGTCAAAGGAATGTGCTGCAACTTCTCTACCTCAGGATACCCATTTTTTGGCAGGTCGGGGTGGTGAATGAGCACGTTGACCAGAGAGGACCATGGGCCCATGTACCACCATGTACTGACCAGCCATTCCTAGGAAAATAACGTGAGCCAATTTGCATAACAAGTCTACTCTTACATATCTATATCCTATTGGTTCTGTTTCTCTGGAGAACTCTGACTGATACAGCATCTAAACAGTCATTCGTGTTTAGGAGTGTATAGTGCTCTGGGAGGACCATCATTTGTGTGACAGATATACATATGTGTGTAAACTTACTCTTATGGTAACCTCAGGAGATAAGCACATTTGTTAGTCCTACAACTGGGGACACTGAGAGCATTTCTAAAATGTAAAGCAAATGATTGGCAGAGTCAGGGTTTGGACCTACTGGGTCTATCTCCATGGTCCTTGGCACATGTGCTGTGACCACCACACTGTGAGTGCCCTCAAGCCTATGTGAAGCCAATCCACATCAATCTAAGCCAGCTTTCCTGTAAGAAATAATGGCAAGAGGTTTCCTGTAAGAAATAATGGTGAAAGGTTAGCAGAGTGCCTCTTCTATGCACAGATTAGACTTCCCGTGTAACTCTAGCCCACATAAATAAGACAATTTCTACCTATAGCAGTTAAACATATAGTAACATTAAAAGTCAGTGGCTTAAGTTAATTGGAATTATGTAAAATAAGAAAATGATATAGATGAATTTGGGATAAATTATCATTTTAATAATAATAACCCTTTCTAAGGCTATGGTATCTCATAGAATAGAAGTAAAGAGTAGAAGACAGCCAGCATGGTGTCTCATGCCTGTAATCCCAGTACTTCGGAAGGCTGAGGTGGAAGGATTGCTTGAGCCCAGGAGTTCAAGACCAGCCTAGGCAATGTGGTGAGAACCCAGCTCTACCCCAAAAAATAAACACAAAAAATTAGCTGGGCGTGGTGGTGAGTGCCTTTAGTCCCAGCTACTTGGGAGACTGAGGTAGGAGGATTGTTGACCTTCAGAGGTGGAGGTTGAAGTGAGCCAAGATTGCACCACTGCACTCCAGCATGGGAGACAGAACAAGACCCTGTTTAGTGAGGTAGGAGGGATAAGTTCCAGCACTGCAGGGTGACTATGATGAACAACAATTTATTGTATATTTTCAAATACCTAGAAGAACAGATTTTGAATGTTTTCAACAAAAATGGTATTTGAGGTGATTGATATGCAATTACTCTGATTTAATCATTACACATTTTGTACATTTATCAGAATATCATATTGTACCCCATGCATATGTACAATTATTGTGTTTTAATTACAAATAGGAATGAAAACAAAAAAAAAGACATTTTAGTAAATAAATAAAATTATCTTATCACCAGCTTTTAAAAGATTAAAGAGCTTAATGTCGTTGCCAGGGAAGAACATTAGACTCTTAAACACAAGTAACAGGTTAACACCAGTGTAGGCAGCAGAGGAACTTTTACAGACAGGCAAGCCAAGGAAAGATTGACTAAAAGAGGAGAGGAACCAGCCGGACCCAGGGGTTCACTGGGATTTGAATAGGGCGTCAAGGACATATTCATTCTCTCTCTCTCTCTCTCTCCCTCTCCCTCCCCTCGCCCCCATCTCTCTCTCCCCATCTCTATCCCTCTGTCCCTTTCTCTCTTTCTCTCTCTCTCTCTCCCCATCTCTATCCCTCTCTCCCTTTCTCTCTTTCTCTCTCTCTCTCTCTCTCCCCATCTCTATCCCTCTCTCCCTTTCTCTCTTTCTCTCTCTCCCCATCTCTATCCCTCTCTCCCTTTCTCTCTTTCTCTCTCTCCCCATCTCTATCCCTCTCTCCCTTTCTCTCTTTCTCTCTCTCCCCATCTCTATCCCTCTCTCCCTTTCTCTCTTTCTCTCTCTCCCCATCTCTATCTCTCTCTCCCTTTCTCTCTTTCTCTCTCTCCCCATCTCTATCCCTCTCTCCCTTTCTCTCTTTCTCTCCCCACCTCTATCCCTCTCTCCCTTCCTCTCTCTCTCTCTCTCTCTCCCCATCTCTATCCCTCTCTCCCTTTCTCTCTCTCTCTCTGCCTCCTTCACACACACGCATGCTTTCATGGAGGCTTCATTCTCTCATTTGGATTTTCTACATTATGGGAAATGTGGCCTCTGAGAGCTCCTGGACTTCAGTTCTCAGGAAGGTCTTTGCTTCCCTTAGCTTATACGTGAACATTTCAGGAAACGACTCTGCCTTGCTTGGTGGAATGTGCCCACTCCTGGATGCAGGCTTACAAACTCAAATGCCTCCAGGGCCCCTGCTTAGACAGGAGTGAAGCACATTGATTGGGCTATGATGAACGGGAATATGATGCTCAGTTTGTGAGGCCAGGGCCACTCCCACATGGTGACAGCAGGTGAGAGTAGCTCTGGCCCCCATAGACAGTAGTGGGTGTGGGCAGAATAATTCCTAAGCCTTATTGATTTACATAAACCGGGAAATAAGGATATTTAAATATGAAATGGCAGCTTTCAAGTGTGGACAGCAAAATAAAAAATTGTTAAATGCTGTGTGGGACAAATAGTCTAGGTTATGACCTCAGGACCATTTTTCATTTCTGCCTTTGACCACTGAACTTTGATGGAAAGGATGAGATACTAGAAGTGGCTCAGTTTGGGCACACAGTCACCTGAGGCCAAAGCAGCAAGATCCACACAGACATTGAAGTTCCCATCCAGTCCATGCAGCTGGAGTTTTGAGATCCCTTCCCAGAAGAAGGGACGTGTTGGTACCAGAAGAAGGGAGAGAGGGAGTGCCGGGCACGTGAGATTATTGTCCATTGAACAGGATCCTGGAAAACTTGAGAGAGAGGGGTAGAAAGAGTAAAGATGTTGGTCAAGAGAATAAGAGAAAGAAGACGAAGAAAAACTATGTTATCTCTGCCAAATGATGCTGCTTTTCCAAGAAGGGCAGCGGTTTTGCCAGCACTACTTGTGATCATGTCTGTGAGAAATCTTGTTCCTTCTCCTTTAAGTTTTGCAGTCAGAGTTTCTCAGCCTCAGCACTGTTGACATGTTGGGCAAGATTATTGTTTATTGCTGGGGTGGGGGAGTGTCCTGTGCAGGGCTAGATGCCAGCAGCATTTTCCCTGCCCACACAGTTATGACAACCAAAAATGTCTCCAGCCATTGCCAAATGTCCCTTGGGTGCATTGAGAACCTCTGGTTTAAATCCTGCCCACTCTGTATAAAGTACTTCCTGCATCAAAATATTGTCTTAAACTTTTTACTAGGAAATAATTTTAGGCTTTCAGAAAAGTTGCAAAAATAGTACAAAGAGTCTTACATACTTTTCACCTAGATTCCTCCAAATTAACATTTACCAGGTTTGTTTATCAGTATTTTTCTTAATAGCTTTGTCTGAATGTTTCTCTCTCTCTCCCCCTCTGTCTGCATATCTATATCTATATCTATATCTATATCTATATCTATATCTATCTGTGTGTGTGTCTCTAGGTGCAATTTTTCTGAATTAATTATTAGTAAGTTACACACATTATACCTCTATCATGTGTATTCCTTAAAATAAGGCAATTCTCTGATATAATCACATTGGTCAAAGTAAAATGGCATTGCTATGGTACTATTATGTATCTGCCTCCTTTATTCGAATGTTTCCAGTTATTCCATTACTGTTATTTAAAGCCAAAGAAAACTGATTTTTTCTGTTGGTCCAGCATCTCATGCTGTGCTTCCTTGTAATGTCTCTTTGTGTTTTTTTATCAGAAACAATTTCTCAGCCTTTTTTTGTCTTCATAACTCTGACGTGTTTGAAGAGTACAGGCCAGGTTTTTTAGAAGAATGTCCCTCAATTTGATCCGTGTTGATTTGGAGGTAATAGCTGCATTCATTTCGAATTGATCTAGCCCTTCCGGACATTGAGTTCTGAATTGGGATGATTGTGTGTTTGGTGCAGTCTTAATATCACTGTTGTCCACAGTTATCCCTGCAGGATCCTCTCTTACTTTTTTTTTTTTTTTTTTCTGAGATGGAGTTTTGCTCTTGTTGCCCAGGCTGGAGGGCAATGGCGTGCTCTCGGCTCACCGCGACCTCTGCCTCCCGGGTTCAAATGATTCTCCTGCCCCAGCCTCCTGAGTAGCTGGGATTACAGGCATGTGCCACCACGCCCAGCTAATTTTGTATTTTTAGTGGAGATGGGGTTTCTCCATGTTGGTCAGGCTGGTCTCAAACTCCCTACCTCAGGTAATCCGCCTGCCTCGGCCTCCCAAAGTGCTAGGATTACAGGCGTGAGACACCACGCCCAGCCCTCTCTTACTTTTAATGTCCCCATTATTGTGGCTGAAGGGCTCAGAAGCCCTCTGCCTCTGAGTAGGACACCCTCCTCTCCTTCCCTCCCCTGCAGCTGGGTCTGGGCTGTCCTGTTCTGGCGTGAGTGGTTTCTTCTGGCCCTGCCTCTTTATCTAGTAGAGTTCTGCCACTGAGTTTTCCCTGGGACAGCCACATGGGCACAGCTGTCTCCCAGGCAGCACTAGGGGAGGAGATCAGGCTCCCAGCTCCCCCAGCATGACACAGAGCTGGTGGGAATTTCAACAGGACTTTCTGAACGGTGAGGGACAACAGGGGCCCCATGTCACTGTGGAGGCTGGCACTCTTATATATTCATGGGTCAAACCCACTGTAGTCTCTGAAGTCTGGCACATGCTGTTGTACCTGAGTGTCACAGTCACAGGCTAAATAAGCCCTTTTCTTTTACAACCTTCCCTTCAGTGAGGGCTGAGGGAAATTCACATCTTCTTGCTTTCCCCTCCTTCCCTTGATTTCCCCAGGACAGCCAGCTCTTCTTGGCTTTTACTGCCCCGGAGAAGATGCTTAGACATACAGGCCTGCATGTGTGCACCGCCCCCCACACAGTCACACATTCACACACGCATGCATGTGCTCACACGCTCATGCTCATTAGCGCACACATGCACACTCACATTCACACATGCACCTCCCACACATTCACACACTCATGAACACACATGCACGTTCATTCACATGTGTGCCCACACGTGCACAAATACATATGCTCGCTAACACACACTGTAATGCATACATGCACGCTCATACGCATGCACTCACACACATACACCTGCATACTCTCACTTGTTCATTAATGCGCATATGCACCTATACACACCCTCTCACATGTTAACATACATGCACACTTATACACACGCACACATGCTCATGTGCGCACACACACACAGACACACATACGTGAATGCAGCCTTGTGACTAGCCGTTAGTTTTTAAGAACAAGGGAATCTAAATCCAGATTTAGGAATTTAAAAATGTCCCTAACTCCGTGGGGCACAGTCCTGTTAGTACATCTATTTGCGTGACTAACCAAAACAGTGAATATCTTCATTAGAGTTAATGGTAACTTTACAGTTTTCTCCAAGAACACGGCGTACCTGGTTTATAGGGGTGCAGCTGAAAACACATGCAAGCACACACACTCACAACACATTTTGGAGAATATTCTGAAAGAAAGTAGGCCCAAGAGGTGTATTTAACGTCCCCATCTTCAAAGACAGAAAATTGCTGGTAACTTTTAAATCAGCATTTTCTAATTTGCAGTCTGCCCTATATGATTCTCAATAATTTTTGGCCTATATTGGTATCATCTGCACTTCCATTTACTTAACAACAGCTTTTCTCTATTTCAAGTCTTTTAATCTGAGCTTTGCCCTAAGCAATCATTTCCATGAAAGTCACTGTTTTACATACTAATTGCATTTTCCCCAAAACATCAAGCTAAATACATAACTGATAGCATGTTTAAAGGTCCTATGTTTCACCTCAAATTATCTCATATTTCACATGAGGCAAACCCTGTCCTGAGGCCCTGATGAAGATGGGCAGGCAGATCTGATATCAGCTGCTTTTCTTTCCTTGATGGAACCTCTGGATTGCGTGCCCTATCCTATAATGTGAAAAAAGGGCTTCCAGAAAAGGTGGAGGAATTACTTTCTGAAATTCTGAAAGGCTGGATCCAAAGGTGCAGAAAGGAACATTATTTCCTACCATATAAAACCCAGTAGGGCGTGTGATGCTGGGACACTGTATGAGTCCATTCTCATACTGCCATAAAGAAGTACCTGAGACTGGGTATTTTATAAAGGAAAGAGGTTTGGTTGACTCACAGTTCTGCAGGCTTAATAGAAAGCATAACTGGGAGGCCTCAGGAAACTTACAGTCATGGGAAATGGGAAGCAAGGGACGTCCTACATGGCAGCAGGAGAGAGAGAGAGTGAAGGGGGAAGTGCCACACTTTTAAACTATCAGATCTCATGAGAACTCACTATCATGAGAACAGCATGGGGAAAGCCGCCCCCATGATCCATTCACCCCCGACCAGGTCCCTCCCTTGACATGTGGAGATTTCAATTCAAGATGAGATTTGGGTGGGGACACAGAGCTAAACCATATCGGACACTGAAGATGTGTGACGCACTGTTCCACCGGGAGTTATAGCCCCATTGAATTGTCAAATAGGGTCCCCCCTGGCCAGGTGCTGAATTATTCCAGACCAGGACATTGCTGGGCTTGGGCCCATCAACCAACATACAAGTCAGCATTTCCCAACTTTAAACATATATGCCCTTTCCAAATAAACATAAAAATCCAGAGATTTTTCTCCACTCCTTCTCTCAGAGGAGAGAACATGATCCCTTAAAGATCCTGTTCTTTATTCTCCAAGCCAAAAGAACAACAAATAGATTCACTTTGCCTTCTGTGGCTCATTTAACAAAAAAAAAAAAAAGAAATAAGTGATTTCCCAATTTCATAATAGAAATGACTGAATATGCATTTTAATGCTAAACCCATTTCAGAATTCTGATGTATACATATCCCACCCCTCCCAGTTGAGAATTGCTGGTCCAAATGGAAGTTTACATCTTTTCCACAATGAAAGCCACTGAACTGGAGCGTGCTGTAGGTGAGTGCACCATCCTCCTGGTGAGGTGAGGTCCTGCAGCTCTTAGGCCTCTAAAGAGCTGGATGACCCGAGCAGCACAGGAATCCCCAAATTCTCGAGGGACATTCTTATGGTCTGAGCCAGCTGCAAGGCGATCCCAGAATTCCCCTGCAAGTACATCCAAGAAGAAATAAATATCTATAGAGGTGTTGCAAACCTCCCAGGAGTCATGACACAAATGAAGTCCTTTGAAGTCCAGTTCCCCTCTGGTGTAGGTACCGTTTTCACCCTATAGTGCAGAGTTTCTGTCCCCACACGCTAGATGCCAGCAGCATCCAGCCTCGCTGATGACAACCAAAACATCTCCATACAGTGCCAGGTGCCCTTTTCCCCTGGATGGGCTGATACTGAGGGGCTGAGCTGCCTGCAGCCCGCACCAACTGTGTGAATGCAGCCGACCTGCTGCGGGAGGAGATGATGCTGGGATTCCCAGAACAGCAGAAATAGGTGAAAGGGGGAGGAGAGTCTGGGAGGGATTGGGGTCCCTGGTTTAGCTTCCTGTTTTCCCAAGGCTCAGTTGTCCTGCTGTTCCCGTAACTCAGGGATATGCCCTGGAGCAATCCCACTCAATACCTGTGCTGGTTGAGTCCTGTGCTGGTTGAGTGCCTGCCTTTCCTTCCTCAGATCCATCCTGTTTCCCCTGCTCACTTCTGGATTATAGGGAACTGCACCTCCCAGGTTCCCTTGTTTTCTGGCTTCTGGACACATTCTAGTCCTGTCTGAGGCAGTGGCAGAAGACAGGAGGGAGATTGAAGTGGGGAAAGCCACAGTGCTTTTCTCCTTTTCTTGCTTTTCTTCCTGGACTGCCTGCAGTGATGGCCAGGGCGTCTCAGGAACCCCGGCTGACCGGAGGCAGCTTCTGCGCACTGTGTCCTGGTTTGCACCCTGCCCCACGGGTGGCCTTGGCCCCTGGAAACCCCCTGGGACCCATTGTTCCTCCTCCCCTAGGGCTGCGGGGTGCCCTCCTGTCGCTGGTATCTAGGTGTCTCACCATCCGTCTCTGCTTCATAACTCTTGCCTCACTACGTAATCAATTCCTATGTTTAAGCCCTTCTGTTCCAGTAACTACAGCATTTTGTTTTGTTTTGTTTTTCTGGCTGAATTCTGACAAAATATCACTTTTTTCTTATGCACATTCAAGTTTGCTTTCTGTTTCTTGCAGTCAAAAGAATCGTGGTCAAACAGAATGAAAGGCAAAACTTAGAGGAAAGCCTTGGAAACAAAGCCGGCCTCCCTGAGATTCCTGCTGTGTACAAGGGAGACAGGCCCACACTTCCCCACCTGAACCTGTTTTTGACAATCCCTGCCCAACTTCCTCACCCAGCAGTTGTAAGAAATGGGTTTGTCAATGGTTTTTTCTAACTTGTTCCAGTAGAATGTAAGCTCCTCGTGGGCATAGATTTTGTCTCTGTTGCCAGTACTGAAACCCTGGTACCTAGATGAGTGCTGGGCACACAGCAGGTACTTTGTAAATATCTATTAAGTGTACTTAGTACCTAGGTACCCTAGTACCTAGATGAGGTATTCATAAGTGTCTGTTAAGTGTACTTAGTACCTAGGTACCTAAGTTCCTAGATGAGGTATTCATAAGTGTCTGTTAAGTGTACTTAGTACCTAGGTACCTAAATTCCTAGATGAGGTACTTCATAAGTGTACTTAGTACCTAGGTACCCTAGTACCTAGATGAGGCACTTCATAAGTGTCTGTTAAGTGTACAATAAGAACTGTGGATCATGACACAGTGGAATTAACTTGATAGACTGTTGCTGTCAGCAGTTTTCTTTCATAAACAGAATAGCATAGAAATTCTATTCCTAATAGAGCACATTTCACATGGTAGGTCTGTGTTTTCTGTGTGTTGGTGTAGGTATGTGTATGTGTGTGTGTGTATATGCAAGCACGAGCACCAACTTGTGTTGTAAAATGTGATTCTTACAGTAGACCTTGATTTTCAAAAAATTTGAAAGCCGGACAGCAAGATAATAGTTCAGCTTTTTGTGAACGGTAAGGAGTGTGCAAATCTGAACCTGTAGTGTCTCCTGGATTGCTGTCAGTGAGGACAGAGGATCCTCTTTAAAAACTGGGTCCAAACTCCCTCTGGTCTCATTTTGCACCTCTCCACAGTATAAACTCTCCTTTCCAACCATTCCAAATAACTTAATTCCCTAATCTCAGGGGGCCGTTTCATTGCAGAAATTGCTGCTTGTTCACAAACTTAGTAAGGTACTTAAAAAAGATTTTGTCATGGTTAATAAAAGTCACAGGGTAAATTGGTCTTATTTCTTCTTTTTAGTGCAAAATGTAATCCCTTCACCCTGATTGTTTTGCTTAGTTGTACACACCACCCATCGGGAGGCCAGAAAACTTGTATTTATTTCTAGAGCTACCTCCTTACAGAATTTCAAAGAACCTCGGGGCACTTGAGAATTGGTGTCCAGACAGGATGAATCATTTCTTCTTCAATCAGGATTTTTTATTTTATTTTATTTTGCTGGGGGATAAAGATAAAGATGATTGAACTTGTTTTATTTAGGGGAAAAACAGCCTCTCTTTGAACTCTTGATCTCCACTTCTCAGGAGTGGAGCCCATTTGTAAACTCTCAGGTCTCTCATTGCCTTCTTTGTCTCCCAACCTCCTAAGGTCGAGAGTGATTCTTTATGGCAAAGAGTGAGCATTCTGGAGACTGCACAGCCTCCTCTGAACAAACTGGAGCATATATTTCCCGCATCGTCTCTGTCACCTCCCTGGGTTTTATTTTAATTGCCATGCTTTTCAAAAGCACAATTCCTATTAAATTATTCATGGTGGTATAATGTTTATGTGATCAGAGTAATTATTATAATTACGCATTGTGAATTTTCATAATTAATGACCTCACTCGGATTTCATTTGGTGCAGAATATTTCCGAAGGGGAATCAGGTGGTTGTGTCTGCTGGGGGAATCAGAATGGAATAAAATGGTGACCTATCTTGGGTTTTGCAGAGCAGTAGAAACTTCAGTCATTCACTTTGGGGACTGGGGATGAGGAGGCATCTTGAGAAATGGAAGGAATGGGATCTACTTCCAGTTCACTAGAGGCGTCCTGACACCCCTAGCTCAGCATCTTCCTCTGTGAACCGCCCATGGGAAGGTGTCCAAAGGTGTCCTAGTAGAACAAGCCTAGCAGACCAACAGGAGCAAGGAGACCAGACACGCGTCTCACTTTTGGGGCTTTTGAATGAGACTGGGGCTTACCAAATCTGCAGAAACCAGCCAACAATGCTCAACAGCAGCAAAACCACACTTCAGTGACTCACACAGCAAGGTGGCCCTAACAGGACTCAGGCTTCAGCTGACTTCCTCTCCCTCTCTAATTCTGGAAAGAGTAGAAAATGCAAGCCATTGGAGAAATGGCTGGTGGCACTCTGAGCATGGGAAGAAATTTGATATTTTATGATTGGCACCTGTCTTAGTCTGTTCTAGTTGCTCTAACAAAATACCAGAGACTGGGAAGCATCTAAACAACAGGAATTTGTTTCTTGCAGTTCCAGAGCCCAGAGATCCAAGATCAGGACACCAGCAGATTCACTATCTGGTGAGAGCCGGCTTCCTGGTTCATAGACAGGGCTTCTCCCTATGTCCTCTCACAGTGGAGGGGAGAGGAATCTCCCTAGACCCTTTTATAAGGGCCCTAATCCCATTCATGAGGCTCCACCCCCGTGACCTCATCACCTCCCAAAGGTACCACCTCCTAAGACCTCCATTCTGAAGAGGAGGATTTCAACACATGAATTTTCAAGGAACAAAGACGTTTAGAACACAGCCATTTTGTAGTCAGATTTCAAATATTTTAATGCCTCCATTTTCCTCATCTTTGACTTGTATCTGAGGAACCAATGCTTGGTGTGAGCCCTAAATAAATAAATAATAGATAGATAGATAGGTAGATAGATAAGAAGTTCAAGCTTCTTTGTCCCCCAGCAAAAAAAAAAAATTAAAAAATTGAGAAAGAAATGATTTATCCTGTTTCATCCTGTTTTGTATACAAATAGATGCCAGTACTCAAGTGCCCCAAGGTTCTTTGAAATTCTGTATGGAGCTAGCTCTAGAAATAAATTTATATTATGTTTGAGACAGGGTCTTGCTCTGTTGCCCAGGCTGGAGTGCAGTGGCACAATCACAACTCACCGCAGCCTCGAACTCCTGGCCTCAAGCAGTCCTCCTGCCTCAGTCTCCCAAAGTTATGGGATTACAAGTGTGAGTCAACACACCCAGTCCCAAAATAAATATTTGGTATAGCTATAGCTATTCACTAAGACCTTTCATCAGCATCATTCCCTCTCAGCCTCAGACCTACTTGAGGGGAAGGCAGTTCCATCCCCATTTTACAGATGAGAAAACTGAGACGTGTAGGGTCACATGGAAAATAAATAATGACCGCCTTGAAACTGTGATGTCCAGGGCGTCCTGTCTGTAACAGCCTGCTACCTTCCACCCCCTCCCCTGGGTATGCTTTCATTCCTTACCCGACTTCTTAGACTTGCCCTCCAATGTTACTGATGTGCCTTTTAAGTCCTTCAAAAAAAAAAAAAAAAAGAAAGAAAAAAGGGTGGGGTACAACCTGAAGAAAGAAGAAAAATAAGAGCCCCACATAAAATTCTGCTCAGTGATCAGAGACCAGTCCAGTCATAGATTTCAGTTTTAAGCACCAATTAAAAAAAAAAAACCTTAAAAATTTCTCCTATTTCCTTCTTGATCCTTGTAGAATATTGTACTTTTCAGACCATATTTAGTTGTACATTCCTCTGTCTTTCTCTCTGCTCTGTCATTTCTTGAAGACATGGGCCTTTCCTTATTACCTTCCATATCTTCAGGTTGTAATGGGATATTCAACACATAATAAGCAGTGAAATGCATCTTGCAAGAATGAGTGAACATTGGTTTTCTCTGTACCTCCCCTTGCCTCCCTTTCTTCCTAGTGTCCAAGTCCCTTTGTCTCTCTTTGTCCCCTATATTTACTGAAGTAGCACCCTTGTTTTGAGAGTATTTGTTGATTTGAGATGCAAAGCTTTTGGCCTGATGCCTGAACCCAGGAGACAGGACTCAGGGCCTATCCAGCATTGAGACCTGAGTTTCCCAATCATTGGAGGTTCACGTTTTATAATTAGGATGCTTTGGGCTGCAAGTAATAACAACACGAATACAGTCTGCCTTAAATGGTAAGGAAACATATTATCTTAAAAAGCAACTCCAGAAGTAGGGTGGTTTCCAGGTTAATTGATGCAGTGGCTTATTGCTCCCCTTAATGATCAAAGTCTTTCTGTCTCTCTAATGACATCCTGGCTTCACCCCAAGACTGGTTGTTCTCATGGTCACAGGAGAGATGACACTGGTATTTAGGGTACACAGTTTATATGTTTATGGCTAGAAGGAGTGGCCAGCTTTACAGAGGCTTCTCTCAAAAACAAAGGAGGGCCAGCCCAGCCATTAATTTCCTCTCTGTCTTTCCTCTCTGTCTTTCTGGTCATATTTAGAGCACAGAGCCATTCTGTAGCCAGTCACTAGAAAGGGAGCTGGATTCGCCTTAAAGGGATAGATAGAACAACACTTGGACCTGAGAATGGAAGTTGTCCTCCGTCAGGTTCATGACTGTGAGTGTCATGAGGAAGAAGATGGGGCAATAAAGTCAAGAGTAGGCAAGAAATTCATGTTTTCCTTTAAATTGATGCATTTCTTTAATTTAGCAAAACTATTTTTAAAACATCAGGGTTTGATATACTATAAGTGTTTTCTTCTAACCAGCATTAAAATAAATATATGATAATATAAATAAAAGATATTTATCTCTGTACCATTTTGGGAATTGCTAGATTTAGACTAGACTTCCCAAACTGCATATTTCACCAAAACACACCCCGTGATCTTTGGACAAAATAAATCCCAGGTTTTTATGGATGTAGGAAATACAGCTGTAATTCCGTCAAATGGTCTTTTTTTTTTCTTAATTGCAAAGTGCATATGTAAGTTTTCCCCTTTTTAAACTTTCATGATTCAATAGAAAGCAGCAAGGGTCTGTTTTTAGGGGCTGGACTGGCCATCTTTTCAGTTGGTGCTGGCTTGAAATGAAGAGCAACAAATAGAATAAATAACTGCAGTGAAGGGGATAATATGGTATTGACTGCTTGGCTCTGGTTAATTTTCTGTGCTGTGAACACCATGCAGAAGTTGGGCTGGACGTGATGGCCTCCTGCCGATAGGAGGCCAGTGGCTGTGAATATTGTACGTTTGTAAACTCAGAAGGGGTTTAGTGTGCAGCCAGATTCATTTAAAGTCATAAATGGATTATTGGATTACTCCTTGGTCATGCGTCTAAGTAATTTACGGGTGCTATCATGGCTCCGGGTCTCTAATAAGCTTCGCCCTCCTTGGGATAGTGACTGTCTTGCCTTAACTGATGTTGAATCTTTCCCACTTAGTCTCTCCTGCTTAGGGTTAACATTTAACCAAGGCCTGCAAAAGCTGGCTTTGAAGGCACTCGACTTGAACTGAGAAGGTCTGACTTTAATTCTGACCCTTCACCCCCAAATCTTTTCAGAGAGTGTAGCAGTGTCTCCTGGTGGGCACAGTTCTTTTCCTTTTTCCAGGATTTGGTATCTCTTCTGAACTTTTTCCTTCTGACACCCACATGATTTTAAGCAAAAACTCTATAATTTTTCAAAAAAAAGTTAAAACCCAATCATTTACCTCCTTAGAGACCCCAAGCACTGAAAATAAATTATGGGGCCCTGCTCAACCTGTCTACAATTCACAATTAAAATAGTACTTAGCCATAAAGCAAATGGAAGAAAACCCAACAAAATATTTGTTTTCTCATGATGATGACTTCAATATCAAATGATTTACAAAAATATTCCCTCCTTCATGTTAGTTTCCCTGTTTTGCTTTTGTTTGGTGTGACAGCCTGTGGGGTAATCTCACCCCGCCTTTAGCTATGAATGTAGCTTTAAAGGTTACAAAGCATTTTCCTCTTTTTATCCCATTTTATCTCCTCTCCTTCTGCCCAGTACAGGTTCAGGATGTTGCCAGAGAGCACCTGTGAGAATGCACATCTAATCATGTTATTCCCTTGCTTAAGACCCCAGTGCGGCTCCCATTGTTCCAGAAACTAACCCATGACCCTCTGTGGTGGAGCTCCCCAGGCTCTCCAGCCTCAGGTTCTCCCGCCCTCTCCTCCCCCGGGCCATGTGCATTGTGTTTTGTTGAATGTGTTCCTTCCGAAAGGGCAACTGGTACAGCGCAAAATGTTCTTCCTACAGGGCAATTGTTATGTTGATTTTTTTGTCTGTTTATTTGTTTTAACTTTTTTTTTTAAATAGAGACTCACAGGAAGTTGCATAAAATAGTACAGAGAGCCCCAAGTCCCCTTCACCCAGCTCTCCCTGGTGATTGCATCTCACGTAACTACGGTACGTACGACTCACAGCCAGGAAACCAGCATCGGCAGGTGCCTGCATAATTCTTTGCCATTGCATCCTGTGGGTAACTGCCTGCAGCCACTGCTCTGAAGACACTAAACTGTGCCATCAGAGCCTCCCTCCTGCTACCTCTGTATCCTCACAGGAAGACATTTCTTTGGGGGAAGAAAACGAACTTTGCAGATGAGGCTGGAGTTGTCTTTGATCCACATCTACTCATGCTGAGGACCTCAGCTGCCTTCTTTGGGGGAATGTTTTTCCCCAGTGGGGAGTGGACCAAGGTCGCTGGTAGAGCACCTTGTACCTGTCCTGCACAGCATTTCCCTGGATTGCAGATATGTGCTCATACATGTTGTCCCCATTTAACTTGAAGTTCCATGAAAACAGGGGTGTTTTTTCTCTTTTATTTGGTTGTATGTACTATCATTTCCCCAGTGTGGTATTGGATTTTTCATACAGTGTTGGTATTTAACGCTGAGAGCAACAGCACATGTGTGTGGGATGAATGTGATAACTTCCTCACGGTGGCTTACGGTAGGATTAGTATGAAAATCCATGTATCCTGACCCTGAGCCCTGTGTTCAACCTTTACCTTTTAACCATCACTCTGGAGCTTGGAAGGTGATAAATTTTCTGAAAACTCAAAATTGTACTAGAGATATTGGTCATGAGACTCACTGTCCCAGGGGCTCTGTGCTGCCTTGGAGCCCTAATTGTTAGGCAGCCATGTTTCATACCATGCAATTTCCATCTTCTACACTGAATCCATGTTTGAGTCAACCACAAGAAACACCTGATCCCTGGGTGGTTAATGTATACCTGGATGCCTGGTTTTGAAAAGATGAGCTGGTCTCATTAGATGAGCTGGTCCATGAGATTTTGAGTTAAGCAATGTACACGGAATTCACCAGCTATTGATGGCATGGCTACTGAGATGCTCTTAGAAAGACAGAGCTGATGGTGCCAGTTCAGAGGACCCAGATGAGAACCAGAGACAAGCGAGACAGTAACACACAGAGTAAAACAGAGATGTGAGAGAATAGATGTTGTCTTCCTCTCAAGCAATGGGAGAAAATCAAATTTGAAATTTGAAAACAATTCCAGATTGTTTTTCGTATAGAGAGAACTTTGGTAGAAGGTTGGAGAGAATCAGGCAAGGGTGTATAGCTTGGTCACCTTAAGGTAAAGGTTTGTGAAAATCCTGCTGCCGAGGGTCTCTAAAGCTGCATGCAGCCCAGGTTCTTCCTTTCCTCCAGGTCTTCACTCTATGAAATGTGGTCCCTACCTCTCACCCCTACACGTGATTGCAGGTGGGTTCACATAACTCTAAGATGTTAGCACTGAGCTGGGTAGGCACATCCCACATCCCACACCAGGAAGAGACCAGGAGTTAGGTGCCAGTGGAACCGGGGCAGGATGCCCACATTTAAATAATTCCGTCAGTGTAGTCTAGACACAGTCGGCCAGTGTTCAATACTAGACTAGACACAATAAGAAATACAAAACTCAAGACAGGTAAGAGCAAGAGTAAACATGTTTGGGCAAATCCATGATCAAAGCAGGTGGTGCTTTAAGGAGATAGCCATAAGCGTAAGCCAAAGTCTGCGGGGTGGCTCCAGTGACTTTTTGTTCCCTGGGATTGGGCTTCTTTTGAAGTCCTCTAAGCAGTTTTTTACTGGCTTTAAAAGAGAAACCGCTGTGATGAAAGACTGGGAGAAGTCCTCTGTTCTTCCTCCTGGGGTTATTGCTGGCAACAGGAAGGTGGAAGAGCTTACAGAGTGTTGGCTCAGGTTCCAGCCTCATGAACTTATCTCCTTGAGCCTGGGACCTTCCTGAAAAGCAGAGTTCATGGTTTTTCTCATTTGAAGGAGGCATTATGATGGGAGAGAGAAAGGGGTCTCTTCCGTGTGTCCTTGTGCTTCCTGCATTTTTTCTTCTGTGAAGAAAGTTTTTCACAGCATAGTTGTGGTGGGCACTCTTGAGTGTGTTTGCCTGAGTTACAGTGATGCCTTTTCACTGAGGACTCTAAGCCTATGAGAGGACACCAAGCAGCCGTATTTTCCATAAGTGATTCTGGTCTCCAGTCAGTTCTAAGAACCAGGGGTGGACACTCATTCCAAGCTGGACCAAGAAGATGTGCTTCCCTAGAAATATGGAATCTTGGCTGATACCAGGCTCTATTTATGGTGGAGCTAAGCGCCTATTAAAAACTCAGGCTCCAGCTGTGCATCGTGGCTCAATCCTGTAATCCCAGCACTTTGGGAGACGTAAGCGGGAGGATTGTTTGAGGCTAGGAGCCTCAACACCAGCCTGGGCAACATAGGGGGACCCCACCTCTACAAAAAAAAATTCAGAAATTTGTCAGACATGGTCATGTATGCCTGTAGTCCCAGCTACTTGGGAGGCTGAGGTGGGAGGATATCTTGAGCTCAGGAGTTTGAGGCTACAGTGAGCTAGGAATTCATCCCTGCATGCCAGCCCAGGTGACAGAGCAAGCCCCTGTCTCAAACAAACAAAACAAATGAACAGAAAACTCAGGGACCATGGTCCAACTACCTTTTACCATGCACACTGATGAGAAACAAACAATGAATGGAGGAGAGGTGTGCTGTGGGAAGCAGAAGTAGGAGAGCTTGGAGATGGAAGGCGAGGAAAGCATGAAAAAGGAAAGGAAGTGTAGGGAGGAAAAATCAAATAGACACAGAAATGCAGAGAAAAACAGAAATACCTGAGCAAGTTATTGTTGCCTCATCCCAGTTAGCTCTCCAGACCTCAGTTCTAGTTCCCGCCTCATTGCTGTGTTCAGGCCTCCCCAGTAGTTGCCCCTTAAAATAAGTTTTTCTATTTTAAAAACATTGTTCTTTTACTTGTATCTCAAAGAATTAAATATATCGAAATTTATTAGTAGTAGTATTAGTATTAGCGTTGCCTGCCTGCCTAATAGTTTCCCATCTTCTTTTTGGCTCTAACATCTACAAATGACTGCCATGCTTCTGCCCTGGGAACCATGTGCCTCCCAGAGCCAGAATATTTGCCTTGATTTTTGAAGAATCAGGTAGAAATGATGGGATGGTAGTATTTATAATGCCATCAAAGAAAGGAAAGAAATTTGCAAGGATTGGAGGAAAGAGTTCCGTTTCATTTGCATTGGGACTTGGCAAACAGATGCAGAATGGGCTTCCAGTATTACTGGTGTCCTGTGAAGGTAGCTGACTAAGGTATTGTATTAGTCCATTTTCACGCTGCTGATAAAGACATAGCTGAGACTGGGTAATTTATAAAGAAAAAGAGGTTTAATGGACTCGCAGTTCCATGTGGCTGGGGAGGCCTCACAATCATGGCGGAAGGCAAAAGGCACATCTTACATGGTGGCAGATGAGAGAAATGAGAGCCAAGTGAAAGAGGAAACCACTTATAAAACCATCAGATCTCATGAGACTTACTTACTACCACGAGAACTGTATGGGGGAAGCTGCCTCTGTGATTCAGTTATCTCCCACTGTCTCCCTCCCAGAACATGGGGGAATTATGGGAGCTACAATTCAAGATGAGATTTGGGTGGGGACACAGCCAAACCACATCAGTTATAAATGGCTAAAGTCTGTCGAGTGTGTCAGATGGTCACTCACCTTTGTGCCTGACATTGGTGAAGTGCTGGGATCAGGGTAGAGAGTGAGAGAAAACTTTCTTTACTTTGTATTGTATCATTGGCACCAAAT